>NC_000007.14:101900718-102203748 GCF_000001405.40 Homo sapiens
GAGGTCTAGTGCAAGCCACAGCTGTGATTCAGAAGAAGAAAAAAAAAAGCCAAACCTGACAGTTTCAAAATGAAGTTATTAGCACTTCACCTATAACTGTGATAGCTTTTAACTTGCAGGATCCTTCTCTTAGGCACCACCTCCCATCCGAACCCCAGAGCATATGGGAAAAGGAGCTAATGTGTGTAAGTTGCAGGATACTTAATCACTGAAGAATCTAACAATGATAACTACTATCTCTCTGGAACTTTTTTTTAACTTAGAAGAGTATGTCTTGTTCTGTTTATATATCACATAGTTTTCCAACGACCCTGGGAGGTGAGGTAGGTGGTATATTTTACCAATGGGAAAATCGATGCTCAGGAAGTCTTGGTGACTTGCTCAAGTTCCCATAACAAGAAGCTGCTGAATCCAGGATGGAACCTGGTCTACCCCAAATGCCCCTACTGCTTCCTAGGGCCCAGTAATGCCCCTGGGTAGGGCGGGCCCAGCTCTGGAAGAAACAGGGCTATACAAAAAATCACCCAATATTGGGTCACCAGCCTTCTTCTACTTGCAAAATAATTAAGCAAAATCTGTTTTTATTTGTTTTTGAGACGGAGTCTTGCTTTGTCGCCCAGGTTAGAGTGCAGTGGTGTGAACTTGGTTCACTGCAACCTCCGCCCCTAGGGTTCTAGCGATTCTCCTGCCTCAGCCTCCCGAGTAACTGGGATTACAGACTTGCACCACCACGCCCGGCTATTTTTTTGTATTTTTAATAGAGACAGGGTTTTGCCATGTTGGCCAGGCTGGTCTCGAACTCCTGACCTCAGGTGATCCACCTGCCTCGGCCTCCCAAAGTGCGGGGGTTACAGGTGTGAGCCACTGTGCCTGGCCACAAAATCTATTTTAATTCTGCAAGTTATAAGCAGCCAGTGGCCCACCAGGCCCAGCTGTACGTTCCCAGGGACCCCCCAAAGCGTATATGTCCCGGGCACACACACACTAGGTGGTTTGTTTTGTTCCCCAGCAGCCCGTGTCTGCCCGGGCAGATGTTAGTGGCTGAGAAACCCCAACAGGGAGTGAGCCACAGGCCCGCGGGTGGCTTCCCTGCCAGTGTTCTCCTCGCGAAGGGGAAGGGAGCCCTTGCCAGAATGGCTGGTGCCCTAACAAATTGATTCCTGCCAAACAATAGAAATAAATATTTTCAGCAGACAGAAATGTTGGCTCTGAAAGCATTCAAATTAAAGGCTTATTTCTGAAACAAATACTTTAGGAGGAAAACATTTTTACCAGCGCAGATGAGATCAGAGCTATTCCTTTTGGCAGTGGCAGGACTATTTTGAGACTCAGCCACAACGGTTTCCCTGCCCCGTCTCGTTTTTCACTGATGACCTCGCCCCCTGTTTCATGGAGACAGGGAATTGCATTCAGCTAGAGGCATGGGGAAGAGATGGTGGCATGGTGTTCTGCAGAGAGCCTCAGTTGGACAGTCGGCCGAATCTGGATTCAAATCCAGGCCCTACCTCTCCTGCTATGATTTCGACAAAGCCGGTCAGTCATCTGATCATCAGCTTCCTCAGTCTGTGAAATGGGGCGGTACCTCCCTTGCAATGGTTAATAGCGTTATCCTCAGGACCTGGGGGTCATTGGAGGCCAGCACTGTCCCTAGAACTCTCTGTGTTGATTAAATGGTCTCTACCCGCCCCAGCAAATATAATTGCCACTAGCTACATGTAACTGTTGGGCCCTTGAAGTATGGCAGCTGGAATGGAGGGAACAAATTTTAAATTTAACTTAGATGAAATGTAATCCACATGTGGCCACTGGCTACCATTTTGGATAGTGCAGTTCCCATTCATCCCTCTCATTTCATTAGTTGGTCCCTGGAGCCAATTAATTGGTTGGAGGGTCAACCCACTACAAATCTCCCAAGTCTTTCTCTGTGCCGGATGCAGCTGTGCGGAGTTGGGACCTGTCTGTTGTCTTTGACATCCGTCTTCTGTCCTGCAGACGGAGCAGTGGGGCAGTGCCATCGAGCTGGGCAGAGGAATTAATATCTTAGCCATCAACTGCCCAAATCAACCTTCATGGGCATCTTTTAATTTTCTAAGAGATGGGGTCTTGCTGTGTTGTCCAGGCAGGACTCGTGGGCTCTTTCCGCCTCAGCCTCCCGAGTAGCTGGGACTACAGTTGTGCACCACCACACCCCTCTGATATTTCTTAATTTTAATGGCTGATGTTTCTTAATTTTAACAAGTTCCCATATGTCTCATGATGTATGCTAAGTATAAAAAGAATAATAGAAGGCATGAAGTCAAGGGGCCTGTTTCCCGGGCATTTGTTTCAGTGGTGAGTCACATTCATGCGAAGCCTCGGTTTCCTTATCTGTAAGACCAGATCAGCAAACCACCTGTGGCTGCCTCTCTCCCTGGTTGACCCCGAGGCCAAGAGGAGGGGCAGGGTCAGCAGCCGGCCAGACCTCAGTAGCCCCTCCCCATCCTGGTATGGGGGAACACAGGAGGTAGAAAACAAGTGACCTACACAAGGCGGGTGGTGGCGGGGGAGGTCCCACTTTAACAGGAGGCAAGATGGCCGGGAGAAAGCTATGGGGAACCCAGGCAAATGGAGATGAGCAGACCCCAAGAACCGTACCCTAGGGGGCTGGCTGGGTCGGGGGAATTAGGGTCCTTTGGGCTCCTTGCAGAGCCGAAGATTGTAGTGGGGAGCACTGCGTGTGCCTACAAGGCTGAGCCTGGCAGGCAGAATTATGTGTTGTTTTGAGATAACAGCCACAACAGAGCAGTAAAGAATACTGCTTATAAAACGGACATTTTTTTGTAGCTCAAAAATGGTCAAATATCAGTAATGTCATGTGGTTTGAGTAATCCATAAAGCAGAGCCCTTCTCGTTAGGGCTGAGAATTATCCTCCCCTCTCCCTGCCACAGAGCCGGCCACGTGGCCTGCCCCGGCACCTGCTCCGCCTTACATGTCATTATGCGTCTCCGAGACAGCGTCTCTCACATCTCACCGTTTAAATGAGCGTCTAGCAAGTATTCTATGGAGTGCAATGCTTGTTGGATACATCTGGCATTTTCATCTTCGCAGAGTGGGTTTGTGACGGGGTGAAAAACAAAAAAACAAATTCTTGATTCTTGATGGAAATCTCTCAGTCCTGAGAGATTTATAAAAAAGGCTTGTAGGAAAACTTTGTACGCGTAGCTTTTATACTCATAGACCAAATTATAATTTTTTATTCAATCTTATTTTCTGAATAGGTAACGTGTTCACTTGGTCTAAAATCAAAATTTTAGCCAGGTCCGGTCACTCGCACCTGTAATGGCAGTACTTTGGGAGGCTGAGGTGGGGGGCGGTCACTTGAGCTCAGGAGTAACATGGCAAAACCGTGTCTTTACAAAACACACACACACACACACACACACACACACACATTAGCTGGACATGGTGGCACGCGCCCGTAATCCCAGCTACTCAGATGGCTGAGGCGGGAGGATTGCTTGAGCCCAGGAGTTCGAGGCTGCAGTAAACTGTGATTGCATCACTGCACTCCAGCCTGGGTAACACAGTGAGACCCTGTCTCCAAAAAAATAAAATTTGTATGTTTATATACTGAGAAATTTTGTCTCCGCCTCTGTCCCTTTTTACCCCTACTGTCTACCCTAAGTCAGTACTGTACTTCTGTTCATTTTCTGGGGGTGTGCTGAACAGATTCAAGAGAATAGCATTTCCATGGAAAGGCCGCAGCTTGTAAGTTTCACTTGAATTTCCGTGATTGGGAGTTAATATCAAATGATCTCTCAGAATCAAGAAATACTGATACATATCAAATGTATAATAACATTTTGAGAATTTTTTTTTTTTTTTTTTCAGACAGAGTCTCACTCTGTTGCCCAGGCTGGAGTGTAGTGGTGTGATCTTGGCTCACTGCAACCTCTGCCTCCCGGGTTCAAGCGATTCTCCTGCCTCAGCCTCCCAAGTAGCTGAGATTGCAGGCGCCCACCACCACACCCAGCTAATTTTTGTATTTTTAGTAGAGATGGGGTTTCACCATGTTGGCCAGGCTGGTCTCAAAGTCCTGACCTCAGGTGATCCCCCTGCCTTGCCCTCCCAAAGTGCTGGGATTACAGGCGTGAGCCACTGCGCCTGGCCCCATTTTGAGAATTAAAGGAACATGGGCACGTAATCTTTATACGAGGTGGAGTCAGATTGAATAGCAAGAGGAAGAGAAACTGACATCCACGCTCATTGCACTGGGCGTTTTATGTGACTTAATCCTCATAGCAGCTCTATGAAGTATGTATCAGAGGGTGTCCCCATTTTACATTAAATCACTTGCCTGGATCACTCAGCTGGGGAGGGTGAGAGCCAGGTGACCTACCCAAGGCTGTGTCTCTGGGTGG
The DNA here is from genome assembly GCF_000001405.40 of Homo sapiens. Lineage (NCBI taxonomy): Eukaryota > Metazoa > Chordata > Mammalia > Primates > Hominidae > Homo > Homo sapiens. The sequence continues at coordinate 101,905,120 of NC_000007.14, forward strand.
GGGGCTCAGAACCTCTCTCCCTCGTTTTGTAGTAGCCAGACATTGTCTCGTATAAACTATGGCAACTGGAAGTGAACCAGGTCTTTTCCTGCCCTCTGATTTTGGTGGAAAATGTGACCTACCCAGGAAAAGCACTATGATTTTAGGAGTTTAGGTGCACAAAGCTGTTTTCCAAGCATGCTCATTCTTCTCCCAATTTGGGACTCATTGCTGCCTCTCTGCCCTCATCTGTGGGGCCAAGGGAGCTGGAGCGACAGCCACAGCAGACCGCTCTGCATCCCTGTATGCGTTGTGGGAAACAGCAGAGGAGGTGGCGTTGCGCCCATCTTACAGACTCCAGATTCTGTTCACCCGACAGGCAGTGGGAATCCGTGTTCACGCTGGTCCCTTGGATCAGAAATTCAGTACCCTTCCCTCCACACCATGCTGTAGACACCTCTTTCCTCTCCTAGACCCGGAACATCCTCTCTTCTTCAGGGTACTGGGGACCAAGATCCACCCTCGTGGTGAGAAAACCACACCATAAATAAACACAGCCACCATACGCCGTGAGATCTGGCCAAGAGGTTTCCTTCTGTTCATTCGGCCCTAATCTCCAAGATGGGAAGGCATTGCCAGCTGCCCTGTGTAGAGATTCCTGAACACGCAGTGTTTCTTATTAACCCGCCAGATAACCAGAAAATCAGTCTTTGGGCAAGCGCTTGCTTCTCCACGTGCCCAGTATTTTCTTTCTTTCTTTTTATTTTTTTAATGAGACAGGGTCTTGCTCTGTCGCCCAGGCTGGGCTCGAACTTCTGGCCTGAAGTGATCCTCCCACCTCAGCCTCCCAAATAGCTGGGACTACAGGTGTGCGCCACCATGCCCAGCTAACTTTTTTTTTTTTTTCTGGAGAGACAGGGTGTTACTATGTGGCCCAAGCTGGTCTCAAAGTACTGGGCTCAAGTGATCCCCCCACCTCGGCCTTCCAAAGTGTTGGGATTACAGGTGTGAGCCACTGTGGCCAGCTATTCTTTAATTTACTAGCGCTGACTACATGCCTGTGATGTCCCCAGGACCCTGCAAAGTTCTGGGAAATTCATAGTGAGCAAAACACAGTCCTTGCTGGAGTTCACAGCCCATGGGGAGACGGCACCAACCCTGTGCCCAGACTAGGGGAGCTGCCACGCAGCCACTCACTGAGCTGGGCACACAGGTTCCCATCTCTTATGAGGTGAGGCAGGAGGAGCAGGGAGGGAGCTGGGGAAGTGGCATCAGAACATTTTTTGGAAGAGAGAAAGGAAAGGTTTCCAAGCAGAAGGAACAGCCTGTGGCGAGGTCCGAGGGGAAAGGAGGGGACCCTGTTCTCTGGGGACACTAGGGGAACGTCAGCATGCCAGGTCAGGGTTCTGGGGAGCCCTGGGTGGTCTTATCGATGGCCCCCAGGAAGCCACAGAAGGCATTTGAGCAGGGAACGCCAAGCTCACGGCGGGCTTTGGCAGGGCGCGCCCCGTGTCCTGGAGGACTGTGTCCTGGTCATCTTTCTAGGCCCCCACTGCATGCCCTTGAGGACTAGGAAGGGTGCCTCCTTCTCTGCATCAGGCTGACTCCTAGCAGCTGCCGTATCTCCAGCTTTCCTGCTTTCAACTATGCTTTTTGTCTCCTTTTCCTCATTGCGAGCCTAGGCCTGTATGGGGTGGTGGAGTGGGTGGGAGCTCACTGCTTAGGTGGGTGGGCAGTGTGGGTGGTGGTGGTTCCATGGGTCTCTCCCTCCCACTGTCCCATCTTTGCCACTCATCTGCTGCCCCCCACTCCCGGACCCCTTTTGGAGGTCAGTCTCACTCTGTGGAAACCCTGGCTTCCTGGTTCGAGATGCCCCCTCTGGCCCACGTGTCTGACATCACGTACCAGAACACTGTGGCCATCATTCAGGATTTTTTATGACACAGTAGTGAATCAAAGCCTGTCAGTGGGAAAGTGATGGGGAAGGATTAAGTGTCTGAGAACATTTGGGAAATATGAGGTTAGACCTGGTTCTCAAACTTATGAAATAAGTGAAAACATGAACGTTCACTTTGGGAATTCTGCAAGATTCTCCTTTAAATGGAGTCCATGAAGAGAACAAAATGAATTTTCTGCAGCGTTACGCAGGAGCACTTTTCTGGAAATGAGGTTTCCTAGGACTTTGTCAGCCCTTCAAAGCCTAGGTCTCCTTACTAGAGGGGAAGAAATGAGATTTTATTTATTTTTATTTTTATTTTTTATTTTTTGAGACCAGAGTCTCACTCTGTTTCCCAGGCTGGAGTGCAATGGCACAATCTCGGCTCATTGCAACCTCCGCCCCCAGGGTTCAAGCGATTCTCATGTCTCAGCCTCCCGAATAGCTGGGATTACAGGTGTACGTCACCACACCCGGCTAATTTTTGTATTTTTAGTAGAGACAGGGTTTCACCATGTTGGCCTGGCTGGTTTCGAACTTCTGACCTCAGGTGATCCACCTGCTCCAGCCTCCCAAAGTTCTGGGATTACAGGTGTGAGTCACCCACTGGCCACAAACTTATGAAATAAGCAAAAACATGAACTTTAACTTTAGGAATCTACAAGGTTCTCCTTTAAATGGAGCCCACGAAGAGAACAAATGAACTTTCTGCAAATGAGATGTCCTAAGACCTTGTCAGCCCTTCAAAGCCTAGGTCTCATTACTGGAGGGGAAAAAATAAGATTTTAAAATATCAATGTTTAGCCAGACTCAGTGGCTTACCCCTGTAACCCCAGCACTTTGAGGAGGCTGAGGTGGGAGGATCGCCTGAGCCCAGGAATTCGAGACCAGCCAGGACAACATAGCAAGACTTCCATCTATTAAAGAAAAAAAAAACCATCGTTTACTTTTAGGAGTAGGCATTACATTTACGTGCTTAAAATACCAAAGGTACCCAAGTGTAGATATGAAAGACTTTCCCACCCCCAAGTGAGTGCCCAGCCCCTTAATTTCCCTCCCTGGTATGGATACTACCAGTATCTTATGTTTGTAGAACCTTCTACAGAACCTTGTGTAGGTAGAAGCAGATTCTATGCATCTATGTGTATCTGTGTATTTGCAGTGACTAGATTGATTGCTGTTGATGGACATATTCTGGGGAGGTGTTTTTACACTTCCATTACTGAGCACAGGCTCACAGGATGGCACTTTCCCGCATGCACCACCATGCCTGGCTGATTTTTGTATTTTTAGTAGAGACAGGGTTTCGCCATATTGGCCAGGCTGGTCTGGAACTCCTGACCTCAGGTGATTTGCTCGCCTCGGCCTCCCAAAGTGCTGGGATTACGGGCGTGAACCACTGCGCCCAGCCTGTTTTTTGTTTGTTTGTTTGTTTGTTTGTTTGTTTGTTTTTGAATAGAGACAGAGTTTCACTGTGTTGGCCAGGCTGGTTTTGAACTCCTGACCTCAGGTGATCCACCCACCTCAGCCTTCCAAAGTGCTGGGATTACAGGTGTGAGCCACCATGCCTGGCCTCAATTTCTCCCTTTTCTAAGCCCCCCACCTCTGTTTTTGTCCCATGGTCTGGTCCTGTCGGCCTTGTTGCACCTGGCAGTCAGGGTTGACTTATGATTTACTTGAACCATCCCTGGAGCCCCTGGCCTGGTGGGGGATGCTGGTGGCAGAATGAATTCGGGTCTGAGGTCAAGCATGTGTCTGTGAGAGTACACAAAATGAACTGTGATGTAGCGTTTACTGTGCCACAAACTTGAAATGCATCATCTTGATTATGTCCAGAGAAAGGAAGTCATTTGACCACAGCCACACAGGTTACAATGGGGATGCGGCCTGGAGTCCAGGTGTGAGCTACCACACCCAGCCCACATACACTTTAAAGATGAGCAAATCCAGGCTGTAATCCCAGCACTTAGGGAGGCTGAGGTGGGAGGATCACTTGAGGCCAGGAGTCCAGTCAGGTTTGGGAGGCCGAGACAAGAGGATCGCTTGAGCCCAGGAGTCCAGTTTAGGTTTGGTAGGCTGAGGCGGGAGGATCGCTTGAGGCCAGGAGTCCAGTTCAGGTTTGGGAGGCCGAGGCGGGAGGATCTCTTGAGGCCAGGAGTCCAGTTCAGGTTTGGGAGGCCGAGGCGGGAGGATCTCTTGAGGCCAGGAGTCCAGTTCAGGTTTGGGAGGCCGAGGCGGGAGGATCTCTTGAGGCCAGGAGTCCAGTTCAGGTTTGGGAGGCCGAGGTGGGAAAATTGCTTGAGGCCAGGACTCCAGTTTAGACACCACTGTTTGAAGCGTCTTGGGATGTTTTCAGTAGGGGACTTGGAGAAGTGATGGAAAGAGGCTGGTGGGTGGGGCTTAGGCCCACCACCCCTTTCTAGCCAGAGAACCCTCCATTCATCGAAATGATTCTGTTGTTGGAAATGAAACAAAAAATAAAATGGTCTTAGGACCTTCCTGTGCAGGAACCATGGCCGACCTTTCCCTTTTTGTACAAGTGATCTATTTTTTTCACTAGCAAAACCATTTAAGATTTCTATATAGGATGTGCTGTTTGATTAGTTTGACAGATAATCCCCCAAGAAACATCAGATGAACTCACTCTTTGGATTAAAGTTTGAGATAATAAAACAAGAATACTTGTGTTGCTGATGTGGCCAGCCCAAGTATGTTTTTCCCACCAGCCCAGAGGTTCTGGGGGCAGGAGGCATCCTTTGCAGGCCTAGAAGGACCCACCCTGTGGGAGCCTGGCCCTGTGCATCTGCAGAGAGCACTTGCTGGAAATCTCAGTGGGAAATGGTGGGGATGCCTCCCATACCCCCACTTTAAAACAAACAACTGACAATTACACTTTTTTTTTTGAGACAGAGTCTCGCTCTGCTGCCCAGGCTGAAGTGCGGTGGCACCATCTCAGCTCACTGCAACCTCCGCCTCCCGAGTTCAAGCGATTCTCCTGCCTCAGCCTCTCAAGTAGCTGGGATTACAGATGCACACCACCATGCCCAGCTAATTTTTTGTATTTTTAGTAGAGATGGGGTTTCACCATGATGGCCAAGCTGGTTTCGAACTCCTGACAATTATACTTTTTGAGACAGGGTCTCCCTCTGTCACCCAGGCTGGAGCACAGTGGCTTGATTATGACTCACTGCAGCCTTGACCTCCTGGGCTCAAACGATCCTCCCGCCTTAGCCCCCCAAGTAGCTGGAACCACAGGCACCCACCACCGTGTCCAGCTAATTTTTGTATTTTTTGTAGAGATGGGGTTTTGCCATGTTGGCAGGCTGGTCTCAAACTCCTGGGCTCAAGCGATCTGCCTGCCTAGACCTCCCAAAGTGCTAGAATTACAGGCATCATCCACTGTTCCCGGCCCACATACACTTTAAAGGTGAACAAATCCAAGCCAGGCATGGTGGCTTATGCCTGTAATTCCGCACTTTGGCAGGCCAAGGCGGGCAGATCGCTTGAGGCCAGGAGTTCAAGACTAGTCTGGCCAACAAGGCGAAACCCCCTCTCTACTAAAAACATAAAAATTAGCTGGGCATAGTGGCTCATGCCTGTAATCCCAGCTTCTCAGGAGGCTGGGTCTTGAACCCTGGAGGTGAAGGTTAACCAGTGAGCCGAGATCACACCAGCGCACCCCAGCCTGGGCGACCGAGCAAGACTGTCTCAAAAAAAAAAAAAAAAGATGGGCAAATCCAAATGGATCTCTGGTGTTATTTAAATACTTATTTGGGAAAAAAATTTTCCCACTATTTCTGTTAAGCAGACAGCTGGTTACATGGTAGTTTTTTAATTTTGTTTTTAATAACATCTGAAATGCCTGGCAGAAAGTCTGGAGTTGGGGGCAGAGAGAAACTTAAAATGTTAGGAGCTTTGCCCTTTGAGGAGCTGTCAGAATTGGAGAAAAAACATCCCAGAAATTGTAATCAGTGAGGAAAACAGGATTCCAGCTATCCACAGCACCCCAGCTGTACACCAGCGTCACGGGATGAGGGATGCCTGTGTGCACGTAGGCCTTGGTTTCTGAGCTGAGACAGCAGCAGCCAGGCCGACTTGGTGATAGGCTTGGCCTGCCCCTGCAGTGGACTGCCTGGGCCTGGGCCTGGGCCTTGGCCTTGGTCTCAGCCCTGTGGTGGATGATCTGAGCCTTGGCTTTGGCCCTCCAGTGGATGGCCTGAGCCTTGGCCTTGGCCTTGGTCCTGCCGTGGATGACCTGAGCCTTGGTCTTGGCCTTGGTCCTGCGGTGGACGACCTGAGCCCTGGCCTTGGCCTTGGCCCTCCAGTGGATGACCTGAACCTTGGCCTTGGCCTTGGCCTTGGCCCTGCCGTGGATGACCTGAGCCTTGGTCTTGGCCTTGGTCCTGCAGTAGACAACCTGAGCCTTGGCAATTGGCCTTGGCCCTCCAGTGGATGACCTGAGCCGTGGCCTTGGCCTTGGTTCTGCTGTGGACGACCTGAGCCTTGGCCTTGACCTTGGCCCTCCAGTGGATGACCTGAGCCTTGGCGTTGACCTTGGCCCGCCAGTGGATGACCTGAGCCTTGGCGTTGACCTTGGCCCGCCAGTGGATGACCTGAGCCTTGGCCTTGACCTCTGAAGCTCTTCTGTGCAAGGGTGGGGCTCCTGTTGGTGACACCCACTTGCTGAGTCTACACCTGGGAAGCTCTTGGTCAGCTCGGCCCATTGACTTGAGAGAGGAATAGTTGCCGTCCAGCGAGTGCTGGGGGTGTAAGGTGGACCGGGCCACACGGCTGCCAAGGGGCCGGCTGGGTGGGACTGAAACCTGACCCATGTGGGTCCTCATTGCCTCCTGACATCAGTCATCCTGTGATCTCTTAGAAAGATAAAAACACATTTTCTGCGTTCTGGTGCCTCTCCTTGCCAGACATTTTCTCAGTAAAGTTTCTGTCTCAGCCTCGTTGGAAGTGCCAGGTTCTGAGCCCATCAGTTTGCTGCTAGCCTGCCAGCTTCCCATGACCTGGGACCTGGGACCAGGGGCCCGCAGGTGTTTCTAGCTGGAGAGGAGTTCTAGATAGTTCTGAGCGGATACCCTCCTCTGTCTTCCTCGGGAGAGTTCTGGCTTGGTTTGGTGGTGTTTTCTGTGACCAGCAGTGGCCACCGCCACCACCAACCCCTCTTCCCCCTCCCCTCTTCCTCCCCCTCCCCCCTCCCTCCTCCTCCTCTATCTCCATACGCCCTGAGACTGGCCAGTGGGCAGCATATTGTGCAAGAAACAGCTGTTGTTTTGACAAAGGACATAACTCGCCTCACTTCTTGCATCACCAGACCCACGAGGCTCTGGATTCCAGGCCTCTGCCCCTGCAGGTGGACACACAGACCGTAACGCAGAGGCTCACGTGTCCCACACTATGCATTACCATTTGTGTACGCACTCGTTCACATTTAGCAGGATTGTAAAAATTAATAGTTAGTGCAGTTCTTCCAGCTAGATAATGCATCCAAATGGCAAGACAGTCCAAAGATACACACTATGGAGTAAGTCCCTCTCCCCACCGGCCCCTCTGGAGAGAGCCAGGCACGGTCACAAGTTTCTTCTGTATCCCTCTGGAGATAATCACAGCCTATGCGAGCATATGGATGGATATTCTTTTAAACATTGTGTTGCGGTTTGCTTTTTGGCTTGGATGTATCTGATGATTATCATATCCCTTACAATACACCGTGTTTTTTTACATTACAGGAAAATCTGTGAGGGGCTAAACCGACAGGGTATTGCTGGGCATGGAGGAGGTTGGGTCCAGGTTTTTTGCTCTTTGTGACTTTTTAATGCCTTTCAGATGTGACGACTCTCCATACGCCTTCTCACACGTGACCCGTGACTCATGGGCCGAGGCCTCTGCATTTGGGACCCCCACCTCCACCTCCCCAAGATGCATTTCATTCCCTTGTTAATGTGTCATTGTAGTTGACGCTTTGAGGATAGGCAGGCTTGGTAGATAATAAAACAGTATTTGGCTTATGTTTAATCGCTGTCTCCTCCCACAGCCCGAGAACGCCTTAGCGTCCTTCAGAAAGGATTTGGTGGTACTGGTTTTTATGTGTGTGTGTGTTGTTTTTTAAAAAAATTTTCTCCAAGGGACCTGGTCAAAGATTTCAAGCCTTAAATCTGATCAACCCAATCTGGGGCGGCGGCAGCTCAGTCTCTCCTCCTCGCTGTGCCAATCTGTTTCTGTGGTGGCGGGTGGCGGCTCGGTGTTAAATTTGGAGACCCCCGTGGGTTTCCCATGCCGACCTGCATATGTCTGCGGGCACGGGGAAGGGAGGGCCGCAGACCCCCGTTGAGTCCCCGACTGCCAGCAGCAAGTTGCCGCAGGCGCACTGGCTCTGCAGCCCCGGGATCAAGGTGGGTTCACCTTGCACCGGGCCACCTGTTTCAGTTTCCTCCTCCACCAGGCAGGCTCTCTGACAGATCAGCCCAGGGAGGGGCAGGTGGGGACCGAGGGGGACGGAGGGGGCCCACAGACCCCCGGCTCATCTGGCATCTTCCCCAGCGTTTCCCACACTTGACCCACTAGATGAGAAGTTGGGGGTCGGGGCTGGGACCCCACCTTCATACCTCCAGCGCCTGCCAACTCAAAGACATCGGTAGATGCCCACCGATTGGGTAACCGCCCCCAGCACCCCCACCCTGCTAGGCTTCCATGCAGTGGGGGAAGTAGGGACCCCCGGCCAAAAGCAGTCATGTTCTTTTTGTTTTTCTCCTAAGTTTTCTGCGTCTGTGTGCGATTGGAACGAAACATCAACTCTTTTTTTTTCTTTTTTGTCATATTTCAATATTGGCTTTCTTCCCCGCCTTCTTTCGAAGGCTCCTTTTATAACTTCGGCTGCTGCTGCTTAAATATAGATGTCAAAGCCCTCCTCCCTCCAGATTGTTTATATTTTTGAAGAGCCTTCTGCTTCGCTGTGACTGCTCCTCTCTTATCTGTATCCCCCGTTCCACCACATTGGTTTCGGTTGCTCTTTTTTTTTTTTCCCTGCCTTCCCTTAACTGGGATGTGTTTCAAATGTGGTCTATCAAAATGTTCAGTGTTTCCCTTTTTTCTGCAATAGCTTTGACATCTGTTCTTGAATTCTAGCCCACGTTATTCCTTAGGACTTGTTTGCCCAAGATGTGCCTGAATGCCAGAAATACTAAGGGGAGAAGAGTGTGGTGTGGTGGTATCTTCCCCTCATTGCCTGGTTTGTTGTTTTATTGTCGTTGTTGTTTTTTTTTCTTTCCTCCCCTGCTTTTTAAAGTGTCTACGATTCCTTCCTTCTTCCTTCCTTCCTTCCTTCCCTCCCTCCCTCCCTCCCTCCCTCTTTCCCTCCCTCCCTCCCTCTTTCCCTCCCTCCCTCCGTCCTTCCCTCCCTCCGTCCTTCCCTCCTTCCTTCCTTCCTTCCCTTCTTCCTTCCTTCCTTCCTTTCTTCTTTCTTTCTTTTTTCCCTTGGGACACCTCACTCATGCCCAGGCTGGAGTGCAGTGGCGTGATCTCGGCTCACTGCAACCTCTGCCTCCCCGGTTCAAGCGATTCTCTTGCCTCAGCCTCCTGAGTAGCTGGGATTACAGGAGCCCACCACCATGCCTGGCTAATTTTTGTATTTTTAGTACAGACAGGGTTTCTCCATGTTGGCCAGGCTGGTCTCAAACTCCTGACCTCGGGTGATCCACCCACCTCGGCCTCCCAAAGTGCTGGGATTACAGGCGTGAGCCACCTCGCCCGGCCTGTCCATGATTTGTAAGTTGACAGCATGATTTCATCCCATCCGGCATGGCCCACCCCGTAGTAGTACCAAGGAAGCATTTCCCAGCAAGAACTTGTAACGTGTAGGTTTGCTGGTTAACTTCCGCCAAGGAGGAAAGCCTGTGGGACTTGGTGAGCTGGGTGGTGGGGGGTGGAGAAGGAGAGGCTCTAGTGTGCTTCTTGGAGGCGTGGGGATAAATCTTCAGCTTTGATTTTTCTCGCCGTTCAGCTCTGCTTGGACTCAGGGTGATGGTCCCAACCGTGAGAAGCCAGCTAGAGCAGCCACCTTGGATCCCAGCAGAACGGGCCGCTGTGTGTCTTTAGTTGCCAAAGCGACTCGGCAGGAAAACAGGCCTTTTGGTGGCGACAGCAGTGTGTCCTTGGGCGCCTGCTGTCAGCCTGGAACACCATTCTGGGGCCATCTGCTGCAGGCTTGTTGGAAACAGATCCTCTTGGCAGCTCTTCCCAGAATTTCTGAGGCCAGGGCACAGGTTCTCTGGCGCGTTGATTATCGGTTTGTTGCGGGGAGCAGAGCCCAGAGTCCTCAGCCCCCTAGCGGGTCCCTCATGGGGAACCCACTCCTGGTGGTCCTCAGCGTTCCCGCGCAAGTAATGTGATTTGAGAATAACTGCCAATGGTGCCTCATTTCTGAAAAGTGGTTGGAAATAATTATTCTTGGAATTTACCTTTTAAAGGTCCCTCTTGAAAACTAATCATAGGTTAATGGTCTCGAACATGATGCTTGGCCTAGAGTGAGCTCACCATAAACATTTGTTGAATGAATACAAACCAAGTATTACTCTCAGAGATCCCAGGCCCACAGCATTGAAGGACGGCCACACGGAATGCCCCGAGGAGGGGATAGATCAGCAGAAGGACTAGAGCTCAGGAGAGTGGCTGGCTGGAAGGAACCCTTGGGAAGAAGAGGCGTGGAGCAACTTGGGGAGGCGGGTGCTTTGGGCATTAGCCTGATAGTTGTGGCTGGAGCAAGAAAGATGTTTCTGTGTATTCTGTTATGGGAACAGAGTCATTTATGGCGTGCACATTGAGGCACGACCCATGATGTTGAACGAGCTTGGTTTTCTCAACCACTTCACATGGGACGGACGTGGGATGGGGGGATAATGTTCATTTCTCTGCCTTCCCGCCACCCTCCAGCCCCTCCTCTGCCAATGAGTTGATGTTCCTTAGAGCCACTGGGGTCTCTCCCCCAGTGTTCTGGTCAAATGCAAATAGGACCCTCCTCTAGTACACAGTGCAATTACAATCTCACTTTTCCTTTCCTGTTTCCCCAACAGAGAGAACTCGATGCCACCGCAACGGTATTGGCGAACCGGCAGGATGAAAGTGAGCAGTCCAGAAAGCGGCTTATCGAACAGAGCCGGGAGTTCAAGAAGAACACTCCAGAGGTGAGGCGCGTGACCATCGTGTTCGCTTTGAAGGGATCTTAGAATGCTGGTGCATGTTCAGGCGACGCTCCGTGAGCGTTTCATTTTCATCAGATGAACGCACGGCCGGCAAACAACCCGTTTCTTTCCCCAGATGTCTTCAGCCCCATTTCCAGCAGAACGCATGCCATCCTGCAGGCTGTGGGGATGTGGAAATTGATAGGTTGTCTGGAAATATGAAAGTCAGAGCCAATTCCAGGTGCAGATACTGGACAAGCTTGGTCTGTAAGAACACGTGGGCAGGTGTGTGGGTGTCTCAGACCCTCGAGCTCATCCCAGACCCTGTCCCATGTCAGTTAGCAAGCCACCAAAGTCCATAAGGGATCCTGTGGGGTGGAAGGTCCGCGGGGCCTGCTTCCCTGTTGCTGGTGCAGGCGGAGTGTCTGAAGGCTGCACGCATCTGGGCATAGCAGTGCGCCTAACGCTTCTTGTAAAACAGACATTTCGCCTGCTAGGCCTTTTAAATGCCTCTCTGTTTCTTGAAATATGCCGTAAAGGGCAATGGAAATGTGCTTTTTATATACTCCTGTTTTTTCTCTCGTGAGTGTGCAATCGGGGGACAGTGTTGAGTTGCTGGGGTGGCGTTTTTCTGCTCGTTTCCTGGCCCCTTCTTCCTTCCCTTCAACCCTATCAGGGGCTTACTAAGAAAAAAAAAAAAACATCCAAGCGTGTTGCAGGCAGATGAGCAGTCGCGGGAATGGCTTTCCGGGTGACATCTGCCAGTTTGGTCCCCATGGCGCTCATCCCGCGGGCTCGGACCCCAGCCTCTCTTACATCTTCCCCTTGTATGGGAAGGGGTCGCAGCAGCCCACAGCTTCGGCCCGGCTTCCGGGCTTGGGGAATCTTCTCCGTATCGTAGCTCTTGGCTCCTCCATATAAGACATAGGAACATGCCTGGAGGCAAAGCTCCTTTCTAGGAGAGATGCCCCTCTCTTACTTACATAATATTGCTGGGAAATTATATGTGAATTGCATTTTTAAAAGCGGACTCATTTAAAATGTTTCAAAAGAGGCTTGCTAGTCAAGGGACTGCTGGCATGAATCATTATGGAAAACAAATTAATAACCTTCTGTCTTCAGAATAAATATTTTAGGAGAAAGCTTGGTAGCAGAGTAGAAAGAAGGCAGCCTTTGGCCACAGAGCCAGCTAAGGGTTCAAATCTCACACCCGCTGCTTGCCTCGGCTGCCCCTAAATGTGGGTACTCCATGTTTCACGAGACCAAAAATGCAGGTGGGAGTCACTGGTGCTTGGGGGTTTCTGCCTTCTCTGCCAGTGTTGGGGAGTGGGGGGCCCTATTCTCCATGTCAGCCTTGCCATGAGTAAAAACAGGAGGAAAAAAAGAGCTGGGGACAGAACGTCCTTCTTCTGTTGCCTCCAGCGGCTTCAGAGCAGACTTTCCTGGAACTCCGGTTTCCTGAGCGCTTGTCCTTGACTCAGTTTCCCCAGCCCAAGCCCCGCCACATCCATCGTGCTAGCTCCTCTTAGTGCCGTTCCTGTAGCTAGTGGTCACCCACCGTTCTGTATTGTCACTGCCCTTTCCTCGGTGACCATATGTCTGAGGGTTTCCATAGAAAATCTTAGAGGTTTGGCTGGGCGCAGTGGCTCACGCCTATAATTTCAACACTTTGGAAGGCTGAGGCAAGCAATCACTTGAGGTCAGGAGTTCAAGACCAGCCTGGGCAACATAACAAGACTCATCTCTGTTATAAAAGGTAAAAAGAAAAAAGAAAACGTTTTGTGGTTAAAAACAAACAAAGAAACAAAAAAACCCAGAAAATCTTAGAGGGGCAAGGCCATCCTTCAGAGGCCACGGACAATAAATACACGAGTGTATTCAGCCAGAGAATGAGGTTCCTAAGAGGCCTGGCTTCCTGGGTGTTCCTCAGAAGTCCCCAACTCCTAGTGACAGTGGAGGAGGAGCGTGTCCCCCTTCGGTCACCCTGTCCGTTCCTTATGCTCTGCTGATAAATGCCGCTTGTACTGCACTGAGCCCTATCCCTCCATCGTGCCTTGTGTCGAATTCCACATTAGTTACTCAAAGACACCTGGCCTTAAACTTGGCGTTTTTATCTCCTTCTGATCCCAATAAATGGAAGAGGCTTGGGGAGGCGGCAGCCTGGTAGGTACCTGCCACTTGGGGCATTTCTTCTCAGGACACATTTTTAGACTCTGTCTTCATGGAGAAAGGGGCTAGAACCCACCAGGAAGGGGAGGCAGATGATGGAAGGTCACCACCTGCTTGGCCCTGACCCCGCCACTGCCAGTGGGTGGAGGGTGGTGCCCACTTCCTCATCTTTGGCTGTAGTAACGAGGGTCTCACTGCAGCATGCGGTCCTGGGGAGGTGGGGAGAGGGGAGCTGGCTGCAGGCTCCTGCCCCGCCAGCCCTATGCACTTTCTCATCCAAGGACCAACCTGGAAATCTGTGGGGCGCCCACGCGGAAAGTCCAAGACGAGACCCACTTCACTTGTGCCAGCAGCCAGAGCTTCCTGCTGGTAACTTTTTTTTTATTTTTTGAGACAGAGTCTTGCCCTCAGGTTGGAGGACCACCCAATCGCTCAGGTTGGAGTGCAGTGTCACAATCTCGGCTCACTGCAACCTCCGCCTCCTGGGTTCAAGTGATTCTCCTGCTTCAGCCTCCCAAGTAGCTGGGATTACAGGCACATGCCACCACCACACCCAGCTAATTTTTGTATTTTTAGTAGATTTCACTATGTTGGCCAGGCTGGTCTCGAACTCCTGACCTCAGGTGATCCGCCCACCTCGGCCTCCCAAAGTGCTGGGATTACAGGCATGAGCCACCGCGCCCAGCCCTCCTGCTGGAAATGTTGAAACCACATAAGACCAGAACAGTGGTGGGAGTCGGGGGCTGTGGCCGGAGTGTGCTGGGTGTGCAGGAGGCGGAGTTCCCTGCTGTTCCCTGTGACAGCAGGTGTGTGTGTGTGGGGGGGGAGCTGTGACAGTACGTGTGTGTGTAGATAGCACATGTGTGGAGCCTCAGCTCAGTGCCTGGCCTGTGTCCCAAGGGGACACTGGGTCACCGTTTGTTTGGGGTCTCAGTCTTGAGGAGCCACCACTGCCCTGACACTGGTTGCTCCTCTGGCCACACCGCAGGATTGATTACTAACCGTGGAGGTGACGTCGGGTTGTTGCATGTGTAGAAACGAGGCTTGCTTAGAGCTTTCGCCCGTTGGGTAGGACAGCCTGGCTTACCGGGAGGAGGGTATCCTCTTCCCTATGGATGCAGCCCACGATCCCCATGGCAACATACCTTCCAGGGCACAGCGTGGCAGAGCCAGGGCTGGTGGTGTTCCTGCTGGTGTGACACCAAGGGTGTTGATCTTGATGGAAACGCCCACGTCTCTCTTTGTTCTGGGAAAGAAGGAAAGGTTTCCTGGTGTCTGATGAATGTCTAATGTGTTCCACAGGGAGGATTAGGCACCCGCGAGGGTTCAGTGGGGAGTAAAGTTTGTCTGCCATCGGAGATTTCACCTTCTAGACTGGCCCTTCCCAGATGTCACTGGGAAAAGCTCTAGTCCAGGAGGGAAAAGGTGGGCTGTGACGGGGAGGTGGCCAGGGAGGGGTGCTGTGTGGTGGCTGGGACTCTGACAGGCGGGAGAAGCCACAGGAACATCAGGAGGTGAGCGCCAGGATGGCTGGAGCCTTGAAGGGTTTTTCTGGGGACAGGATCCTGCTCTGTCACCCAGGCTGGAGCGCAGCGGCACGATCACAGCTCACTACAGCCTCCAACTCCTGGGCTCAAGTGATCCCTCCGTCTCAGTGTCCCGAGTAGCTGGGATTACAGGAACGTGGCACCACAGTGCCTGGCTAGTATATTTTATTTTATTTTATTTTTATGTGTTTTTTTTTTTTTCTTCAAGTGTCTTGCTCTGTTGCCCAGGCTGGAGTGCAGTAGCACGATCTTGGCTCACTGCAACTTCCACCTTCTGTGTTCAAGCAGTTCTTCTGCCTCAGCCTCCCGAGTAGCTGGGATTACAGGCATGCGCCACCACACCCAGCTAATTTTTTTGTATTTTTAGTAGAGGTGAGGTTTCACCATGTTGCCCAGGCTGGTCTTGAACTCCTGACCTTGTGATCCACCCGCCTCAGCCTCCCAAAATGCTGGGATTACAGGTGTAAGCCACCGCGCCTGGCCGTAGTTTTTAAATTTTCTGTAGAAACAGAGCCTTTTGCTGTTGCCCAGGCTAGTCTCAAACTCCTGCGCTCAAGCAGGGTCCTCCCACTTTGGCCTCCCAAAGTGCTAGGATTACAGGCACGAGCCACTGCGCCCAGTTGAAGGTTTTCTGTTTAGAATTAGTTTTTTAAAGTTTCAGTTTTATATCATTAGATTAATATATTTGCCATCATATGATATTGTGTCTTTTTAATCCAGAAATTGTAGTTAATTTGCAGAAGATTGCAGTTACTCTGCAGATAAAATTGTATACGTTTTCTTTGAATCTACAAAAAGAGTCCCTTTGAAAGAAAAACATTTTTAAATGTTCTAACTGAACATCCATTCCCTATTGAATTAAGAATCAATCGTGGAACATAATAGGCGGTGGAGTGTTTCTAGGGTATATTGCTTTCTATATTTTTGTTTTTTTTGGAATATAGTGGCACAATCATAGCTTACTGTGGCCTCGATGTCCTGAGCTCAGGCGATCCTCTCCTTATAGCCTCCAGAGTAGCTGGGACTATAGGTGCGTGCCACCACACCCTGCTAATTTTATGTTTTGAAGAGACCGGGTCTCACTTTGTTGCCCAGGCTGGTGTCAGACTCCTGGGCTCAAGCTAAATCACCCACCTTGGCTTCCCAAAGTGTCGGGATTACAGGTGTGAGCCACTGCGCCCAGCTCTGATTTTTGTATTTCTTACTTAAGGCGACATACTTAGTAGCTGTGCGTCTTGGGGCAGATACCTCCCAAAGCCCCAGTTCTGTCATCTATAAATAATGTAACAACAGGGCCCCGCTCGCAGGGTTGCTGTGTGCACATATGTGTGTGTACGTACCCATGTGCCTGTACGAGAAGGGCTGCGCACAGGCCTGTCCCTAGAGTTTAGCTTATGTTCGTTATTAGCATTAACCTGGGAATACTCACCGTGTAACTCATGAGATACAGTGGATTTCTGTTCCTCAGAGCTAGCTTGGGGAATTTCTATGTTTTATTTTATTTTATTTATTTATTTATTTATTTATTTACTTATTTATGAGGCGGAGTTTCACTCTTGATACCCAGGCTGGACTGCAGTGGCGCCATCTCTGCTCACTGCAACCTCCACCTCCCAGGTTCAAGTGATTGTCTTGCCTTAGCCTTCTGAGTAGCTGGAATTACACGTACCCGTCACCATGCCCGGCTAATTTTTTGTATTTTTAGTAGAGACGGAGTTCCACCATGTTGGCCAGGCTGGTCTTGAACTCCTGACTTCAGGTGATCCACCCGCCTCGGCCTCCCGAAGTGCCAAGTGGCATGAGTCACCACACCCGGCCTTAGCTCGGGCAACTTTAAAAAAAAAATAACAACAAATATAGGTAGTTTCAGCTTAAAGTGTTTCAAAAGTTGGTTTGTGGCCAGACACAGTGGCTTACGCCTGTAATCCCAGTGCTTTGGGAGGCTGAGGTGGGAGGATCGCTTCAGACCAGGAGTTTGAGACCATCCTGGGCAACATAGTGAGATTCCATCTCTACAAAAAAATCAAAAGATTAGCCAGGATGGTGGTGTACACTTGTAGTCCCAGCTACTTGGGAGGCCGAGGTGGGAGGATGGCTTGAGCCCAGGAGGTTGAGGCTGCAGTGAGCCATGATCATACCACTGCACTCCAGCCTGGGCAACAAAGTGAGATCCTGTCTCAAAAAAAAAAAATTGGTTTGTAATAACAATTAATCATCTTACAAATATTTATTGAACACCTTCCATGTGCCAGACAGTTTGGCCCTGGGAATAAAACCCTATCTCCATTCTTTAAAAAGTTTCTTATCTTTCTTAGTAAGCAAATAGAACCCAATGGCAGAGCGTGTTAAGTGCTAGGATAGAATGACTGGAATCTTCTGACTGTAGACTTTCCCCACAGAAACACTCTTATGTCAGTGGTGATAAAGTTCTCTGGATAAGCCACATATGGCTCAGTAACCCTTTTTATAGATAAACAGTTCTGCTTTTTGAGCCTTGGTTCTTAACCTTTAAAATATCCATGAAAGTTGAGGACCTACGCACCTGGGAAATGCACGTTTGCAGTTTCTGGGGGGCTCCCAGACACTCATCCATGCAGCCTTAGTTTAGAACACCAGTTCTCTGGGCCCATAGTCCCAGTTTCAGCTCACCATTCCAGGAGAACCAGTGGGTCACCTCTACTCTCCTTCTCCTCCTTGTGTCCTGGGGTGGAAGGGGATGAAGGAGGGAGGAGGGGGGATTCTAGAGCTTTGGGGTGGGTGACAGATGAGTACCAAGGCCTGACCGCTGGGCAGGGACAGGGTGTGCCTGGCCTTGGGCTGGGTGCTGGGGAGTGGGAGATGGGTGAAGGAGCAAGGCCACCTGATGTGACAAGGGGCTCCACGGGCTGGCAGCAGGGGCAGCACCTCTGCACTGGGCTGGCCACAGCATGTCAGGAGGGAGCAGCAGCAGCTATCTGGAAGCCTGGTGGTGTTAGAATCATGTATGTGAGCAGTGGAGGCTGAAAGCCTAGCTCTCGCAAACCCCAGAAAGTGTCTCTTAGCTTTTCCGTTTGCCGTTTGCTTTTCCATGGCTTTGATCGCGGTCAAACTCCGATTTCCCGCGTGTGTGATTCCAGAGTTCTTCTGGAGGCGAGGTTACGGGAGGTCTGCAGCATGTCTGACCTGCAGCCCCGGCTCACTGGCCTGGCTGTAGGGAGTTAGTGGATGGAGAGTGGCTGGACAGTTTGGAGACCAGGTAACCCAGCGTGGGGTCCTCCCTGGAGAAACCCCCAGTGCTCCTGCGACATCGGCCTGGCTTCAGGGCTCTGCTATTTGAATGTGATGCTCAACTCTCCAATAAATGGTCGTCTGTGTTAGGCTTGCTTCCAGAAAGAGCTCAGGGATGGTTTTGGGTTTTGTTCTGCTTCTTTTCAATATGGGAGGAACCTTCTCTGATGGGAGAAAAGAGAGGAGGAGAACCACATTCCTGAGATGCTGTGATTTTATCATGAAACCATCCCCAGCCCTCATCCTGGTGACGTCAGTCGGCCCAGTCCTACTCCAGAACGCTTCTTGGGTGTCTGTCTGCAGGACTTTGCTCAGTTAATTTTTGTCTCCTCTAAAACAGACCCCGTTGCTCTGGGAGGAGAGCCGAGCTGCGGCTCAGGGGCCGTCACTGGTCATTTTTGCCCTGATGTATTTTTGCCTCTACATTTCTTGATCTCTGGAACGTTAATCCCAACGATGCCTGGTCTGCGGTGCTCACAGTCTGTGTCTGTGCTTTCTACACCTGTCCTGCTCAGATGCACATGATGTCACACCCAGGTCTCCATCCTGGCTCTTGTTGGCTGCGGCGGCAGCCCTGACTGTCGGAGACGCCTGGCTCAGCATGCCCACCTTGCAACAGGGAGCACCCTGTGCTGCTCACAGAACTGCCCATCCACTTTCTTTTCCTTTCCTGGGTGCCAACATCTTCCTCTGCCCCTTCTACGCCGGCCTGGCGCATTTCTCTGATTTCTGTGTTCCCGGGTAGCAGTTGTAAAAATTCAGGCTTGGGAGTTGTCTTGAGATAGGACTTGGAAAGGAATCTTTTACCATCGTTGAAATTGGCTAGATTTGTGGATTCCTTCCCGACCCTGGCAGGCACGGTGAGGGGAGGAGGTCCCTCCTTTTTATTGATCAGGATGCACTGTGTGCGGGGTAAGCCAGGAAGCCACGCACCTGATGCTATCTCTGCCATGGGGAGGAGGACAGAGGATGGGAAGATGCTGTGAACTTTTATGATTCGTTTTTCACTCTCGGTGAGAAAAGGAGCTAGCAGGATGGGTGAGGGAGTGGAGGGTAGTAATATATAGTTGTGGCCTGGGCCCAAACGCATTTAGTCACTGCCTCGACAGCCTTTATATAGACACCACCAGAGTGACTCAGCCTGGAAAAAGAGAGTCACTTAAAAATAAAGTTGCGACTCCAGTGGACACGTGGTGCACAGGCTGCCCTGAGATAGTCACCAGGGCTCCATGGCCCTGCACACCCCCCAGGACCCTGGGCGAGTCAGGTGGTGAAGTGAGGGTGATCGTTGTAACCCCATCTTGGCATTGACGTGAGGATTTAGCAAAGTCACATATCATCCCAATTACTTTTTTCCTTTTTTTTTTTTTTCTTTTTGGAGACAGGGTCTTGCTCTGTGGCCCAGGCTGGAGAGCAGTGGCATGATCTCAGCTCACTGCAGCCTCAACCTCCCAGCCTCAAATGATCCTCCCACCTCAGCCTCCCGAGTAGCTGGGACTACAGGCGTGCACCACCACACCTGGTTATTTTTTTTTATTTTTTATTTTTTGTAGAGATGGGGGTCTCACTTTGTTGCCCGGGCTGATCTCGAACTCCTGGGCTCAAGCGATCCTCCCACCTCAGCCTCCCAAAATGTTGGGATTACCGGCGTGAGCCACCACACCTGGCCTTTGATGCTTTCTAAACATGAAACAGCATCCAGGCATCATCGGCTACTCCTTGATATGTCAGTGTTACCCACTGGACTCTCAACTCTTCTCTGTTATCAACAAATCTTGTTTTACTCCTCATTAGACCCTAAAACCACTGCACACAGAAAAGTGAAAAGCCCAGCCTCATTTTCCTTTCATCACGTTGAGCCCATTGAGTTGGCTTCATTGAAGGCCCACAGCCCTGATGTGACACAATGGGGCCTTTTTTTGAGCTAGAATTCCACTCCGTCACCCGGGTTGGAGTACAGTGGCTCGATCTCGGCTCACTGAAACCTCTGCCTCCCAGGCTCCAGCAATTCTCCTGCCTCAGCCTCCCAAATAGCTGGGACTACAGGCATGTGCCACTGTGCCCAGATAATTTTTTTGTATTTTTCATAGAGATGGGGTTTCACCATGTTGGCCAGGTTGGTCTCAAACTCCTGGCCTCAAATGATCCACCTGCCTCGGCCTCCTAAAGTGTTGGGATTACAGGCATGAGGCACAGTGCCTGGCCAAAAGTAGATTTCTATAGAGATAGAAACCCCCAGGGGTGAGGGGATAGAGGAATGAGGAATGACTGATAGTTGGTATGAGGTTTCTTTTTGGAATATAAAAATGTCCTAGAATAAGACAGTGGTGATACTTGCACAACTTTGAATATGCCAAATGCCACTGAACTGTGTACTTTAAATGGGTGAGTTGTATGGTATATAAATTATACATCAATAAAGCTGTTATTTAAAAAAAAAATTCAGCCAGGTGCAGTAGCTCACGCTTATAATCCCAGCACTTTGGGAGGCTGAGGCAGATGGATTGCTTTTGCTCAGGAGTTGGAGACCAGCCTGGGCAATATAGTGAGACCTCACCCCTACAGAAAAATAGAAATATTAGCTGGGAGTGGTGGTGCGTACCTATGGTCCCAGCTACTCAGAAGGCTGAGGTAGGAGGGTCGCTTGAGTCTAGCAGGAGATTGAGGCTTCAGTGAGCCATGATTGCACCACTGCACTCCAATGTGGGTGACAGAGTTATAACCCCCGTCTCAAAACAAACAAACAAACAAACAAACAAAAAACCTAAACTAAATTAAAAAAGAATTCCTCTCTTCATGGGGGTGTCAGAAACCCCCGAAGAGATTTCTTATTCAGTTGTTCTCTCATCCTCTAAAGAAACTCCCCACAGAAAAGTATCTTGTGAATTTTCATTTTTGCAGGGGGCAGTTTGGTTTTAAAAAGTCTACTCCAGGATTTGGCAAAATGAGAAAACCCCAGTAATCAACTTGTGTGTTTAATCATTCTAGAATCACCTACTGTTAAGTTATAATAAGCCTTTAACTAGAAAAAGTTTAAAAATTAAAAGTGAACTTTTAACTGTTACCAATTAAACCCTTTAAGCCAGTTTATCAACCCAAGACATTATTTTCTTTCTTTTGGGTCTCTAGGGGAGAAGAGGTGCCTTGAGTGGGACCAGTAATGAAGGCAATTTGAACCTAATTCGGGCCCCAGTCAGGGAAGGTGGCTGCATTATCCCCCTACATCCCAGCAAGACTTTGCCGCATGGTCTGGAGGGCACCAGCAGGGGCCTGTAGGGAAGAGGAGGTTGCCTGGGCCCAGGGACATTGAATGCTAGTCAAGCCCTGGTTTCATTTGCTCCAACAGCATTAATAGTATTGTGACCTCCATGGCACTGTGACAGAAACTTAACCCCAGTTTCTTCGTCTGCAAAAAACATACCCTGCCTACTTCAAGGGGTCCTGGAGGCTGAATGTCCAGTCTCAGGCCAGGAGTAGAACGCATAACTAGTAAGTGGTGACGTGCAGTGACCTTGAGCAAGGTCAAAAACTGTTCTAAGACTTGGTCCCCTTATGTATAAGCAGGAAGAATTGGTGCTATCCCATTTCACCCAGGAGGTGAAATGAATTCAGATGCACAGAGCATATAGTAGGTGCTCAACAAACACCCTCCTCTCTTCTTTCCTTCCTTGCTTTCTTTTACAAGTAGTCCTGAGCCCTTTTCTAGGGCCAGGGGCAGTCAGATACAGCAGGGATGGAGGGAGAAGATTCCAGATCTCACAGAGATCTGGCAGTGGCCAAGTAAACAAATGATGCACAAGATAATTTCAGGTGGCGGTAAGAGCTCAGACAGAACAAGATGGCAGTGAGTGATCAAGGATGGGCGAAGGTACTTTGGGGAGTCAGAGAACGTGTTTTGATCTTAAGAATGCAAAATGACTTTTTGTATCACCTGTCAACACAACACACACACACACACACACACACACACACGGAGGCTTTAGTGCAAATTTTGAAATAACCATTGATTAATTTTGGCAAGCTGTTAGCAGTGGAGTCCCCCACATTTCTTCCATGTAAAGCCCTGATCATCTTGGCTGTAACCACTCACTTACTTTGAAGCGTCAGATTCAGTCTCTCTGCTTTCTAAGACCAGGGATGCTATTTAATCTGGGCATTAGAAAATTCAGTTGGCCAAGTGCGGTAGCTCATTTCTGTAATCCCAGCACTTTGGAGGCTGAGGTGGGAGGACTGCTTGAGACCAGGAGTTTGAGACCAGCTGGGGCAACATAGCGAGACCCCATCTCTACAAAAAAATGAAGAAATTAGCCGGGCGTGGTGGTGCATACCTGTAATTCAGGAGGCTGAGGTAGGAGGATCCCTTGAGCCCAGGAGTTCAAGACTGCAGTGAGCTATGATTGCGTCACTGCACCCCAGCCTGGGCGGCAGAGCAAGACCCTATCTTCAAAAAAAACAAAAACACACACACAAAATTAGTCAATGAATTGTGGAGTTTCAAAGAGACCTTATTTTGTTTGTTTGTTTTCTGGGCCAAAGGCCCAGAAATTCTTAGGTAATTCTTCGGTAATTAATTCTTAGGCAATTCTTAGGTAATTAACGAGGAGCTAATCTCCCAGTTGCTCTGTTCCTTGTCACTGGAAGTGGTCAGAGCTGTTGCGGGGCTTGGCCCAGGGGCGGCGGGTGGCATCTGAAGACCCCGCAGGCCCTGCTTTCCTTCCGGGAGCATCTCAGGACGGCCGCTTTGTCTGTCTGCCCCCGCCCCTTGCTGAAACGTCAACAAGGCCGGCATCCCCTTTCCTTCCTGAGAGCCATGTGTCGCTTCCTTCATGTGTCCAGCCGTTTTTACAGGGCTATTTTAAGTATAAAAGACGCATTATCTGAGAGTTTAATAACTGTCAAAAGGGAAGCACTGTCATTAGATTCATGTGCCCTGGAATTTTAGTCAAAAACATGCTGCGTTCTATCACGTCTAAGCCTCTATTTTCTTATCTCAAAAAATAGGAATGATAACGACCTCGGAGTCATTATGGGCTGGATGAACTCTTATAGGGATTCAGAACAACCCAGGCACCAAGTAGAAGGTCAATAAATGGCTTATTGTGTTCATGTTACCAAAATCTACTCTTTTGAGAAATTGTGTTCACAAATGGCCTTTTTTTTTTCTTTTTTCTTTTTTTTTTTTTGAGATGGAGTCTCCCTCTGTCACCCAGGCTGGAGTGCAGTGGCGCGATCTTGGCTCACTGCAACCTCTGCCTCCCAGGTTCAAGTGATTCTCCTGCCTCAACCTCCCAAGTAGCTGGGACTACAGGCACCTGCCACCACGCCTGGCTAATTTTTGTATTTTTAGATGGGGTTTCACTATGTTGGCCAGGTTGGTCTCAAATTCCTGACCTTGTGATCTGCCCGCCTCGGCCTCCCAAAGTGCTGGGATTCTAGGTGTGAGCCACCACACCCGGCCTCACAAATGGACTTTTTTTTTTTTTGAGACGGAGTCTCGCTCTGTCACCCAGGCTGGAGTGCAGGGGCGCGATCTCGGCTCACTGCAAGCTCCGCCTCCCGGGTTCATGCCATTCTCCTGCCTCAGCCTCCCAAGTAGCTGGGACTACAGGCGCCCGCCACTACGCCCGGCTAATTTTTTGTATTTTTAGTAGAGACGGGGTTTCACCGTTTTAGCCGGGATGGTCTCGATCTCCTGACCTCGTGATCCACCCGCCTCGGCCTCCCAAAGTGCTGAGATTACAGGCGTGAGCCACTGCACCCGGCCACAAATGGACTTTAAAGTTATAAATGTGACGGAGGGCAGTGGCTCACACCTAGAATCCCAGCACTTTGGGAGGCTGAGGCTGGCGGATCACTTGAGCTCAGGAGTTTGAGGCAGGAGAATCGCTTGAACCCAGGAGATGGGGGTTGCAGTAAGCCAAGATCGTGCCACTGCACTCCAGCCTAGGCTACAGAGTGAGACTCCGTCTCAAAATAAATAAAAATAAAATAAAGCTATAAACGAACACTTAAAAAAATTATTAAAGCCTAGGGTAGACCCTAGTTTCTACTGCGGACTTGAACAGATACAGTAAAATTAAAACTTGCCTTCTTCCATATGTGTCTAGAGAGTAATTTTCTCTCCTTTTGCATTAGTTTCACTGTTCATAGAGTGGAAATGTTTGCTGCTGGACTTTCTTTTTTGAAGCTATTCTTTGAGAGTAGCCCATAACTTGTCTTTCTGGTCAATAACCTCAACTGAAATGCATTCTGAATGGAGAACGTCATTCTGTGTAGGATTTAATAATAACTTCAGCACAGAAAAGCACTCTCTGCCTCTTCTCAGCAAACAACTTTGTTGAGCATGATTTTAAAGGTGTAACGGCTAAATGTGAAAGCCATATGATTTGGTTGAAATCGTGGTGAGCTGTTATTAATATTTATTGAGTACTTGCTAGGAGTCAGGCATTATGCTAAGTGCATGACCATCATTTCTCTGCCCCTGGAAGTCACCCTGGGAGCTAAGTATCATCGGTGCCACTTAATGAAGCGTAAGCCACCCACCCACCTACCAGGATTTTCCCGGGCAGACAGACTCCTGGGAATGAGGCCATATAATCCCCTGAACACCCTGCCTCCTTAGGGTTCCAGAAGCCAATTTTTTTTCTTTTTTTGAGACAGATTTTTGTTCTTGTCACCCAGGCTGGAGTACAGTGGCCTGATCTCGGCTCACTGCAACTTCTACCTCCCGGGTTCAAGCGATTCTCCTACCTCAGCCTCCCAAGTAGCTGGGATTACAGGCACCAACCACCATGCCCGGCTAATTTTTGTGTTTTTAGTACAGATGGGGTTTCACCATGTTGGCTAGGCTGGTCTTGATCTCTTCACCTCAGGTGACTCACCTGCCTTGGCCTCCCAAAGTGCTGGGATTACAGGCATGCGTCACCACGCCTGGCCCAGAAGCCAAATTTTTAGTCACTTAACCATTAGCAATTCCTCTTCTATTAGATTTTTTTTAAAATTGCTTTTGAGTATTTCTTTGAAGTGGCATACTCATTTAAAGGATTCTATATGTCAGGGGGAATGTTTTCTAGGAGGGTACTTAGGAAGGAACATATCGTTATAGCCTAAAATTTGCCATTGGCCTGTGAAAGCCTTCTTAACTTACGGAATTGATTATAAGCCAAAGCGTGGGAAAATCTCCCCTTCCACTTTGAGATTATGTCAGTCAAGAAAATGACAATTGGATACCAAGCCATGCTAACTCTGATACTTGCTGTCTTCGTTTTCTTCTTTCTTTGGCTAGGGGGATGGAGCGCGTGTGGTGTGGGTGGGACTAGTCACTGAGCATGTTATTGACTAACATTGGCTTTTCATTTTAACTTGCAAATGTGAGTGGCATAAAAGTGAGTTTACGAGGAGCATGACTGGCCTGTTATGCAGAGTCTTGTAATTTTGTTTGTGGCCCTTTATTTTAAGAAGATGTTGTGTTATATAGTTGGTGTCCTTAAAGGAGTATATAATTGGATCTGGAAGCTTAGATTGTGATTCTGACTTGGCCACTTAATGAATGCAAGATCTGAGCAAGCCATGACCTCTCTGTTGTTCAGTCTAAGAAAGGAGGTGTTGGTGCTGAGCATGGTGGCTCATGCCTGTAATCCCAGCACTTTGGGAGGCTGAGGCGGACGGGTCACTTGAGGCTGGGAGTTCGAGACCAGCCTGGCCAACATGGCGAAACCCCGTCTCTACTAAAAATACAAAAATTAGCCGGGTGTGGTGGAGTGCACCTGTAATCTCAGCTATTCAGGAGGCTGAGACGGAGAATCACTTGAACCTGGGAGGCGGAGATTGCAGTGAGCCGAGATCACGCCACTGCACTCCAGCCTGGATTTCAGAGCGAGACTCCGAGGTTCTGTGTGGCTGAGAGCCACACATTTTGCAACAAGAGACTCGTCCCTTTTCCATAGGTGTCCTTATTCCTATTGATCTTACCTGTGGGCCCAAGACTTAGGCACATCCCTTTCTTCTTAAAAGGCATCACCTCCTCTGCCTCTTGGAGTTTTCCTACCCAGAATTCATTCATGTGTGCAGCAAATATTCCTGGCAGTCCCATTGTGTGTGGAATGGGGTAAACCAGGAAGACTGTTGTGAGGGCTCAGTAACTTCAGGGACACAGCCGTCGTAGCTTATAATGGCAGCTGATATTTAGTGAGCACTTACTGCATATCCAGTACTATTCTAAACACTGGAAAGGCATTTAACTAACTTAACACTCACAGGATCCCTACGAAACAGGTACAGTGTTTATTTCTGTTTCAAAGAGAGGGAAACTGAGGCCCAGAGAGGAGGAGTAACTTGCCTAGGCCCACAGGTGGCAAAGCTGCCTGAAGGTTTTTTTTGAGACAGAGTCTCACTCTGTCGCCCAGGCTGGAGTGCAATGGCACAATCTCAGCTCACTGCAACCTCTGCCTTCCGGGCTCAAGCGATCCTCACTTCAGCCTCCCAAGTAGCTGGGGCTACAGGCATGCACCATGGTGTCTGACTGATTTTTGTATTTGTTGTAGGGAGGGGTTCTCACTATGTTACGCACGCTGGTCTCAAACTCCTGGGCTCAGTCCCTCCCAAAGTGCTGGGATTATAGGTGTGAGCTACCGTACCCCTCAGGAATTCTTATTTTTTAGATGGAAATTTTAAATTGGCTTTTATTGGAATCTCATTAAATTTGTAGATTTGGAGAGGCTTTAGAAGGCATTTTCAAGTTTTGATTGATTGTTTTAGATTTCATTCATAGGTGAATTTCATTCTCTATATTTTACTTGAGGGATCCACGGAAACTACCTACATGGACTTCACTTACTCTGGTTCATTGTGTGGGATACAAAATCGTCAAAATTGAAGGATTGATCATTGTGTCTGGAGCCAGGCATAAAAATAAACCTCACTCTGTTATCATAGGTGGCTGTGATTAAGATCGAGGGAAATGTCGGCCCTGGGCCTCCTAACATTGACAGTTTCCTTCAGAAGATTAAGTGCGGCTTCATTTTTGGCCCGGGCCATCAGTAGCTTAAAGCCATTACTGTCTATTGGCTGTTTGGTTTGTCTGAAATATGGGGCCGGCGTCAGCCTATTTCCCTGGGGTCAGGTGTGTTCACATAATCAAAGTGCCAGGAACCCATATCGCATGCAAGCGTGTGTGTTCAAATTAGCCTTCTCCAGGGAGGAATTCACAGCACCAGGAATACGCGCAGAGATGTTCTTTTGCACTTTTGCATTTTAAAACGTGCATCGCTTACGAGCGCAGCATTTTCAAGCCTTTTCTTGAGATCAGCTCGTTCAGTTACATGTGCTTTTGAAGATGACCATTTGTGAAACCATCAGCCACTGGCAAAGTGAAGAAAAATGAAGATTTCGGCCTGGTTGATGTGTGCTCGGGGAAAGGTGATAGCTTCTGTTTCCTTGAATTAAAAGCTGCAGACAAGTATATTTTCATTTATTTTGTTTATAAATCAACAACCCACGAAAGGTATTTCATACGTATTTAAATGATTGCTTTGCCGCCATCAAGAAAAAATACTGTTTCACTTAACAGTGAATTGAGACAAGGAAAAGTGATGTGTGAATAGAAATAAAGAAATTAAAGTAAAAAACAGGATCAGGGTAGGTTCTAGGGCTAATAATTTAAGAACAGAACATGTGGTTTAACTCTTTTTGCCACTCTAAGGAGAGGTGATATTTGTATTTTTCTTTTTACTGAAACCAGATCGTGAGACACGCTTTTCATTCATACTTGAAACTTGATAAAATGTTTGGCTTTATATTAATTTTCTCAATTATAAGTGTGGGAAATGAATTCGTTGATAACCCTTTTCAAGTAAATGAACTGATTAGAACCAGAAGAGCCGAGAGTCATTTTTATTTTAAAATTCTTTTTGCATGAACACATGTAGTGTTGAGGAATATGTGGAAAATTGAAATATTGCTTCTCTCCTACCGTGTCTCCAGTGCCTCGATAAATCACCTTTTTTTTTTCCTTTTAAAATGTCTGGCCTTATAATTTATGTTTGCATAACCCATTACTAAATTCATAGTAGGTGTTTTAGTTGGCAGGCATTATTCCAGGGATTTGGAGGAGTTTAAAAAAAATACAGAGCCTTTGTTAGTATTTATACTAAGTGGACATTTTCCTTTTTTAACAACAACAACAAAAAAGAATTAGATTTTTAAAAAAGAATTCAGAGCTAGCTATTTACCTTTTTCCTAGACAAACACTATTAAGTCCATATTCTCACATTATTCATTGTCTTAATGGAGATTAAGATTTCTTAATGGACTTTATTATAGCTTTTCTTTCTTTTTTTCAAAATTAGAACTGGCCGAAGAAAATGCTTCTACTATTAAGATCAGATGAATTTCTACAGAATTTTCAGTAGGTGTCATGTTGTATAGGAAATAAACATTTCTGTTTTAGTAGGTTTTCGATTTCTTACCTCCCGTTGACCGTTTTGATCATAAAGTGAAGATGAATACATTCATTCATTTACTGCAGTCTTTGGTACTTGAACAGAAATAGCAGTGTTCTTGGTTTGTTCGCATACTTGTGGCTTACCTTTGAGACTTTCTAATTTTTAACCAGACATTTAAAAATAGCCATTCTGTCTTTTAGCCCTAATTTAGAAAAACTTGTAGCGCTTTCCTTTGAAATGATGAAAAAAAAAGTTCTTTCTGTTTTCTATCATCAAAGTTTAAAAAGCGATGTTTGGATATTTTAAAAGCCGGAAAGACCATGTATGGCGTGCTGAGGAAGTTTGCTTTGTTTGATCATTTTCTCTTCCCCTCACCCCCATCAGCTGGCTAATAATGTTTTCCATGTTAAATGTGTATCACAGCCTGTTGAAATCCCTGTGGTTAATCAGAAGAGAAGTTGTTTCTATCCTATGGAACCTTAATACAGTTGTCAGGAGGTTTGTGAACAGAAATTCAGAATTCATCACACTGTAACGATGATCTAAAGGTCAAGTTGTACAGTATAAATTTGAAAATCTCTCTCTGACTTCCTTTCTACCTAAATTAGAGCCTAAAAGTCATGAGAATTTTGTCTTCTTTTTGTTTATTTTAGAGATAGCATAGTCGATGTTTTAAAAAGTTGCCACCTTTTCACTATAATGCGCTCCCATTATCAGAGATGTTTATTCTGGTTGTATCTCTCTGACAACCTTCAATACTTAACAGAATAATTTAGTTTGGATTCAAAGAAGTGCCTCTTCTATTTCTGTGTTTGTTTCTAGAAACTTTGAGGTGGAGGAATTATTGTTCCTTCTTCTTGGCAATGTTCAGGGTTTCACGAATCTGACTTTTAAAAGCCCAGCTCTCAGCCCCGAGCCTCTCATGAGTTAAAGAAAGGGTTT
Source organism: Homo sapiens (assembly GCF_000001405.40). Taxonomy (NCBI): domain Eukaryota; kingdom Metazoa; phylum Chordata; class Mammalia; order Primates; family Hominidae; genus Homo; species Homo sapiens. Next base: position 101,934,590 of record NC_000007.14, read on the forward strand.
TGCAGCTTTTGGTAGACGAGAAACACATTTTATGGCTCTTCATGAAGTTGCCCGCTCCGTCCACGTCCTGTCCTCTTCCTCCTTCCCAGTTTCTGGGCTCCCTGGCTCTTGTCATGAGGCTTTCAGTTTTGTGTCCCAGAAAGCGCTTCCCCCGGGGACAGTGCCATGCCAAGGCTGGGAGAAGGGAAAAAGGAGGTGTTTATCGCCTTGAAGATGCCTTCCAGCCTTTATTATTAACTCCCTTCCAAAGTAAACTTTCGGGTTTTTTTCAAGTCTGTTCTGGCCAAAGTACAGTTGGGTTTGCCGTGTTCTCTAGGAGTAGAGGTGAAAACAGCATTGCCCGGGGTGAGGAGCAGGAGGAGGAAGGGTCCACGTATAGGAGTGGATGGAGGGGATCTGTGAGACAGCTGCTGGGACAGATCCGACTTGGAGACTGTCAGGCCTCTGAGCCCAAGCTAAGCCATCATATCCCCTGTGACCTGCACGTACACATCCAGATGGCCGGTTCCTGCCTTTACTGATGACATTCCACCACAAAAGAAGTGAAAATGGCCTGTTCCTGCCTTAACTGATGACATTATCTTGTGAAATTCCTTCTCCTGGCTCATCCTGGCTCAAAAGCTCCCCTACTGAGCACCTTGTGACCCCCACTCTGCCCGCCAGAGAACAAACCCCTTTTGACTGTAATTTTCCTTTACCTACCCAAATCCTATAAAACGGCCCCACCCCTTTCTCCCTTCGCTGACTCTCTTTTCAGACTCAGCCCACCTGCACCCAGGTGAAATAAACAGCTTTATTGCTCACACAAAGCCTGTTTGGTGGTCTTTTCACACGGACGTGAGTGAAAGAGACTGCCATTCATGAATGGACAAGGCCTGGCTCCGTCCACGCTTTCCCAGCTCTGTGTCCTGCCATCGGACATGCTGGCACATCTGCTGTGGGTGCCCTGCACTTCTCCGGGCACTCCTGGCCCAGCTGGGGAGGTTGGCATGGTATCCACCATTTTGTTCTAAAGTAGTAAATGAAACTCTTGGGAGGGCAGCACCCAGCAGATGTTTGGAGCTAGAGACAGGGCTCTGGGGATGTGTAGGAACCCGGACCTGGTGTGGCAATGGTGTGGGGCTGTCACGAGGCGTGAGGAGGCTGGGGTGGTGTTGGGGACAGCACACGATGCTGGGGCTCAGGCCAAGTGAAGCTTGGACTTCACTCTGTCTGAGGCTTTGCCAAGTGTCAGAGGGTGCACACTTGGGAGTCACATGGCCAGGCTCACATTTCCAGCCGAAGTTACACTCTACAGCCTGGCAGCAGATGGACGTTTGGGGACAGAGGTGGAGCCGGAACAGCTGAGACACTGTTTTAGAGGACTCTGCGAGAAACACGCTCTTAAAACAAGGAAGCGGTGGTTATGTCTTATTCAACAACGATCTGTTGTGGACCAGCTGTGTGCCAGGCAGTTGCAGGCCCTGAGGCTGCAGCAGTGAGCAGAAGGCCAAGGTCCCTGCCCTCGCGGTGCTTACATTCTAGTGGAGACAGATGTTAAACTACAGGGCAGGAAAACACTGTCAAGGAGATGCAGGTGGAGGATTCTGACTGTGGAACTGGGGCATAGAGACAGTGGGTTTTGAAAGCACTTGGCTGAGAAGGATGGGAGGAGGGAGGAGGGAGGAGGGCGGGTACATCTGTAGATGGACCAGGTTAAGGTATGGACTTCCCCATCCTGACAAGGGGGAGCCCCAAGCTTGTTTTCAGGTGTGACGGGGGTGGGGAGAAAGAGAGCATTCCAAGAGAGGCACGAACGTCATTTCCAGAGCGAGATGAAGGTCACAGAGTTTGGGAGGAGATGGGATCCGGCACTCGGGCTGGCGAGCAGACAGGAGGGAACTCAGGGAGATGGGAACCCCGGGGAGGAAGTTAGGGCAGGATCCCCTGGGAGTTTTCCCGGATACATAGGAGAAAAGGTTATCCTTCAAGGGTGAGCGGGGGCTAAGTGCAGGGGACAGAAGAGAGGAAAGCCCGGCGACCATCATGCCCGGCTGCCGTGGGTGGTCTGGATTGGAGGCGGCAGCCGGGCTGTGTTTGTGCGGAGGGTGGCAGGGGGCCAGCGGAGGAAACTGCCCAGGCGCCAGCCCTGCCATCCCCACCGGCCTCCTCGCTTTGGGGTTTTGCTTTCTGCCCTGGCCACGTGGGACCGGCTAGGTGGAGATCATGCAATCAGGGTTCCCAGCTCTCAGAACCATAATGGTTAAGCAAGCAGCTTCGTTTCCAGGCACGCAGGAGCTCCCCCGTGTCAGCGTTTTCCTAACATGGCTAATCATAAAAACCTCCTGGGTGTGTGTGTATGCTTGTTAAAAATACTGTCCCTGGGCCCCACCCTAGACTTAGTGAGACACAGTCACCGGGGAAGGGCCTGGGGACTTGCATTTAGAACCAGCTCCTGGAATGCTTACTCTGAGGCCAGTTTGGGCCCCCTCCCATGGCCTCCCTCTGTGTCCCTTCCTCCAGATGCTGATTGAGGATGTGTCCCCTGCCGGGACTGTGTTTGCATGTCTCTGTCTCTGTCACAAAGTAGATGCCTGGGGAGTGTGTGCTGCGTGGCCCCCTGAAGACCCTGTACCGGGATGTCAGCACCCCAGCCCCCAGCTCCTCCCCCTGTGAAAGACATTAGCTCCTGGAGGGGCTCAGGTGGTGGAAATGAATCTTAGCATCAATGTTTAGACCTAAAAGCCATCTCCAGGTCATCATAGCACATGACAGAGATAGAGGCAGAACCTGGTGGCCATAGGATTATTTCTGAGCAAAGATCGCCCAAGCTTTGGCATAGGCCAGGGTTATTCACATGTCCGAGTCCCTGGAAGTGGGGTGTGAGGAGGTTGTGGGGGGCCTTCAGAATGAGGGAAAAGGGATAAATCAAAATCAAGTCTTTTTTTTTTTTTTTAATTGAGACAGAGTCTCGCTCTGTCTCCCAGGCTGCAGTGCAGTAGCACGATCTTGGCCCATTGCAACCCCTGCCTCCCAGGTTCAAGCAATTCTCCTGCCTTAGCCTCCCGAGTAGCTGGGACTACAGGTACGTGCCACCATGCCCAGCTAATTTTTTTGTATTTTTAGTAGAGACGGGGTTTCATCATGTTGGCCAGGGTGGTCTCGAACTCCTGAGCTCAAGTGATCCACCCGCCTTGGCCTCCCAAAGTGCTGGGATTACAGGCGAGAGCCACCGCGCCCAGCCTAATGATATAAATATTAGTAGATTTCTGCTTACTCACTTCACCACCAGCATTTTCTAGCAAATGTGAGTTCAGCAGACACCAAAGATTTTTATAAATCAAAGTAGACAGTCTTTAACGTTGAGAAGATTCTGTTAACTCATCTGTTCTACCCACACTCTTGCCCTTCCCTCCTCACAGAAAAGCCAGGAGAAGGGTGAATAATTGAATTACAGATGACAGTAAATATTTGGATCTAGCTGCTTATGAGGCCTTAATGATATCAGTCAGTACAAAAGGTTGATATCCATGTTTTTTGGTGTGTGTATTTTTTTTTTTTTTTGAGACAGTCTCACTCTGTCACTCAGGCTGGAATGCAGTGACGTGATCACAGCTCACTGCAGCCTCAACCTCCCAGGTTCAAGCGATCCTTCCATCTCAGTCTGCTGGGTAGCTGGGACCACAGGCGTGTGCCACCACACCCAGCTAATTTTTTGCAGAGACAGGGTCTCGCTATGTTGCCCAGGTTGGTCTCTCAAACTCTGGGGCTCAAATGATCTTCCTGTGTCAGCCTCCCAAAGTGCTGTAGTTACAGGCATGAGCCACTGTGCCTGGCCGATATCCACCATGTTTGGAGCCTGTTTTTGGTTACATTTCATCCTCATCTACTGGCCTGGAGATATTGGTGTCAATCAGTTCTTCACTGGGGGAAGAGATTTTTTTAAAAAGTCAGATTTACACTCAGTAAGATTCACCCTTTTCAGGTGTCCACTTTGATGAATTTTGACAACCACATATAGTCATGTGCCACCACCACTATTAAGATAGAGGACAGGCTGGGTGCAGTGGCTCACACCTGTAATCCCAGCACTTTGGGAGGCCGAGGTTGGCAGATCACCCGAGGTCAGGAATTCGAGACCAGCCTGGCCAACATGGCAAAACCCTGTCTCTACTCAAAACACAAAAATTAGCCGAGCGTGATGGCTCATGCCGGTAATCCCAGCACTTTGGGAGGCTGAGGCGGGCAGATCACTTGAGGTCAGGAGTTTGAGACCAACCTGGCCAACATGGTGATACTTCGCCTCTACTAAAAACACAAAAATTAGCTGGGCATGGTGGTGTATGTCTGTAATCCCAGCTACTTGGGAGGCTGAGGCAGGAGAATCGCTTGAACCTGGGAGATGGAGGTTGCAGTGAGCCAAGATCGTGCCACTGCAGTCCAGCCTGGGCAACAAGACCAAAACTCTGTCTCAAAAAAAAAAAAAATACATATATATATATATATATATATATATATATATATATATATATATATATATATATATGATGGTTCCACTGTCCCCCCTATTCTCCCAGGCCTCTATGTAGTCAGTCCCTTCCCCCACCCTCAGCCCATGGTAACCACTTATCTGTTTTTTGCTGGCATCATTTTGTATTTTCTGGAGTGTTACATAGAGGGATCATACCATATGCAGTCTTCGAGTCTGGCTTCTTTCACTTAGCGCAGTGGATTTGCAGTTCAACAGTGTGGCCGCTGTCAGTGCCAAGTAGTATTCCATTGTATGGATGTACCACAGCATGGAGGGATTTTTAAGGCTGGTCAGGCAGTGCTTATGTCACAGGTCCAACATCCAGTCCCCTGGGCCATTTAAAGCCAAGCACAGCCCCACACCTAACCCTCGTCTGAACGATCTTGTACAGCCACTCTGCAGTTTCACATCCTGAATGTGAGCAGTCTTTTTTTAAAGAAGGAGGTTTTGGGCCAGGTGCAGTGGTTCATGCCTGTAATCCCAGTACTTTGGGAGGCTGAGGCGGGTGGATCGCTTGAGCCCAGGAGTTTGAGACTGGCCTGGGCAACATAGTGAAACCCCACCTCTATAAAAAAAATACGAAAATTATTGGTGGTGGTTGCCTGTGGTCCCAGCTGCTTGGGAGGCTGAGGCAGGAGGATCACTTGAGCCTGGGAGTTTGAGACCAGCTGGGGCAACATAGTGAGACCCCTGTCTATAAAAAATACAAAAATTGGGGCTGAGCGCGGTAGCTCACACTTTGGGAGGCCAAGGTGGGTGGATCAGGAGGTCAGGAGTTCAAGACCAGCCTGACCGACATGGTGAAACCCCATCTCTACTAAAAAGACAAAAATTAGCCAGGCATGGTAGCGGGAACCTGTAATCCCAGCTACTTGAGAGCCTGAGGCAGAGAATTGCTTGAACCCGGGAGGTGGAGGTTGCAGTGAGCCGAGATTGCACCGCTGCACTCCAGCCTGGGCAATAGAGCGAGACTCCATCTAAAAAAAAAAAAAAAGCCGGGCATGGTGGTGTAAGCCTGTGGTCCCAGCTACTTAGGAGGCTGAGGCAGGAGGATTGCTTGAGCCCGGGAGGTTGAGAATGAAGTGAGCTCTGATTGCACCACTGCACTCCAGCCTGGGTGACGGAGGGAGACCCTGTCTCAGGAAAAAAAAAAAAAAGAGGAGGTTTTAATGTTCGCAAAGCTGGTCAGTTTCCAATCTGGTGTCACCAGTGGAAAAAAGATGTAAGTGTTGTTGGCAAGAGAAGCTCACCCAGAGACACGCTCCATGAAGTCCCTGACCCCCGCTGGGGGTGCCTGTGATGGAGGGTAGGCTGTGGTGCCTGCGGGCGCGCACAGGTGAGATGGAAGGAATAAGGGGTTATTCCTTCTGGGTGCAGCTCTGCCTGGAGGCCAGAGCTGTCCTCCTCCCTTCGATCTCTGAATTAAAGACGCTCTTCTAGTATTTTCTTATGTTGATATATATGTGTATATATATATATGTGTGTGTGTGTTTTCTTATTGTTCTAGTTCTTATATTGTCATTTAATTCCTTTGTCCTTTAGCTTGCAAGGGAATGTGTTTTCTTATTAGATTGTAAGCTCTGGGGAGGTAAGACCAGCACTTCCACCCTCCCAGATCCTTGGTTGGGCACGTTATTGATCAGTCCACATCTGTTGCTTGGCTGATTGATTAAATGCTGTGGTGCCCGTGTTCACTGAGGGATTCCAGACCCCTGTCTAGCCCAAGGATGCCTCACAGTGGGAATGCTGGCACAGCTGTCTTGGCAATCAGTAGACCATCCTGTCAGTTCTTCAAGCCCAGAGAGGGTCCGTGACTTGCTCAGAGTCACACAGCAATCCATTAGCGAGGCCAGCCCCTTCCCTGGGCTCTGCATTTCTCTTGTAGTGAAGAGCTCCTCACAGTTTATTTGCATACTGTAAATTTGCAAAGTCAGAAGGAAAAGGGCAGGGAGCCGGGCTTCCTTGAGGCAGGTGGCTCTTTTAAAGCTGGGGCATGTTGTCGCCAATCTGAGCTTGTTTCCATGGACGCAGCCAGCCGGGCAGCCTGTTCCCGTCAACCTGAGCCCTGATGGAGCCTCGGACCTGACAGGCTGCCTGGGGAACTCACTGGGAGGAGGGCGGGTTGGGGGAGACCCAGAAGCCATGCTGGAGTCTCTCTCTGGCCTACTTTTTGCCATAGTTTGAAGGGAAAGTTAGTGAATTGCCAGGATCAACCTGCAGTTTCCCCAAAACTTGCACAGGAGTGGCTTTCATCGCTGCATGGGGAGACCTCCTTTGCGGGTCTGCTTAGCGGTAGCTGGATTGTCTCTGAGGGATACCTGGCTTTCCTAACTGTTCCTGGAGAATCTTAAAGACGAAAATGGAAGAAAGGGCTCACATCTTTGTTTTGTGCTGCAAGCAAAGTCTTGGAAAAATGAATGATGCCAATGGAATCTATTTCTTGTAATTAATTTCCTCAAGCTACTGGATCTCCTTTTCTTGCTGAGATTGTGGTTTGGCAGCTGCAGTTTGATAGCCCCATTCTGAGACTGGATCCCTCTCTTCCCTCATCTGGTAGTTTTCACGTCGGGGCATTCCTGAACTCCGTCTGCCTCGTTTCAGGCTGGGATCACAGATCAGGAGCGAAGGCTTTATGATATTAACTAGTCAACAGATACATTCTTTGAAGAATTTCTGTGTTTTTAATTACCCCACGAAAGCCTTTGGACGCACGGGTTATGAGGGGCATTTTGCATTGCTAAATTCCAGCCTTGATTGCAAACCTGAAAAGAGCAGAAACTGCTCAGAACAAGTTGTTAAAACCACAGACACAAGGGAAAGGTTTCTCTCTCTCCCTCCCCCTCTCTCTGTCCCTGTTTTTAAGTCCTTTCAGCTGGAGGTGAAACTGCAACGTTATCAAACATGCCAGTACACACTGTTTCCCAGGCCTGTTTTTGCATGAGTTGGGGTAGAAATGTACCCAGCTTCTGTTCCAGTAGGTGGAGAAAGATGCTTAAATCCTAGAAGCACTGTTCACCTACCTTTTTAGGGTACTGCAGGTTTAGCTCGAGGGTTGGAGGGCATCCAGAAAAGCATGACTAAGAGAGAAAAAGACTACTCCCAAAGCTAACAGGGTGGAGTATCATAGCCAGGACAGGAAAATTCCCAGCAGGGAAACGGCCTGTCTGTAATGCAGACACATTGGGTCATAGGTTTGCTTTCACAGAATAAGTGAAATGGAACAAAAGTCTTTTTTGAATTCTCATTCCAAGAGGCCCAGTTTCTGCAGGTGTGTCTTTTCGATCTTACCTTGTATTCAGTATTATTTCAAGCAATCTCCATTTTAGGCAGTGTCTACTCCAGACCAAAAAACCTGGCTAAGAAAGAAATTTTGTTGATTTTGAGACAGGGTCTTTCTCTGTCGCCCAGGCTGGAGTGCAGTGGTGTGGTCTCAGCTCACTGCAGCTTCAACCTCCTGGGCTTCAGCGATCCTCCCACCTCAGCCTCCCTAGCAGCTGAGACCACAGATGCCTGCCACCACACCCGGTGAATCTTTAAATTATTTGTAGAGACAGGGTTTCCCTGTGTTGCCCCAGGCTGGTCTCAAACCACTCCTGGGCTCAAGTGATCCCCCTGCGTCGACCTCCCAAAGTACTGGGATCACAGGCGTGAGCCACCGCAGGCCTCCCAGACTCTGGGTCAGAGGGCAGCTTGAGCTCCTCCACCGACTGCTCCAAGCCTTTGCCCCAGCTCTTGGTGCCTGGGGTGGTGGGAGCAGCATGGGCTTCGCTGCACACGGACCTGGGCCCAGATCTTGGTTCCATCGGCTGCTGGGAGATCAGTTCCCTTCTCTGCACCTCCATTCAGCTTGGACGGGAATCTGTCCTTCCTAGAACAGCTGTGATTAATAACTGAGACCACACCCATGTTCGTTGTGGCTTAGCGCCATGCACACAGGTACCTAGTGGATGTTAACTTTCCTCTCCATCCTGGTCAGTGCTTTTTTTTTTTTTTTTTTTTTTTTTACTTTTTCTTTTTCTGTTTTTGAGATGGAGTCTCGCTCTGTCACCCAGGCTGGAGTGCTGTGGTGCAATCTTGGCTCACTGCAACCTCCACCTCCCTGGTGCAAGAGATTCTCCTGCTTCAGCCTCCTGAGTAGCTGGGATTACAGGTGCCCGCCACCATGCCTGGCTAATTTTTGTATTTTTAGTAGAGACGGGTTTTCACCATGTTGGCCAGGTTGGTCTTGAACTCCTGAGCTCAAGTGATCCACCCGCCGTGGCCTCCCAAAGTTCTGGGATTACAGGTGTGAGCCACTGCACCCGGCCTCTGGTCAGTGCTTCTGTTGAGTTCAAGAAAAATGACCAATTCATCTAAAACCCCGAGCTGGCAGATGCTCTCCCGCGCGGCGGCGGCTGACGTCAGTGCTACTTTCAGCGTCTTTGGTGCAGTCTTGGTGTTCGCTCTCAAATGGGCTCTTTTCAGTATCACATATCATATGCAGGATGCAGAGGGGCCCGGCTTACATACCGAGAGTCAGAGGACTCATGCGGCCACAAGTAGGTTGGGAACAGTGTCCCCTAATAGGATGAGTTTTGGGCTTTAAAATTTAAAAAAAAAAAAATGGGGGCATTGATGAGTCTCGTTGGCACCTTTTGGCTTGTGGAGGCTCGTGATCTAATATTGGTCTCTGCTGTATACCCAGCACACTACCTGCCACTTAGCCATTCCATAAATATCGTTAAATAAGTGAATTAGGCCGAGTGCCATGGCTGACACTTGTAATCCCAGCACTTACAGAGGCCGAGGTGGGAGGATCGCCTTGAGCCCAGGAGTTTGAGACCAGCCTGGGCAACATAGCGAGACCGCGTCTCTATTTAAAAATTAAAAAAAAAAAAAAAAAAAGACAACTTGAGCCGCACACAGGTTCTTGCCAAAGCCTCTATTAGTGCTGTGACTCGGGAAAGAAAACTTGTTTTTTTCTTCAGTTGACTGGGCTCAGCCATCCCAGGTGTGAGTGACTCAGGCCTTGAGAGCAGGTAATGGATCCATAGGGAGCCCTGTCCCCACCCAGGGAGACTGTCCCAGCCCCTCCCGATGGCTCCTTCCAGAAAGGGGCGCAGTGGGCTGGGTTGCAGGGGGTAGTTGTGTCCAAGAGTCCTGCAGGATGGAGTGGGAAGGGGCAGGAGGGGTGTCCTGCACTGCCAGCTGTTCATCTACCCCAGTGCCATGGAAACAGAGCTCCTGCTTTTCCCCAGGAAGGCGTTGATACATTTATAGGCTAGCATTCAACATCAGCGTTGTGCTCTGGCAGTCTCAGCAGTAAGACATAAACCTACCAAGGTCTGGGGGAAGCACTGGGTGTTACCATCCTGGCTCACGCGGGAGACGCATGCTCCTCCGTGACTGTTTGTGGCCAGTGAGCCACCAGTTGACACCAGCAATCCAGCCTTCTGCCCCTCTCACTTCACAGATGAGGGAAGTGGGGATCTGCCTAAGGTCACACTTTGGTGCATTTCTCAAATCAAACCCAGGAGCCGGAATTTTTCTACTGAGCTCCTGCTAAGACACCCTGGGTCGTTTCCTCCGGGCAGTCCATGTCATCTGCTGTGGCGTGTATGTTCATGGGTGATTCTGTTTCTGTTTTTAAACCCTGTGCCTCTTGGTTGGTGCTTTTCCTCCTGGAGGATGCTGCAGACCTGCAGCGGTCACCTCGGGCCACCCAGGGAGCAGGTGGGCACACCCAGGTTGCATCTGTCGCCACACTGGTGCAGGCCGTGTTGCACATCACTGCTGCCGGGTTGACCCCACTTGGTATGAAATGAGAGGGCCTCTTTTCTGAAGCAAGGTGTTGCAATTTAGCCTGGGGATGAAGCTGCTTCTTCCAATACCCAGAGTTAACACCAAATGCCACGAGAGTGAGAAAATAAGACAGCATTGCACTTTCCCAGAAATTGTCACCCCAGGGTGCCACCCCACCTCCCAAGCCCACTCTGGGACTCCTTCCACACACAGTCACCCACTGGTTACCAAGCCTGCGGGGCAGGTGCTAGGTGCGTGCTGGGAGTCAGGGGTGGATGAGGTCTTTTGCAGACAGGGCAGAGCGACCTCAGGGCAGAGCCATGAGGGCCTGTGTGCAGCGGCTTCCACCCAGGCAGGCTCCGGCTCTGCACCTTCAGCTACAGGATACACTTGCTTTCGACACCTCCACTGTCATTTAGACACAAAGCACACCACCACCGAAACCACTCCACAGAATGTAGAGTTTCTTGCCAGGAAAATAAAATAAATTAAAAGTCACTAATACTTTTATTTAAATTGCGAGTACATTTCCTCGCTGTTGCATTTTGTAATTTATACCTGGGAGTTAATTTATTGTTATTTACAGTTGCACAAGGACTCATGGAAATGCCTTGTGTATCGAGTGTTCTCATTATGCTGGGCACGGTCCCAGGTGCCGGGGAGGCAGGTCATAGTCCTGGCCTCGTGGAGCTGATGTTCTGAACGAGAGTTGAGTACCCAGTGGGACATCCTGAGAGCCCAATGCAGGTCCTGGTCAGGGCTGTGGGGACTGTGGGGAAGACCTGGATGGCAAGAGGAGTAGGGACAAGATCTACAGGATTCTGCATGCAGGGCTGCAGGCCAAGAGGGAGGAGTTGGGGGTTCTAGTCCGCTAGGTTCAGGGAGCCAGACGTGTCTGCTGTCCCAAACCTCCTGTGCTCAGGAACGTGGTTCTGATGAGCCTGTATCACCTTCCCTTCCCTCCACCTATGGGTCTGAGTGGCAGGAAGAGTTCTAGCTGTGTCAGCCAAGGCCGGGGACACCAGAGGCACAGGGCTTGGTTTAGGAGTCAAGACAAGGCATTTGCTTATTTAAAGAATGAGTTCTATGCACTTCCAATGAGTGGTTCTGTGGTCAGGAGGGCGGCACCTGGAGAGAGGTCAAGGTAGAATTGTGGATTTGGAAGGGTGGAGGATGGAAGGCCCCAGAGGAAACCAGCAGTCAGGGACTGAGGAGGTGATGGCATTCTCTAGTGTGATGTGTGGACAGACAGAGTAGAAGAACCAAAACCAGTCTTGGAGCGACAGGTGGGTCAGACGGCAGCTTTCTCTGGACCCGGGTCAGGAAGAGAAGGGTTTCCAGCAGGAGGGAAGATTGCGCTTAGGAAGAGAAGGGTTTGCTGGGCTCGATGGCTCACGCCTGTAATCCCAGCACTTTGGCAGGCCAAGGCATGTGGATCACCTGAGGTCAGGAGTTCATTTTGAGACCAACCTGGCCAACGTGGTGAAACCCTGTCTCTACTAAAAATACAAAAATTAGCCCAGCGTGGTGGTGTGCGTCTGTAATTCCAGCTACTTGGGAGGCTGAGGCAGGAGAATCACTTGAACCTGGGAGGTGGAGGTTGCAGTGAGCCAGGATCGTGCCACTGCACTCAAGTCTGTGTGACAAGAGCGAGACTCCGTCTCAAAAAAAAAAAAAAAAAAAAAGAGAGAAGGGTTTCCAGCAGGAGGGTCAGTGGCGGTGAAGCTTGCAGCTGGCAAATGTTGGGTTGGATTTGGGGTGGGGAGTGAGGCCAGGAGCTGGTGGAGGGGGGCAGAGGAAGGAAAGATCACTCACTGCTAAGCCTTTCAGATGAGTTCCCCGTGGTCATCAGAGGTAGGCCTTGCTGTCTTAATTTTACAAAAGATGAAAGCCACAGGAGGCATAGACTTGCTCAGAGAATTCATACTCAGTTCAGCAGACTCCAGTATTGATGCTCAACCCATGCTGCTGCTGGGGAGGGCTCAGGGGACAATGTTAAGTGAGACCAAGGAGGTGGCACCCCTGAACCAGTCTCTCCGTGAGCTCGGCGGTGAGAAAACAGTGCACAGGGAGAGGAGCCACAGAAGGCCCGGGATGTGTCACCCAGGGTTTCAGCTGGGAGGGGACAAAGCCGATTTGGGTGGGAGAGTGGAAGTAGGTCCCAAGAACTTTTATTTTAAATGTTTTGATGACAGATTTAAAACTTGAGTAACTTCATTGTAAAATGGCCAGGCGTGGTGGCTCACACTTGCAATCCCAGCACTTTAGGAGGCTGAGGCGGGAGGATCCCTTGAGCCCAGGAGTTGGGAGACCGGCCTTGGCAACATAGTGAGTGAGACCCTGTCTTGACAAAAAATTAAAGAATTAGCCAAGTGTGGTGACATGTGCCTGTAGTCTCAGCCACTTGGGAGGCTGAGGCAGGAGGATTGCTTGCACCCAGGAGCTCGAGGCTGCAGTGAGCCGTGATCATGCCACTGCACTCCAGCCTGAGCAAGAGCGAGACTCCGTCTCAAAAAAACAAAAACCGAAAAAACCACCTCACTATTCTAGGCCCGAGCCCGAGCTTAAATATTTACCCCATATCCAACCATAAGTTAATCCCGCACACACCTTCATCAGTTTCTTAAAGAAACTGGTGCCCCAGCACGGGGCATGCCAACGTATTAGACAGGCAACAACTTAGACATGGGGATGAAATGAATTCCATCTTAAATCTCAAAGTGCACAATACAGTCTCTAAAATTAAAGAAAAGAAAGATTTATTTCCAAAAAAGCCCACAGTGAAATAATTGTCTCAGTCTGTGGAGAGAGCTAATTTGGACAGAATCACATATTTTGATTCCTGGGATTTTTTTAAAAGGAATCTTTTAAAGCAGTAAATGAAATATTTTTGGATGTAGACAAAAATGACTTACTTAGCCATTCCACTGGCAATGTGGAAAGGATGAAGACCAATTTTGAGTTAGCAAGGACACCTTCAGAAAGTTCAGCTCCCAGGAATTGTTGACCCTAGCCATCCATGTCTGTATTTCCTGAGGACTATTGCTTACGGAATTAATTGGGACTAATTTCTGTTGCACCTGATCTCCAGCCAAAACACTCACATTTTGCCTCATCTGCAGAGACCTGGGCTGAGTTTTATCTCTGCGTCACTGCCGAGTTCCCTGCCCCCGCTCTGTTAACAGAGCTATAATTAACTCACAGGACGCCAGGCAGCCAGATTCGGCCAGGCGCCAAGAAATCAGCCCCAATTACTATATTCACATTGTCAGTAATGCCCACTTCACAGCTTCTGCTAATTTGAAATGGCAAGTTCCAACTTTCCATAGTAAAATTACCATTTTTGTCCTATTCTATTACGTGGTGATATTTGTCCATTATTTGGGCTCCGTAAACTTGGCATTATCACGACAATTAGTTGTTGAGGGTTTTCTAAAATGATTTGCAATTACATCTCTTAAGCGGAAAACTGTCTGCTCTGATGGAGTGAGAATCCATTCCCTCTGTGCCCTAGATCCACTTTAGGAATTGGCTTTTCATAGGGGAACGTGGTGCCTCGGGATTTTATAATAAAGTCGAGCCTTTAAAATAAGGGCTAGCCTTGGAACGTTGCCTGCTTTGTAGATTTCCAGTGTTCAAGTTGTCTGATTTCTTTATAAAGATGGAGAAGTGTCTCTGTCCCTCTGGGTCTCCGAGTTCCCTTGAGTCTGGGCCTCTGTATCTGGATCCCCTCAAGCCCTACTTTGTTGTAAGAGCCAAATTAGCCAGGGGCTACTGGTTGGTGGCTCTGCTGGGGGGGCATCACAGAGTCTCTCTTCTCTGACATTTGCTGACCTTCAACCCGCCCTGGTACAGGAGCACCCCATTGAGGTCCTCCGTTTTCCAGAGTCCTGTCCCTGAGGAATCACCTGCCTGAGTCCCTGAGCTTGGGACTGGCTGGCCTGATTGGGTTGTACATTTTGTTCTCTTTTCAGCAGAGAAATCTCAGGAGGCACCATGCCAGGCCACTGTGCCCCTGCAAGTGTGTCTGAGTATGGCCCAGGACCCTGCCCATCACTGGTCTGCAACAAGATAAGCACAGAAGTTCAGAGTAGGTGTCTAGAAATGTTCATAGCAATTTAACGTGACGGTGACATCCAAGTGGCATTTTAATTTTATTTTATAAAGATCTGAGTCCACAATGGGCTGGAAATGTAAAAATCTGTTGTGTGTTCTTCTCCCACAGATTGTTTGACAAACATTGGTCATTATTATTATTATTATTATTTTGAGACAGAGTCTCACTCTGTCGCCCAGGCTGGAGTGCAGTAGTGCGATCTCAGCTCACTGCAAGCTCCACCTCCTGGGTTCACGCCATTCTCCTGCCTCAGCCTCCCGAGTAGCTGGGACTACAGGCGCCCGCCACCACGCCTGGCTAATTTTTTGTATTTTCAGTAGAGACGGGTTTCACCGTGTTAGCCAGGATAGTCTCGATCTCCTGACCTCGTGATCCGCCCGCCTAGGCCTCCCAAAATGCCGGGATTACAGGTATAAGCCACCGCACCCAGCCAAACATTGGTCATTATTTAATCTCCTCATCTCTGATTGGATTTCACTGTGATCATTTACTGTGGCTAAGGCAGAGTGCTTGCTTTTTTTTTTTTTCTTTTTCTTCCTTTTTTTTTCTTTGAGACAGAGTCTCACTCTGTCGCCCAGGCTGGAATGTAGTGGCACGATATTGGCTCACTGCAACCTCCACCTCCCGGGTTCAAGTGATTCTCGTGCCTCAGCCTCTCAAGTAGCTGGGATTATAGGTACACATCACCATGCCCAGCTAATTTTTGTATTTTTAGTAGAGATGGAGTTTTGCCATGTTGCCCAGGCCAGTCTTTGAACTCCTGACCTCAGGTAATCCACCCACCTCAGCCTCCCAAAGTGCTGGGATTACAGGCATGAGCCACCACGCCTAGCGAGTGCTTGCTTTTTCTGCTAGACAGTGGTCCTCAGGCCCAATCCCTGAGAGAGGGGCTTCTGAGAGGTGAAGGAGGCAGGAGTTCTTGCCCCTGACTCTCAGGAGCTGGTGTCTCCTGGGCATCACTCACGGATGGGCTGATTATTGCTCATTACCCCACAGGATCCGACAGTTCCAGTACAAGCTGCTTCTTTGAGACAGAGTCTCACCCTGTCGATCAGGCTGGAGTGCAATGCTGGCGCGATCTCAGCTCACTGTAACCTCCGCCTCCTGGGTTTAAGCGTTCTCGTGCCTCAGCCTCCCGAGTAGCTGGGATTACAGGCACCCGCCACCACACCCGGCTAATTTTTGTATTTTTAGTAGAGACGAGGTTTCACCTTGTTGGTCAGGCTGGTCCTGAACTCCTGATCTCAGGTGATCCGCCTGCCTCAGCCTCCCAAAGTGTTGGGATTACAGGCGTGAGCCACTGCGCTCGGCCCAGAAGACTTATATTTTATGATATAAGAAAATTATATGAAATTCCCAAAAAAACCCAGAAAATTATATGAAATTCAAATTTCATTGCCCATAGTTTGTTGTTTTTTTAAAAAAAAAATTGTAGTAAAATACACATAACATAAAATTTACCATTTTAGTTATTTTGAAATCTACAGTTTAGTGGAATTAGGTACATTCAGTGTTGTGCAAGCCATCACTGCCATCCATCTCCAGAACTTTTTCATCATTCCATAACTCACCTCCATAAATAAAGTTTTATTGGCACTCAGCCATACTCATTTGTTTATCTATTGTCTGTGGCTGCTTTTCTGGGCTACAGCAGCAGAGTTGAGTAGTTGCAACAGAGACCATATGGCCTGCAAAACTTAAAATATATTTTTTTCTTCTTTCTTTTCTTTTTTTATAGAGATGAGGTCTCACTACGTTGGCCAGGCTGGTCTCAAAAATCCCAGACCTAAGCAGTCTTCCTGCCTTGCCTCCCAAAGTGCTGGGATTACAGGCGTGAGCCATGTAGAATATTTACTATCTGACCCTTTCCAGTAAAACTTGGCCAACCCCTGTCCTGGTGCACACTCTCCTTACTTCTTAGTTACCATAGCAACTGCCTAACTGGTCTCACTTCCTTTGGTTTCATTCCCTTTCTGTATATCTGCCCCCTGGAGGAGTTTTTCCAAGATACAATTCTGATTGATTAACTTCGCTGGTTAAAATCTTTTAGCAGGCTGGTGCGGTGGCTCAACTTGTGATCTCAGAACTTTGGGAGGCCAATGTGGGCAGATCACTTGAGGCCTGAAGTTCTAGACCAGCCTGGGCAACATAGCAAAACACCATCTCTACTAAAAATACAAAAAATAAGCCGGGTGTGGTGGCGCACGCCTGTGGTCCCAACCACTTGGGAGGCTGAGGTGGGAGGATTTCTTGAGCCTGGGTGGCAGAGGTTGCAGTGAGCCAAGATCATGCCACCGCACTCCAGCCTGGGTGATAGGGTGAGACACTGTCTCAAAAAAAAAAAAAATTCCTTTAGCAGCATCCTGTAGACTAATGCCATGTCTGGGAACACCAGTCCCAGGATAACTGCACTAGTTATTAAAGGCTCTATAAACTCTTGCAGAAAAGAAACCTGCTGAACATCGATCAACCCAGTACCCTTCAAAACTCATTGACTGGGCAAGTCTTTTTCCTTTTTTTTTTTTCTGGAGACAGTCTCGCTCTGTTGCCCAGGCTGGAGCGCAGTGGCATGATCTCGGCTCACTGCAAGCTCCGCCTCCAGGGTTCATGCCATTCTCCTGCCTCAGCCTCCTGAGTAGCTGGGACTACAGGCGTCCGCCACCACACCCTGGCTAATTTTTTTTTATTTTTAGTAGAGACAGGGTTTCACCGTGTTAGCCAGGATGGTCTCAATCTCCTGACCTTGTGATCCGCCCGCATCGGCCTCCCGAAGTGCTGGGATTACAGGTATGGGCCACTGCATTTTTCTTATCACCCATTCTCATTAGCCTACAGCAGGGATTGGCAAACTGTTTACTGTAAAGAACCAGATGGTAAAATACTGTAGGTTTCGGCAGGGCCATATGGTCTGTTACAAAGACTCAACTCTGCTGTAAAGTAGCCATAGATAATACAAAAATGGTGGGCGTGGCTGTATGCCGATAAAACTTTATCTAAAAAGACAATCAGGCCCATTTGAACTCCTGTCCTGTAGAGCAGTGGCTGTCAAGGTGTGGCCCAGGCCAGCAGCATCACAGGACCTGGGGACTTGTTAGAATTGCAGATTCTGACCAGGCGTAGTGGCTCACACCTATAATCCCAATACTTTGAGAGGCCAAGGTGGAAGGATTGTTTGAGGAGTTCAAGACCAGCCTGGGCAACATAGCGAGACCCCGTCTCTACAAAAAAAAATACAAAAATTAGCTAGGCGTGGTAGCATATGCCTGTATTCCCAGCTACTCAGTAGACTTGAGGATTGCTTGAGACCTGGAAGGTTGGAGCTGCAGTGAGCCGTGATTGCGCCACTGCACTCCAGCCTGGGTGACAGAGCGAGACCCTGTTTCAGTAATAAATAAATTAAAAGTACAGATTCTCGGGTCTACTCCAGACCTGCTGAATCAGAAAATACGCGGGCAGGCCCAGCCGCCTGTGCCTTCACCAGCTCTCCTGGTTAAGGCCTGAGAACCCTGCTACGGAACCCCGAGTACCTTTCAGAACATGTTGACCTCATTCGCAGGGATCAGTGGCCCTTTGTCATCTGGTCTCTGGCCAGTGTCCCTCCCTCATCTGGTGGACTTGGTACTGATGCCGAACCACCTGTGGGTTCCAAACGTGCCATTGTTTCTCCCACCCACGCATTTGCACAAATGTGGTCCTGTGTGGCTCACTCCCTTTTCTGCCGCCACCTTCTCCCCCACTGCGCCATGCTGGTCTCAGCTCGGGGCTTACCTGGTCCCAGAGGTGTGTTGGGAGGTCCCCACCCCTTGCCTCTGCCCGTTGCCTTTTCCACCCCTGCACTGGGTGTGCATAGGTGCGCAGGGCACGTGTGTGTCCTCTGCGGTCACTGACTTGATTGTCTGCCTTTCCCAGGAGGACATGGGCTCTGTCGGGACATTTTATCCGTCTGTTTACAACATGAAATAGACACCTCCGAAATGTGTGTGTGTTCCGTAAATGAAGGAGCAGAGGGACCCCTTCGGAGCATCTCAGAGGCCAGGAAGCCTGGCTTCTGGCCGCCCTGCCCGCTCCTCACGTGTGAGGGGAACTGGGGAAGTCGAGTCAGCCCGCTGGGGTTCCTGATTCTCTGCGGTTCTGGGAAGAGCTTGCAGTGGAAGGCCTCCCAGCCATTTCCTCTTCTCCCCCAACTGTGACTCACTGATTGATTAATGTTTGGAAATTGTGACTCATCTTGTTAGAGAAGGAAAAGGAAATTTTATTCTCTTCATTCTCCCTCCCTTTCAAATAAGTAATAAATAAAAAGTGGCTGATCTTCCACTTGGTGCGGTAAGAAGCATTTAAATACATTCCCGGCCCTCATAATTGGTGGCTTCTTGGAGAAAGGTACTTATTAGAAGAAAAACACTTCCCTATGTGTTGTTGTTCGGCCTTCTCGTTGATGAAATTACACGGTGAGTTGGTGAGCGAATTTACCTTGCCCCTTTTTAAAGGTATTTGTGGCAGCTCTTGTTGTAGGAATCAGGGGAGAGGAGCCACTTCTCTTTTAGTAAGAAATGCGAAGAGTGGCCTCTCCATCTTCAGAGTTTCAAAATGAGTTCACTCTGGTGGTGAGTAATGATGTCTTAAGCTGGCTTATTAAAGGCGGAGGAATAAGATGTTCTTGCTTTACCTCACGTACCAAATATAGATAAGGCGCTGGATCAGCAGAGCCTCAGGCCCGTGCCAGGACACAGTCGGGCCTGGCGATGTCTGTTTTGTCTCACGACTGGAGGGTTGAAGGGGAAGCACAGCCTTTGCTTTTAAGGGTTTTCTTCTGGGAAATCCACAAAAAAAAAAAAAGCATTTGTTCACTTCTCACGTTGTGATGTTGAAATTATGGCTTGGAGTTTTACATTTGCCTTTTAATTCTCTTTATGGGCAGCATGTCTGTATGTCTTAGGCTCTTGGTTCTGGAAGACCAAGTAAATTCAGTATCTTTTCAAATTGTAACCCTCTGGTCTGGGTAACACAGCAAGACCCCCATCTCTACAAAAAAAATTTTTTTAAGTCAGCCAGGCATGGTGGTGCACACCTGTAGTCCCAGCTACTCAGGAGGCTGAGACGGGAGGATCACCTGAGACACGAGTTTATGTGTCTGAGACGCCTGAGACAGGAGTTTATGACCATCCTGGGCAACATAACAAGAGCCCATCTCTATGACAAAATGTGAAAATTAGCCAGGTACAGTGGTGCACACGTGTAGCCCCAGCTACTTGGGAGGCTGAGGTTGGGGGATAGCCCAGGAGTTCAAGGCTGCAGTGAGCTATGATGGTGCCACTGCACTCCAGCCTGGGTGACAGAGTGAGACCCTGTCTCAACAAAATAAAATTGTAACCCAAAGTAAGGGCTCAATAAATGTTAGCCACTGTGATTATTCTATTATTCCCGTCCTCGTTGTAAATATTTGTGTGGCTTGGTGCCTAGCGTCTTTTGTAGCTGTATGTATTGCCAAGGAGAATCCCAAGGAAAAAAAGTAGAAATATGGTTAAAGCTGGCTGGGCACAGTGGCTCATGCCTATAATCCCAGCACTTTGGGAGGCCGAGGCAGGCAGATCACTTGAGTGCAGGAGTTTGAGACCAGCCAGAGCAACATAGCAAGACCCCTTCTCTACAGTGTGCTGGCATTTGCAGTGCAGCCACCATTGCCCATGGTAGCGATGAGGAAGCTGTGGCTTAGACCAACTTCCAGAATCACTGCTCTGGTCACACAGCTGCTCGCAGGTGGCATCATGAACACACCTAGTCTGACTGTTGCTTAACCACGACAAACTCCATCTCCTTCCACTTTGCCTGGCTGAGGATCGGATGCATTACATAGAAATATTTGAATTTGGAAGCTGTTGAAATACAGGTTCAGGCCAGGCATGGTGGCTCATGTGTGTAATCCCAGCACTTTGGGAAGCCGAGGCAGGCGATCACCTGAGGCCAGGAGTTCGAGACCAGCCTGGCCAACATGGTGAGACCCTGTCTCTACTAAAAATGCAAAAATCAACTGGGCCTGGTGGTGCACACCTGTAATCCCAGCTACTCGAGAGGCAGGAGAATTGCTTGAACCCTGGTGGCGGAGGTTGCAGTGAGCTGAGATCATGCCACTGCACTCCAGCGTGGGTGACAGAGACAGATTCAGTCTCAAAAAAAAAAAAAATGCAGGTTCAAGGAAGGGAGAGGATGATTTGTGTTCCGCTCTGCGCCTCCTCCCTGGTCCATTCCCTTCTCCCTGTTGGACCATTGCTGTGACACAGGTGATCTGAGCATCAAGAAAAAGGCATTTCTTGCTTCTCAGTGATATTAGCAAGCACCTGCTGCTTGTATTCACTGTGCTGAGTTCTACCCATTTATTCTCTCATTCAGTCTTTACATCTCCCTGATGAGGAGGCATAATAATATCATGCCCATTTTATAGACTTGAGGGAACTGAGCCCAAGCCATTCAGCCAGAGAGTAACCGAGCTGGAGTTCCACCAGGTCTGTCTGCTCTGATAGCAGGCATGCCTGACCTCCGCACCTACCCACTTCCCCACTTCTGCAGTCTCATGTGTCCCAGGGAACGCACAGCTGGGGCCCCTCTCCTAATTTGCACCCTTCCTGAGCCAGTTCAGAAGTCCCAGACTGTGTCTTTCTGGCTGGCTGTGTCACTGGGCCCAAGGATGGTGCTACGGGGCTAAAGATCTTCTACACTGACCCTCTCCACTAACGGGAAATCAGAAAAGGGAACTTGAAGAGAACATTGGCACCAATGGTTGGACCTAGGGATTTGTAGCCACCTTTCTAAGGGAGATAGAGGACAGGGCTAAGAGTCACAACTTTTGTTCTCTACCCTTGAGCAATCGAATACTTGCAAAGCCCTGTTTCTAAGGTTAAAAAAAAAAGGCTGGGCCCTGTGGCTCACGCCTGTAATCCTAGCACTTTGGGAGGCCAAGGTGGGCGGATCACGAGGTCAGGGGATGAGACCATCCTGGCTAACACGGTGAAACCCCGTCTCTACTAAAAATACAAAAAATTAGCCGGGTGAGGTGGCACATGCCTGTAGTCCCAGCTACTCGGGAGGCTGAGGCAGGAGAATGGCGTGAACCCGGGAGGTGGAGCTTGCAGTGAGCCCACGTCTCAAAAAAAAAAAAAAAAAAAAAAAAAGGAGGCAGCTTTGGGGGACAAAACATTCAGCGTGGCCGGCTCTCCGCATCTTACAGTGGTAGGGATGAAATGCACGCGCCCTCATTTGAAATGAGAATCGCAGTGCCTCAGTTAAACAGCGGCCTCTCCGGATGCCAAGCTGAGATCATTTCCATTTCTGTGCCGAGATCGGCCTTTTGCAGAGATAGATGGGTTATATTTATCACCAGCTAACTTATTAGCATGTGACACCAGATACACCAAATTGTAATCTGACTCATAAAAGGATATGTAGTTCATGACTTGATGGTGAAGCAGGTCAGTTTAAAAAAAAAAATCAGATGGATTATGGAGTCAACGTTTCCTTCAGAAAACTTCTTCAGGGGTAAACTGGTATAATAGGAATGTCTGTTCAGACTGTTTTGAAAACAGTTACCTTGAGAATTTTGTATTCCTTTGACCCAGCAATCCCACTTTTGAAAATCTATCCCAAGGAAAAAAATTAGAAATACAGTTAAAGCCGCCTGGGCACAGTGGCTCACGCCTATAATCCCAGCACTTTGGGAGGCCGAAGCGGGCAGTGCGGGTTGAGTGCGGGAGTTTGAGACCAGCCAGAGCAACATAGCGAGACCCTGTCTCTACACAAAATACAAATTGTTTGCTGGGCATGGTGGTGTGCACCAGTAGTCCCAGCTATCTGGGAGGCCAAGGCGGGAGGATCGCTTGAGCCAGGGAGGTCGAGGTTGTGGTGGGCTGTGATCACACCACTGCATTCCAGCCTAGGTGACACAGTGAGACCCTGTCTCAAACAGAAAAAAAGAAATGTGGCCAAAGCTTTATGAACAATAATGTTAATTATAGTGTTATTGATATACTAAAAACAGGTGGGAGGGAACAAGGCTAGTGTCCAATATAGAGGAACGGCTAAATGATGCTAAAAATCATTCATTCAAATTATTATGTAACTGATATTGTTTCCCAAGAATATTTACTAACACAGAAAAGATCATGATATCACCTAAAGTAAGAATTAAAGATGCTGTATCACCCTAGTTTAATGAAAGAAAAATGTTCAAAAATATAAAGACAAGATGAATATATAGACATACAGCACAATAGATGCAAATACCTGCACATCACACAAGGGCTGGTGAACATGAGGACACTGGATTCTTCCAGGCCTTTTTCTAAGTCTTAGCAGGGATTATTTTTGGTTGGTGTGAGATTGGCTTTTTTCTTTGTTATGCTTTTCTGTGTTTTGCAGATTTTCTCCATAGAGAATGTTACTTTTTTTTAGGCAGGGAACGGTGGCTCACGCCTGTAATCCCAGCACTTTGGGAGGCTGAGGCAGGCAGATCACCTGAGGTCAGGAGTTCGAGACCAGCCTGGCCAACTTGGTGAAACACCGTCTCTACTAAAAATACAATAAAAATTATAGCCAGGTGTGGTGGCAGGCGCCTGTAGTCCTAGCTAGTAGGGAGGCTGAGGCAGGAGAATCATTTGAACCTGGGAGGTGGAGGTTGCAGTGAGCTGAGATCACGCCACTGCACTCCAGCCTGGGCAACAGAGTGAGATTCCATCTCTTAAAAAATAAAATAATTTAAAAAAAACAAGAGAATGTTACTTTTTAATTTGAAAACAATAAGAAAATGTCCAAGTCTGCAAAATAGAGTCTTTTTGAAAGACTCTTCGTACTTATTAATTTATTCACCAGACATCTTTAAACGGAAACAGTGGTTAAGTGTGAGAGTTTGGAAGTCCCACAGATCAGAACCCCAGCTGCCGTTTACTCACTGCAGTCCCTGGGCAAGTAATTCAGTCATCTGAGTTTCCTTGTCCCTACCCGTGTAATGGGGGATCTCTGGTACCCATCTCATGGAGCTGCTAAAGTGATTAAATGAGACAAAAGTATGCGAGCCCTTTGCTGGAACATGTTTCTGGAATACTTGCTGTTATTAGTGGAAATATTGCCACCGTGCCATGTGCCAGACTCCGTGTGAAGTGTGCAGAGTGCTAGGTGGGTAAAAATAGCCCCCCTCCTTCTAGAACCTCCAACCCAAAGGTGGGAAGGGGCACACAGGTAACAGAAATGACAGCGTTGACATCTGGTGTGTGCTGTGTAAGTCATGTCATCTGTGCTGAACCCTGGGGCTCAGGAGAGACGTAGTGGGGCTGTCGTGGGAACTGGGCCCTACTTGGGAGCCAGGATGTGGGCCCGGCCTGAAGCTGCAGCAGCAGCAGCAGCAGCAAGATGTGAGAATATTTAGGAGATGGAACTTGGTTCAGTGGGAGGAGTAACCCAAAAGGACTCTAGGGTGGTCCTGAGATTTTCTTTTCTTTTTTTTTTTTTTTTTTTGAGGCGGAGTCTCACTCTGTTGCTCAGACTTGAGTGCAGTGACACAGTCTCAGCTCACTGCACCCTCCACCTCCCAGGTTCAAGTGATTCTTCTTCCTCGGCCCCTCAAGTAGCTGAGATTACAGGTGCGCACCACCATGCCTGGCTAATTTTGTATTTTCAGTAGAGACGGGGTTTCACCATGTTGGCCAGGCTGGTCTCAAACTCCTGGGCTTAAGCAGTCTGCCCACTTCAGCCTCCCAAAGTGCTGGGATTACAGGCATGAGCCACTGGCCAGTCCTGAAGTTTTCACAGAAGCATGAAAACACAGAGAGAATTCCTTTTCTGTCATAAGGAGATGATGCCCTTTTTTTTTTTTTTTTTTTTTTTTTTTTAAGAGACAGTATTGCCCTGTCGCCCAAGCTGGACTCCAGTGGTACAGTCGTGGCTCACTGCAGCCTCGACCTCCCTGGCTTAAGCAATCCTCCCACCTCAGCCCTCCTAAGTAGCTAGGACTACAGGCTCATGCCAGCCACCATGTCTGGCTAATTTTTAAATTTTTTATAGAGACACGGTCTGGCAGTGTTGCCTAAGCTGGTCTCAAATTCCTGGGCTTAAGTGATCCGCCCACTTCGGCCTCCCAAAGGATTACAGGTGTGAGCAACCACGCCCAGCCTGGATGATTGGATGGTGCCTATAGATTCAGGAAAAACAGACTTTTCCCCCAGAATGTTTTCCTTACCTAGCTCTATGTGTGTGCAGTGTGTGTGTGTGTGTGTGTGTGT
Organism: Homo sapiens; assembly: GCF_000001405.40. Lineage (NCBI taxonomy): Eukaryota > Metazoa > Chordata > Mammalia > Primates > Hominidae > Homo > Homo sapiens. The sequence continues at coordinate 101,959,263 of NC_000007.14, forward strand.
GTGTGTGTGTGTGCAAGAGAGCGTGGCTAAGACAAGGGTATTCACCTGGCATCCTCATTCCCAAGTTGCCAATACTCCTCTCCCCTTTTTTCTTAACTCACCACCTGGGAAGTTTTCCTATTTCTCTCCCTCCTATCCCAGATAAGAAGAATTGCCTTCTTTCCTCCCAGCTGATTTGCTTTTCTCGTCATTATATGGCAAACCAGGCTGCACTCCCCTCCTAAGGCAGGCGGTGGTTCTCTTTGGGCTCTGAGTCCTCAGTGTTCTGCCTCTTCGGGTGCCAACCAGGAAAGCCGCCTTCCGCTTTTAGAGCAACGTGAAGAAATCATGGCAGCCCACGTAAGATCTCTCATTATTTCTGTTGAAACTGATTCTATCGAGGGTGGAGTGCATTGCCTTTAATTTCTTTGTTTGCGTGTATTTTTTTTCCCCTCTCTCTCACAAGAAGTATATTCTTTTCTTTCCTGTTTGTTCCTGCTCGATTTGGGGAGGCTGCTGTTTCCACTGCCTAATTAATGGGAAGGTGTTCTGCGGAGGATTTCACCGCGTACATATTCTCTGTTTGGACATGGTACAACCTGTGGACCCTTTTAAACATAGTTACATGTTTGACTCTTTATAGGGTAATAACTCGATTAATTTTGCAAGGCTTTTTAGAATACCATTGTTCTCTTGAAAAGAACAGGTTTGCTGTTTTAACAAGACTTTAATGCCATCGAGATGCCTCACATTGGCACGGTTGCGTAAGAATCGCACGGTCCCATGAAATGAAATTGAGAGAGCTTTTTCCGGCGCCTGGTTGGTTGGGGCGGCCTCCGTTCGGTGCTTTTTTCATCCTCGACCCAGTGACCAACTGTGTTTGCCCTGATGTTTCTTTCAATTCCACCATTCCGAAATGTCTCCGGAATCTGTCGTTTTAGCTTTTGCAGCAAGGTTCGTTGTGTTTGTCTTGCCCGCTTCAGGTTTCTCTAATGAGATTCACGTGTAAAGGAGGATTGGCAATTAATCGGATGACTGATTAATTGTGAGATTCTTATTCTTACCAAGGAATGCTATGGAAGTCCTGGCTTCAGATAAAATTCTCAATGAGGGCCAGTTGCAGTGGCTCACGCCTGTAAGCCCAGCACTTGAGGAGGCCGAGGTGGGAGGATCACTTGAGCTCAGGAGTCTGAGACCAGCCTGGGCAATATGACAAGACCCCATCTCTGCCCAAAAAGAAAAAATTAGCTGGGCATGGTGGCACACACTTGTGATCCCAGATACAGCTACTTCGGAGGCTGAGGTGGGAGAATCTATTGAGCCTGGGAGGTTGAGGCTGCAGTGAGCAGAGATGGCACCACTGCACTCCAGCCTGGACAACAGAGCAAGACCCCGTCTCAAAAAAGCAAATTCTCAAAGAGGCCTTAATATACCTTTTTTAATCATAAGCTTTAAGAGCCTGGTCATGCAAAGATAATTCAGTGAGATGAAAGATTGTTTATTTCCTACTGTGCATTGGTCACAACTTTGATTCCACAGAAGGGCAGTGTGCTGTCCTAACAGAGCTGAGTGTGTGGAGTCTTAAGAGCTTCCTCCCTCTCAGCAAATGTGTATTAAATGTTTCTGCTTTGCCAGTTCCAGTGCCAGTGCCCTGTGATTAGAAGGTGAGCTTCACCGAGGCCTCCTGGTGTTGTGGAGAGGGAGCCCCGGGAATGGCTGGATGCAGAAGGTGAAGGTTGAGATGCAGGAGAGGGAGCAGTTAGCCTTCTGGCTTGGGCTGTGGTGGGTGGTGCCCTCCATGAGATTCCAAAAAGGACTAGTTTGGGGAGGAATGAAATTGGCATTTGGAGAGTGTAAGATACTAGTGGAGTCTCCAAGCAGAGCTGCCCAGGAGACAGGCTGGCCATGAGGAGAGTAGCATTCACCTGGATATAGATTTGGGAGCCACTCACCGGGAGAGAGATTCCATCTGTGTGTCCCTGGGCAGCGTGATCATGGGAATACTGCTTAACCTCAAATCCTTGGCTTTCTCTGTAAAGTAAATGTAATAAGATCTCCACAGGGTTTGCTGTGAGGGTTGAACGAGCTCAGTGCACATGAAAATGCCCTATACACTCGAAACCAGCTATAAATATTGGTTATTATTGTTAGGATGCTGACGTTCAAATATAAATTGCCAAAATCATTTGGGAAGCATTGCATACTCCATTCCCACATGGAGAGTTGCAGGGCATGTGATTATCTGTTTGTTCATTTAGTCACAATATTGATCAATATAGAACAAAGCAGTATATTTTAAAAATCAACCAGGAGCAGCCATTCTTTGAAGTGTTATGCAACCATTAAAAATTAGGTTTGGCCAGGCGCGGTGGCTCAAGCCTGTAATCCCAGCACTTTGGGAGGCCGAGCAGGCAGATCACCTGAGGTCAGGAGTTCGGGACTAGCCTGGCCAACATAGTGAAGCCTTGTCTTTACTAAAAATATAAAAATCAGGCGTGGTGGCAGGTGCCTGTAGTCCCAGCTATTCCAGAGGCTGAGGCAGGAAGATGGCTTGAACCCAGGAGGCGGAGGTTGCATCGAGCCAAGATTGTGCCACTGCACTCCAGTCTGGGCAACAGAGAGAGACTCCATCTCAAAAAAAAAAAAAAAAAAATTGCAGAGAGTTTGTAGTACATGGGTCAGGCTTAAGCAAAAAGAAAGCAACTTAGGAAGTATATATACAGTATTATTACAACTACAAAAGGAACAGGCAGAAAAAACCCTGGAAGGAACCATGCCAAAATATTAAGTCTCCTTTAGGGAGCAGGACTTGGAGTCGTATTTCTTTATGTTTTTCTGTGCTTTAAACATACTCTGCCATGACATATTCCTTCTGTGATCAGAAAAATATAAACTAACAGTAACAGCAGAACATCCCTTCCCCCCAAATACAGGTGGGAATTAGATGTCTGAAGAGCTGAAAACACAAATGTATCGATTTCATCTTTTTAATATTTCCCTGCAATTCATCTTGCCTTAATCACCGTTTTCTCTCTGTCCGTGGAATCACAGAGCTAACTGCACAGAAACGGTGTGAATGAAACCAAGTTGGCCCTACGTGGAATCTCAAATCGCTCTACCCTTTCGGGATCTTCCGTTTAAGTTTTTGGATAATGAAAATTTGATCTTGATTTCAACTAAAGCTGTTGTGTATAAATCTAACCTTTCTATTTAGCGAAGGTTTTTAGCGGTCCATAGAGGCCGGAGATAACGAACTGTTACTTGTCTTCTGTCTTTCCCGTGTCTGCCATGGGTTCTGGTTTGTAGGCAGATATAAATGCAGATACGTGTGCCCCTGTCGTGTCTGAAAGGATGATAGAAGCGAGCTGAAGACTCCTTCCTGGGAGAAATGGATTTCTCCCTTGCTTTTAGAATCCTCAACTCCTCCCATTCATTCTGAGCAATAGCCATCATACCATATTTCATCAATCTCAGATTTCTTTTTTCTTCCTTTTTTTGAAACAGGGTCTTGCTCTGTCACCCAGGCTGGAGTTCAGTGGTGCAATCATAGCTCACTGCAGCCTCAAACTCCTGGGCTCAAGCAATCCTCCCACCTCAGCCTCCTGAGTAGCTGGGACTGCAGGTGTGCACCACTGCACCAGGCCAATTTTTGTATTTTTTGTAGAGACAGGGTCTTGCCATGTTGCCCAGGCTGGACTCAAACTCCTGGCCTCAAGTGATCCTCCTCCCAAAGTGCTGGGATTCCAGGCATGAGCCACTGTGCCCAGCCCAATCTCAGCTTTCTGGTTTGGCCAAGGGATTTACTTTCAAGTTGTAAAGTAAACAACTTGTGCTTTTCTGCTTTTGCCATCTCCTGGTTCCCCCTGCTGATGCCACCTCTGATGCCACTTGTCACCTTTCTCTAAACCACCCCCTTCTCTCACCTGGCAGGAAAATTCCCTGCCTATCCTTCAGTGACCCCAGCACCGGTTTCAGTGCCAGAAAATGTGCTGTCCTCCCTGTATTTGGCTCGCCTGTCCTCCCCCTCACTGATGTTTTCTGCTCATTGGGTGGGGGAGGAATCACATGGGTTAGGTGCCCATCCGTCCACTCCTGTATTCCATGCGCGACCACGGTGGCCCAAAGTTGGATTCCAGCATGTGATGTTGAATGAGGCAGGCGTGGCTCCCGTCCCCGGGCTGCACCCAGCAGTTCATCCCGGATCCAGGCCTCTGCCTTCCTCTACTCTCACCTCTTCTCCTCTGCAGAGAAGTGACTGCTGCTGGTTAGTAGGGTGGGAAGTGGAGGCTGGAGGGCATTTGAGAGGGCAGAGCTGAGTTCTGGCCTGATCCAGTCACTCAACAGCCCATTTCCTCATCTAAAAATAGAATAATAATCAATTACTTAGTACCTGTCAACACAAGCCTATGTATATATATATATATTTTAAGAGACCAGGTCTTGCTCTGTTGTCCAGGTTGGAGTGCAGTGGCGTAATCATGGCTCACTGCAGCCTCAGCTCTTGGGCTCAAGTGATCCTCCCACCTCAGCCTCCCGATTATCTGGGACTACAGGTGTGTACCACGACATCTGGCTAACTTTTTAATTTTTTATAGAGATGGGATCTCACTATGTTGCCCAGGCTGGTTGCGAACTCCTTACCTCAAGTGATCCTCCCACCTCACCTTCCCAAAGTGTTGGGATTACAGGCATGAGCCACTGTGCCTGGGCAAGCCAATATTTTAACAGGCCCTTTACCTATGTAATTTCACTTCAACTTCTCGGCAACCCTGTGAGGTCGGGAGATCGGGTGTTCTTGTCAAAGGCACATCAAGAAATGACAAGGCGGTACCGGGCACAGTGGCTTATGCCTGTAATCCCAGTGCTTTGGGAGGCCGAGGCAGGTGGATCACCTGAGGTTAGGAGTTCGAGACCAGCCTTGCCAACATGGTGAAACCACGTCTCTACTAAAAAATACAAAAATTAGCCTGGCGCAGTGGTGAGCACCTGTAGTCCCAGCTTCTCAGGAGGCTGAGGCAGGAGAATTGCTTGAACCTGGGGGGCGGAGGTTGCAGTGAGCTGAGATCATGACAGTGCACTCCAGCCTGGGCAACAGAGCGAGACTCCATCTCAAAAAAAAGGTGAAAGAAATGACTGAGCAGGAATTTGGGCCCAGGTTTCGTCACCAAATTTTGTATGTTTTAGCTATCATTATTGCTGTCCTTGTTATTGATGTTATCGGCCCTGAGGGTATAATGATGAGCAGAATATATCCCGATTCTAAGAAGTCAAGAGGAAAGGAAGCTAGCTTTGCTTTATTTCAAGTTTCTCATTCTTTTTTGCCGTCATTCTTTTTTGATCACAAAATGCCCACCTGTGCTCTAGAAACCACGCCTCCATTGGACAGGCTTTGGGAGTACTGGCTCCAGTGATTTGGGTGGTTTTGCACTGATTTCTCATCCAGCAAGCAAACCTCAACACCTTCAGACTGTCCCCAGCAACCAGAATATTATCGTTTCAGAGTTTCGAGGGACCATAGCTGTCAGCCTGTCTGTCCACCCTGCCTGGCGCTGGCCTTAATTGGAGGATGGTTGCATTTGGACCAGAGCAGAGGCAGATATCTCATTCCTCCAATGAAATACGAGGGCTTGTGCAACAGGCTTCTTATCTCATCTCCACCTGATCCCAGGAGCCTGATTCCTTTCCAGGGAGCAGCAGATGAGACTTTTCTCTTTCCAACACCAGTGTGTGTGAGCGAGTGAATGAGTAGGGTTTAATGGTGATTAAAGGCGTGGTCTTCATTTTGACACCTTTTGTTCTATAACAAGCCTGACAACCATGAACCTACTTCTTGCCAGACAGAAAAGTCATTCCCGTGCCTTGCCCCTGAGCCTCCTCGGAAATGGCAGAGCTGCACATGAGGAATTATGCTTCCTCGAACAGCAACATATGAGTCGTGCCTCTTCCCTAACACCGCTTTGCAGTTTGTGACTATAATCTAATGAATCCAGCTGACGTTGATCAGGTCCTTGGTGTGGGCGAGGCACTGTGCGGCGGGGAGGGGGCTTCCTTCCTTTGTTCCTCCCTAGTGCAAAGCAGTGGGTATCACAGACGAAACTCACAAGCCACAAAGAGGTTCCCAGGTCGAGCTGGCCTTTGTGCCCATGACGTCTCCCTCCCAGACCTGTTCTCCTTCCACCATCCTTGGTTCCCAGTCAGGGCATGGTGGTGGGGGAAGGGCAGGGTCAGCAGGGCATATGGCCTGGCCCTGTCCTGCAGTGGGGTTGACTGCGGTACTGCTCCAGAAAAATGGACTTTGTTGCCAGCGTTAAAAAATGATGACTTGGCCAGGCGCGGTGGCTCACGCCTGTAATCCCAGCACTTTGGGAGGCCGAGGTGGGCGGATCACGAGGTCAGGAGATCGAGACCATCCTGGCTAACACAGTGAAACCCTGTCTCTACTAAAAATACAAAAAAAATTAGCGGGGCGTGGTGGCAGGCGCCTGTAGTCCCAGCTACTCGGGAGGCTGAGGCAGGAGAATGGCGTGAACCCGGGAGGCAGAGCTTGCAGTGAGCCGAGATCGCACCACTGCAGTCCAGCCTGGGCAACAGTGTGTGACTCCATCTCAAAAAAAAAAAAAAAAAAAAAAAAAAGATGACTTGGAGATTGAAAGAGGTTGAAGAGATAGCTAAAGGCAATGTGTGGACCTCATTTAGATTACAGTTGGAAACAAGCCAGCAGAAAACGTGTTTCTGAAACAACTGGAGAAATTAGAACAGTGGGTTTCTGGATATTTTATGATATTGAGGCGTTATTGCTATTATTTGTGAAGTGATAATAGTGTTTGTTTTGTTTTGTTTTGGGACAGGGTCTCACTCTGTTGCCCAGGCTGGAGTGCAGTGGCACCATCAGGGCTCACTGCAGCCTCAACCTCCCCGGGCTCAGCTGATCCTCTTGCCCCAACCTCCCAAGTAGCTGGGACTACAGGTGCGCGTCACCATGCCTGGCTAATTTTTGTATTTTTTGTAGAGGTGGTGTTTCAGCATGTCACCCAGGCCCCGGATTATAGTGTTTTGACTGTCTTTTTTTTTTTTTTTTAAAGGATCCTTATCTTTTAGAGAATTCACACTGAGATATTTCTGGATCAAATGACTTGATATCTGAGATTTGCAACAATTAATACAGTAAATGAAACAAGCCTGGCCGAGAGTTGATACTCATTGAAAGCGCATGATGGGCACATGGGGACTGGTGTTACTGTTTGCTTGATGTGGGCTTGTCTTTGAGATTTTCGTAGTAAGGTGGTATTTTGCACAAAACCCCAGCTCTGATTTTTCTGGGAAAGTGGGAAGGCCTGGTGATTGCAGGCTGCTGGAGCTTTAGATGGGTGGGAATGTCCTAGGTGGCGGATGTCCCATGGTCATGTGGAGGGAAGGATAGAAAGAGCATGGCAGGGGGCCAGGTGCCCCGACAGGTGAGGGCCACCTGCAGGGAACATCAGAGGTGTGTGCTTCTTGAGGGTCGTTACCCACGGTCTGTATCTCCCTATATTCACCAAAATACACGTGGGACTTCCCTTCTGATCAGGTGCACAGCCTAGGGGATCCTCTGGGCCGAGCGGACCTGCCAGGGAAGCTCTCAAGTGGTCTGGATAGAACAAGCAGGGGGCTTCTGCAACAAGCCGGCCTAGCTCCAGGACACCCCCATCCAAGAGGGATTTGACAGATCCATCCCAGCCCCATAACTTGGTTCCTTTGCAGAGGGATCATTTGGAATTTTTTTATTTTATTTTATTTTATTTTATTTTGGTGAGATGGAGTCTCACTCTGTTGCCCAGGCTGGAGTTTAGTGGCGCAATCTCGGCTTACTGCAACCTCCACCTCCCGGGTTTGAATGATTCTCTTGCCTCAGCCTCCTGAGTAGCTGGGATTACAGGTGCCCTCCACTTATGCCCAGGTAATTTTTGTATTTTTAGTAGAGATGGGGTTTCACCATGTTGGCCAGGCTGGTCTTGAACTCCTGACCTCAGGCTATCCACCCGCCTCAGCCTCCCAAAGTGCTGGGATTACAGGCGTGAGCCACCGCGCCCGGCCAGAAATCTTTTTCCATTTGCCACACTTGTGACTTAGCCAAGTGTCTTTTTCAAAGACTAATAAAGCCTTCACAGCTTCCGAAACACCGCGCTAGATCTGGTAGCCGCGGACAATTTGGATTCCTTCTCCAGTGGGAAAGATTCAAAACTGCAGGTTTCAGAAGCCTTTAAAAGCTTCTTGTCTGTGTGATGTTCATTGAATGCAAATTCTTTCGCAAATAATGGCCTGCAACTGCTTTAAAGAAATAAACTCATCTTGCTGAGCCCGGGCATGTATGCGTCAATGGTGAAAAACTGCAAACACACATTCTGTTAGCAGAATCGTTTAATTAAACCACATTCTTGAAATGGTCTGCACTATAGGAAGGGATGTTGTGTGCACCACACTTTCTAAAAAGATATGTAAAAGGTCCCCAGAAACATATAATCAGAATTTATCCTAGACAAGTAATTTCCTCTCCCCATGTCTGTGTCCTCATCTGTAAAATGAGGTAGTGGGGCCAGGACGTCTGTAAGGTCCTTGTAGTGATGCTGTTCACAGGTGCTGTTACTTGGGGGAATCATAATGCTCTAGGGTTTTTGGTTTGGGGATTTTTCTTTGTTTTTTTGAGACAGGGTCTCCCTGTGTTGCCCGGGCTGGAATGCAGTAGTGTGATCGTAGCTGCCTGCAGCCTCAACCTCCTGGGTTCAAGCAGCTCCCCCTGCCTCAGCCTCCCAAGTAGCTGGGACTATAGGTACACACCACCACAACTGGATATTTGTTAAAATTTTTGTACAGAGGAGGTCTCCCTGCATTGCCCAGGCTGGTCTCCAATTCCGAGGCTCAAGTGATATTCCCACCTTGGCCTCCCAAAATGCCAGGATTACAGGCATGAACCACTGCACCTGGTACTAGGGTTGTATCGTTTGTCTTTTAAAAAATCTTCACATAAAAGTTAATTGTGGGGTGGGAGGGAGTTCCTATATCAAAAGTATGTTGAAATACAAGAGTCAAGAGGTTGAGTCTGGGGTCCAGGTGGGTCCCCTGGACAACCCTCTGCAGACTTGCTGCTGCTTTTGTTAAAGTGTCTGGGAGTCCCAAGCCACATGGGGTAGGGGCATCAGAAGAGTCTAGAATTATTATTTTTGAGACGTGGTCTCGCCCTGTTGCCCAGGCTGGAGTGCAGTGGCGCGATCTTGGCTCACCGCAGCCTCCGTCTCCCAGGTTCAAGTGATTCTCCTGCCTTAGCCTCCTGAGTAGCTGGGGTTACAGGCGCGTACCACCGTGCCTGGCTAATTTTTGTATTTTTAGTAGAGACAGAATTTTCCCACGTTGGCCAGGCTGGTCTCAAACTCCTGGCCTCAAGTGATCCACCTATTTTGGCCTCCCAAAGTGCTGGGATTATAGGCATGAGCCACCATGCCCGGCCTGAAGAGCCTAGAATTCTTCAGCCTTCTCCAGGATATCCCTGCTGCCTGGGTGGGAGACAGGGGAGAGTTGGTAGGGAGAGGACTGTGCTGTGGAGGTATGACTCTGCAAGGTGACCCCGGCTCAGCAGCTGATCAGCTCTGTGGCCTTGGGCAGGACACGGGGCTCCCTGAACTCCTCTCTCCACATTGGTAAAGGGTCTGGTCAGGCCAGCTGTGGGCTAGTGGTGAGAGTAACAGAGATACTGATCTGTTACTGGAAACGCCATGAGCTGATTGCTGTCATTAACCTCCCTGTACTGAGAGTTAAACAAACAGGCACCTAGGATGGGTGCAGTGGCTCACACTTGTAACCCCAGCACTTTGGGAGGCCAAAGCAGGAGGATCACTTGAGGCCAGGAGTTTGAGACCAGCCTGGGCAACATGGTGAAACCTCATCTCTACAAAAAAAAAAAATGCAAAAAATTAGCTGAGCGTGGTGGCGCACACCTGTACTTTCAGCTACCCAGGAGGCTGAGGTGGGAGGATTGCTTGAGCCTGGGAGTTCCAGGATGCATTGAGCCAAGATCGTGCCACTGCACTCCATCCTGGGTGACAGAGCAAGACCCTGTCTCAAAAAACAAACAAACAAAAAACAGCAAAAAAAAAAAAAAAAAAAAAAAAGCAGGCACCCAGATTTTCCTGTACTGTAAAGAGAAAAACCTTGAATTTGGATTAGGAAGGTCTGACCCTGTCACAAACAAAAGTGACCAAATCATACATTTTGAAATTCACCTCCTTTGACAAAGCCAGGATCCTCATGAAAGAGAAGATTCTGATGTGAAGTCAGCCCTGCACTTTCAGCCTTTCCAGCGTGCAGGTTGATAGAATCCCACACTTTTTAGCGGTCGAAGGGAACTTAAGATGTAGCAGTTATTTCAGAGTTGTGAAGCAGAGACCAAAATAGTTTGAAGCTGAATTTTAAGCCTCTTTTGGCCAGATCAAAGAAACCCAAACTCCTAAAAATACCAAATTAGCTTTTTAAGCATAGTTTCTATCTTTAGTTGAAAATGTGTGCAGTGTATACTTCTGGAACCTGCTTAAATGTATCCATTGAAATGAAGATGTACCTTGAAAAAAGAGGCGCCTGATCTGCAGTAATAATTAAGTAACTTTCTCTGCCCTTGACTCTTGCCCCAACGCGTATCAGGATTCCACGGTCCCCTTTCTCCTTCCTTTTTCAATTCTGAAACCATCCTTGTCTTCTTGCCGGAGTTAGCACCAAAAAAAAAAAAAAAAAAAAAAAAAAGTTACTCTTGTAGTTTACATGTCATAAATGAAAATGGATATTCCCTCCCAGGGCATAATCTGAAATATTTGTATTTGGGTTTCAAATGTGTGATAAGATGCTCTCTGTGGCAGATCGGCCTTTCTAATTGCTGTGCTTGTTAAAATTCAAATTAGGCTTTATTCTCTTAGCAAACGTTGACTGACAGTTGCAGAGAGTGGCCCAGAATGGCACTGAGTGATGGGTGGCCAGGAAGCCTGCGGTAGGAAATTCACAACAGACCTTTCATAGAGAAACGGCTGGCCTTGACTTTGAGTCCTTCCATCCCAGGTGCTTTAGAGACAGAGCCGCCTGACCCTTCCTTAGCTTGGCCCGGGGGTGCGTTGGAGGGGGCTGTTCCCACCTGCAGTTCCTAAAGGACAAACTGTCTGATACAGGCTTCATGTGGGGCTGGCCAAACCCCACCGAGGTTTGCACACACCCCAGGATTGCAGAACCTGAGCTCGAGGAGTGGGACATGACCTCCCCACGCCTCTGCTGAGTATCCCAGACCTTCCCATGTCTTTCTTTTCTTTCTTTCTTTTTTGAAAAGGAGTCCCATTCAGTCGCCCAGGCTGGAGTGCAGTGGTACGATCTTGGCTCACTGCAACCTTGGCCTCCCAGGTTCAGGCATTGCTCCTGCCTCAGCCCCTCGAGTAGCTGGGATTACAGGCGCGTACGACCATACCCGGCTGATTTTTGTCTTTTTAGTAGAGACAGGGTTTTACCATTTGGGGCAGGCTGGCCTTGAACTCCTGACCTCAGCTGACCCACCTGCCTCAGCCTCCCAAAGTGCTAGGATTACAGGCGTGAGCCCCTGCACCCGGCTGAACCTTCCCATTTCTAATCAGAACTGACCCTGGGATCAACTGACCTCCTTGGAGTGTAGAGGCATCCTGGTTGTCTGGGGACTTTGGGTGGGATCTCTGCCAGTTTTGCCTGCAGCAGAAGGAAAGGGAAGTGACTTATCTTAGGCACCTGCTTTGAACAAGGCACTGAGCTGAGCACGTTCACATGTATCTACTAATTTAATCCTGACAACAGTCCTGAAAAAGATACTTTCCCCATTTTCCATCTGGGGAGACTGAGGCTCAGAGAGGTCACTGGCCTGCCCAGTATGGCGCTGCCAGCAAGGGTTGAGCTCATATTGAGTCTGGGTCGGTGTGACCCTACAGCCATGCCCTTGACACTATGCCATTCCTGCCCTCCTGGCTGGTTGTGTTCTGCTCACTTCCAAGAATGATTTCCAATGGCTTGCAAAGTTACAGTTAGCACAGTATGACAAGCAAGGCATGAGACTGGGAGTGAGTGGGAACGAAGAGGAAAGAAAGTGAGAGGAGGCTGGGCATGGTGGCTCACACCTGTAATCCCAGCACTTTGGGAGACCAAGGCAGGAGGATCACTGGAGCCCAGGAGTTCAAGGTCAGCCTGGGCAACATAGGGAGACCCAATCTCTATTGTAAAAATAAATTGTAAATAAAGTGAGAGGAAAAGGCAGTTAGAACCAGAATTAGACAACTATCCAAAGTTCCCCAGGCCCTGTGTACTTTGTAAAGATGAGATACAGACTTGATTGTGAGCTTCCCAGCAACCAATGCAAAAAGGGCAACCAGATAAGTCATGTGACTTACGCTGTCCACAAGCTCAAAACAAAGCATGTGTTGAGGGAAAGCACAGCTCCTCTGGTGTTGGCAAAAAAAATTCTCCCTAAAGATCCTCGTAAAAAGAAGTCACTTGGTTTCATTGCCGGTTACAAGTTGCTGGCAACCAAGTGCCACTGGCAGGTATCTTACAGCTTAATAGAAGCAGCATTACATTGGTCTAAAAGAAGACAAGAGAATTACAGGCCCATTTTTAGGAGTGGATACACCTCTTTCTATAGGTAGAGGAACTTCTGTCTGGATTTGTGAGTTGGGTGATTTCAGATACTGATTTATTTTTATTTATTTATTTATTTTGAGACAGAGTCTCGCTCTTTCGCCCAGGTGGGACTGCAGTGGCGCTATCTTGGCTCACTGCAAGCTCCGCCTCCCGGGTTCACGCCATTCTCCTGCCTCAGCCTCCCAAGACGCTGGGACTACAGGCGCCTGCCACCACGCCCAGCTAATTTTTTGTATTTTTAGTAGAGACGGGGTTTCACCGTGTTAGCCAGGATGGTCTCGATCTCCTGACATCGTGATCCGCCTGCCTCCGCCTCCCAAAGTGCTGGGATTACAGGCGTGAGCCACCGTGCCCGGGCCAGATCAACTGATGTTTTGAGTTCAGATACAGAGTAAATGTAGCTTGTAAAGTACTGGTCATTAGAACCAGAGAATGAACTCTGTCCCTCTTTTAAATCTGGTTGGTTTAGTCTTTTTAGACACATACCGTTCGGGGACAAAGAGATCGATCAGAATTTTCTTGCCTCCTCGGACGGCATCTGACCTGGCTAGGTTGCGGGGATCTGTTGGAGAGAGAAGCGTGTCATGGATCCCGCATCGAAAACAGCCTTGAAGAGGGCCAGGAGCACGGAGGACCTGGGGAGGGCCCTGACCACTGGACACATCTGCCCTTTGCTCCTCCTTTTTGTCTCTGCTGGTGGCCCTTTCTGCTGTATTCACGCGCCCTCACCACCTCCTGTGTATTCGTGTGCTGGAGTTCAGCCGCCAAGGTGGAGAGAGACTCCCTGTCGGGGAAGGACTCCGGCCCCAATGCCTCCTCCTCCAGGCCAGGCCGCCATGGTGGGTGGGAAGAGAGGCCACTCCTAGAGAAAGAGACACTGTCAGTAGGTGTCAGGAGGTGTCCCGGGAGCTCGCCGCGTGGTAACCAACAGACACAGCCCTTCTTGGCATTCAAAGTTGCACCCTGATGCCTGTGAGGGAGTCGTGACTTTCTGTTACCACTGACCCAGGGCAGAGTTTTAAACAGTGACCTTAAGGCGAAAAGCTCCAGATCTCGTTACTGACCAGTGCAGCCAGCCACTGCCTTCCTTCCTTTTTGATTCTAAAAATGACACTCGGGTTTTAGAGGGTTGCTTTTCAGGCAGCCGAAATCCCCGCATGCACCTTCTCGTACATTTCAGGAGAGAAGAATCAAGTCCATCCACGGTATCCTTGCCCAGGTACCGGTATCCATCAGAGCGTGATTGGGGTTTCAGCAGAGCCAGGCCTGCTTTTCCTGGCAGAGGCTGGGCCCCTTTAGATTTTTCTTGTAGATTTTGCTTGAGCCTCCCAGCCCTTCCTTGCTCAGCACCTGTGACCCACTGGGTCACAGTGACCCACATCCCATGGCTCTGACCGCAGCTGGACTCATCTCACACTCACGTTCATCACGGCTCCCAGAAGGCACGTGTTTTTAATGAGAGGCTCATTTCCACCACTGCCCCCCAGCCCTCCGCAGCAAGCCAGTGCAACGCCAGGACAGTCTGCTGACAGGGGAATTGGAGACTGGAGGGAGCAAGTTTTACCTTTTTGGTTTGACCATTTAAATTGAAGTCATGCATACAGGGAAAGTTATGCATATAGAAAAATGTACACTTCATACTGCGTGCATTCAATTAATTTGCGCCAAATGAATGCACCCGTGTCCCCTGCACCCAGATGGAAAATGCCACCAGCACCCTTAATAGCCCCCACCTGGACCCCTGAATTGGAGTGAATTTTGAAAGAAGAGGGAAAGAAAGTGACATGTCCCAATTAGAACATATGGGACAGGCACTTTCTATACTGTCCACCTTGCCCCAGATTCTTTTTCTTTTTCTTTTTCTTTTTTTTTTTTTTTTGAGACGGAGTCTCACACTGTCGCCTGGGCTGGAGTGCAGTGTCATGATCTCAGCTCACGGCAACCTCCACCTCCCAGGTTCAAGAGATTCTCCTACCTCAGCCTCCCGAGTAGCTGGGATTACAGGTGTCCGCCACCATGCCTGGCTAATTTTTTGTATTTTTAGTAGAGACGGGGTTTCACTATGTTGGCCAGGCTGGTCTGGAACTCCTGACCTCGTGATCCACTCGCCTCAGCCTCCCAAAGTGTTAGGATTACAGGCGTGAACCACTGCGCCCGGCCCAGATTCTTTTTTTTTTTTTTGAGATAGAATCTGGCTCTGTCACCCAGGCTGGAGTGCGGTGGCACAATCTCACTGCAACGTCCACCTCCCTGGGCTCAAGTAATGCTCTCACCTCAGCCTCCCAAGTATCAAATTCTCATTTTAAAAATTAAGAATCAGACCCAAAAAGAACAAATGACTTGACCATGACTGAGGCCACAGAGCCGAAAATGTCCCCATCCTGGAGTCTTACTGTGGCACACTCTCATCTTAACCACACACTCTAGTTTTATCCTCTCTGTGTCTTTCATAGATTATCAGGAAGCGAAATAACCTGTTAATATTTTCAAAAGTTCTTATGAAATGTGAAGTGCTGTATAATGATTAAGATAGAAAGGAGAAACTAGGAAACGAGAGCTTTTAATCCTAGCTTACAGGAAATTCTAACTAGTAGGAAATCTAATTCAGGCAGCGCTGGGAAACATCACAGGCTATGAGATGAAAGTCAGCTAAATTGGGATCTAATTCTATAATCTAAATATAGATGTAGATATATTACAGGTTGGCCTTTTCAGCTGGAGAGAGTATCATTCACTCCAAAAGTGCCTTTTGTATCACAGAGAAGAGCGCAGCCAGGGGTGATATCAGCTGAGGAAGGGGGCGGGCAGCTTGGCGTGAGGGGCTTTCATTCATTCCTTAGTCATCTCTATTTTCTTAAATTTTATAGTAGGAATTATTTGTGCGTTGTATGTATAATAAACACATGGAAAAGACAAGAGCGAGGAAGGCATCTCAGGAGTGTTTTTGGGAAGGAGGCTGTCATGGCATGTGGGCAGAGGGAGGTCTGGGAATGGGATTTGCTGGGTCAGAAAGATGTCCATGTTCTTTGCCAATTTGGCATCAGAAATGGCCCACACCAGCCAGGTGTGGTGGCTCATACCTCTAATCCCAGCACTTTGGGAGGCCGAGGTGGGTGGATCAACTGAGGTCAGGGGTTCGAGACCAGCCTGGCCAACATGGCAAAACCTCATCGTCCCCACTAAAAATACAAAACTTAGCCGGGCGTGATGGGAGGTGCCTGTAATCTCAGCTGCTCAGGAGGCTGAGGCAGGAGAATCCCTTGAACCCGAGAGATGGAGGTTGCAGTGAGTCGCGATTGTGCCACTGTACTCCAGCCTGGGCAACAGAGCAAGACTCTGTCTCAAAAGGAAAAAAAAAGAGAGAGAGAGAGAGAAAAGAAAAGGCTCACGCCTGTAATCTCAGCACTTTGGGAGGCTAAGGCAGGAGGAGCTTGAGACCAGCCTGGGCAACATAGTGAGACCTCCTTATCTCTACAAAAAATGAATTTTTTTTTTTTTAATCAGCTAGGCATGGTGGCATGTGCTTGTAGTCCCAGCTACTCAGGAAGCTGAGGTGGGAGGATCACTTGAGCCCAGGAGTTCGAGGCTGCAGTGAGCTATGATTGTGTCATGTACTCCAACCTGGGTGACAGAACGAGACCCCGTCTCTAAAAGAAAAAAGAAAATGCCTGTTTCAGTTGTCACTCCTCACCAGTGAGGCATGGGAGTGTTCTCTTCCTCCAAACCTCACTAACCCTGGATAATGGCATTGTGATAAATTTTCCACTGGTCAAAAAATATATATTGCCTTAAACTCAAAACTCGTCCATCAACAGTGAGGTTGGCTGTCTTTCCGTGTGTTTGTTAGCCAGTGGTATCTCCTGTGTAAATTACCTTTTGACATCCTTTGTTTATTTTGGTTGGTCTTTTACCTCGTCGTCATCTTACTCACTTTTAAAGAGCATGAATTAAGGCCGGGCACAGCTGCTCACGCCTGTAACCCCAGCACTTTGGGAGGCCAAGGTGGGTGGATCACCTGAGGTCAGGAGTTCCAGACCAGCCTGGCCAACATGGTGAAACCCCGTCTCTACTAAAATTAGCCAGGCGTTGTGATGGATGCCTGTAATCCCAGCTACTTGGGAGGCTGAGGCAGGGAGAATCACTTGAACCTGGGAGGTGAAGATTGCAGTGAGCCGAGATCACACCACTGCACTCCAACCTGGGCACAGAGAGAGACCCCATCTCTAAAACAAACAAAAAACCACAGTATGAATTAATTATTTCTCTCTTACATGTTGTAGAAATTTTTCCCAAATCTACCATTCATTTTGTAAACATAAACTATATTTCTGTACTCTCTTATAGTAATTGTAGATTTCTAGTGTTTCACTTGGTTTTTGAATCGACAACAGTTTTGTGTGTAGGGTATTGTAGTGTAAGGGATCTGTTTTTTCCCCCAGGCAGATAGCTCATTTTCCCAATGCAATATTCCTTTAAATATTCTGAATAAAAGAAAATTTTAAAAATCATTTTTGAGCGATGGGAAATGTGAACCAAAAATATGCATAAGGAATTTTTGATTGAAAAACCCAGACGGGGGCAGGAGTTTGAAATGAACTTCCCCTAAAAGCCAAAACTTGTAGAGGTGGCAGCCTGAGGGCTTTCCAGAGAGCTGTAATTGACTGTTTCTCCCATCAGCCACTCTCCTCTTTCTCATAACTTTTTTGGGCAGCCATTAAAGATCTGATGACGAGTGTGAATGTGGCAGCATTTTGGCATTTTGGATGGTGGCATAATTGCACATATTGAAAAACTCTAAATTTACATCGGTGGATCCAGTGCGTCTCATTATACTGGAGGTGTGAAAACTCCATGTGCCTCTTTGAACAATTGTCCTGCTCTGTCACAGTTCAGGGGAAACAAAAGTAGCTCCAACTTCCCGAGATTTAAATTTGACTTTATTCCATTTAGTTGATATTGTAACTAGAATTTGAATAGTCTTTTCCCTTTCTGATTTTTTTTTTTTTTTTTTTTTTTTTTTTGGAGATGTAGTTTCGTTCTTGTTACCCAGGCTGGAGTGTCGTGGCATGATTTCAGCTTGCTGCAATCTCCACCTCCCAGGTTCAAGCAGTTCTCCTGCCTCAGCCTCCCAAGTAGCTGGGATTACAGGTGTGTACCACCACACCCGGCTAATTTTTGTATATTTAGTAGAGATGGGGCTTCACCATGTTGGCCAGGCTGGTCTTGAACTCCTGACCTCAGGTGATCCTCCCGCCTCGGCCTCCCAAAGTGCTAGGATTACAGGCGTGAGCCACTGCACCCAGCACCCTTCCTGATTTCCATTTCCGCTTTTATCTCTCCACTCCCGAAGATGTATCAACCCACAAGGAACTTCCTTCCAGCCCTTACTTAAAACATTGCTCTTTTTCCAGCTCCAGATATTCCCTACATTGGCTGCCACTCCTCCTTGTCTCTGTTCAGTCTTGGAAAATTGGTTTGGTCCAAGCTGAAGCTATTCTTTGAAGAAATACCATTATTTTTAAATAAAAGGATTCCCCAGCCTGGACAGTGTAGCAAGACCCCATCTCTACCAAAAAATCAAAACTTTAGCCAGGCATGATGGTGCACACCTGTAGTCCCAGCTATTTGGGAGGGTGATGCAAGAGAATGGTTTGAGCCCAAGAGATCGAGGCTGCAGGTTAGCTATGATCGTGCCACTGTACTCCAGCCTGGGCAACAGAGTGAAACCGTGGCTCAAAATAAATAAATAACATAAAAAGATTCTCCTTTGAGAGAATCGCTTGAACCCAGGAGGCAGAGGCTGCAGTGAGTCGAGATTGCACCACTGCACTCTAGCCTGGGTGACAGAGTGAGACTCTGCTCAAAAAATAATAATAATAAATAAATAAAAAAGATTCCTCCTTCCAGGAGCCAAGAACTAGGAATTTCAAGCTGCAATCTTGCTTTTTAAGCATGGTTATATATGGGGGGTCAGCAGAATGTGTGAAAATTATTGAAAAGTAAAGCATGAGATGTGACTGAGCTCTTGAGAGCAGACCACTTTCCCCTTCTTAAAACGTTTTTTTTTTCCCTGACCCCTGTCTGAGATACAGGCTCTCCTGGTTCGGCCCACCTTGCCCATCACTCTGCTGGGTCCCCACTCGCGCCCTGCACCTGAGGTTAGAGGGCACATAAGTCTCGGGGACCTGCCCTTTGATATCTACAAGACCCTGTCCTCAGGGGATCCCATCGACTCTCGTGGCTTAAAATACCATCCACAGAAGGATGGCGTCTATATTTATATTAACCCAAATATTCAACTGAATATTCAACATCTCTACTTGGAAAGACATCTCCGGCTTCACATGGCTTCAAAAGAGAACTGTTGACCCCTCCCACACACACCGCCTGCACCACCAATCCCAGTCCCCCTGTCACCTCGGGAAATGGCGTCACCACCCAGGGGCTGCTCAGGCTAAAACCTAGGTGTGCCCTGGGGCTCCCCCTCCTCTCCCCCGACATGCCTGGTCCACCAGCAAGCCCGTCCTTCCTCCTGGATACACCTGGGCTCCCAGCTACACGCTGTCACCTTGGCCCAAGCCACTGTCATGGCCACCCCACCACCACTTCCGTTCTTGGCTGCCTTCTGTCCATTCTCTTTCCCCAGCGGCCTCAGTTTTATTTCTAACGAATGCAGTTCAGATCTTTCCGTCTCCCTGCTAGACCCTCTGATGTCTTTCCATCCAACCTTCCACATTCTGTGACCCCACGTCGCCCTCACTGGCTGGGCCACGGCCCCTCTAGCCCCGGTCTTCACCCTTGAACCTGCCTAGCCTCTGTCCTCCTCCTCTGCGCCCCGTGGCTTCTTCCACTTTCTTCCACCTGGCTCACCCGGAATTCCAGCTACTTGTGCTCTTCCTGTCACACATTGCCTGGTGTGTCATTTCCATCTCTGTCTACCTTTCCCTCCTAGAATGCCATTCCCATGAGAGCACTTTCAGGCCACTTCACGGCGTACGTCCAGCCCCAGGCACAGAGCCCGGGGTATCATAGGTGCACAGTAAACATCTGTTGATGGGCTGGCTGGATTCTATGTGGGAAGCATAATGACCAGTGGTCACAAATTACTGGGGCCAGAGGGGCGCTGCCTGGTGTTAACCGCCTGGTGCCTGCCCTACCTTTAAAGCCAAGAGTGTCCATTTAATGAGCAAGAAGCAGAAATCCTGGGCAAGCAGTGCAGATGTAGGCTCTCGGGAACATGTTGACCACTCAGAAAACCTTCCAGGAGGTGAGTACCAGGAGATGGAGGTGCTCTAGACTGTGATGCTGGGAAAGGATTGTGGGCTAGAAAAAGGGCTCCCTAGGGCCGGCATATGGGCCACTGGGTGGAAGAGGGGCTCTGAGACCCTCACCCTGGAGCAGGTCATCACCCACACCGAAGGAATGAAGCGTGAATTCGGTCACGCTTAAAATGTTGAATTGTTGGCAAAAGCCCAAGTTAATGAAATAGCATGGAAAATGGATGTGATGAGATTTTTGAATTGTAATTAGATTAACATTGTCACTAGTTATCAGTCTGATATATCTTATAAATCAAACGTTGGGTTGATTTATCTTTTATCACTTCTAGGGACTTACTCCTAACAGTAACTCACAAACCAGCCCCAAATCAGAGCTGGTAGGATGGGCTCCCAGCTATCTTTAGGAGGTTTGTTGGTTTGGGGAAGACAGCTCCCCCTTGGCAGGGCTCAGGTGTTTTCTTTCTTTTTTCTTTTTTTTTTGAGACGGAGTCTTGCTCTGTCATCCAGGCTGGAGTGTAGTAGCACAATGTCGGTTCACTGCAACCTCCACCTCCTGAGTTCAAGCAATTCTCATGCCTCAGCCTCCCGAGTAGCTGGCACTACAGGTGCCCACCACCATGCCCAGCTAATTTTTGTATTTTTAATAGAGATAGGGTTTTACCATGTTAACAGGCCAGGCTGGTCACGAACTCCTGACCTTAGGTGATCCACCCGCCTTGGCCTCCCAAAGTGCTGGGATTACAGGCGTGAGCCACCGTGTCCGGCTGGGTGTTTTATTTCTTCGTCTGTTATTCAGGAACTTTGTTTCCAGCGCTGTGAGTATGAGTACAGGCCCAGGGCTGGGTGACAGAGTGCGGAGAGCGGGGCCCTACCCTTGAGCTGTTTCTGGAAGGGCTCCCAGCCAGCACCGGGCTTAGGGAGCAGTGCCCTGCAGTGTCATTCTGGGCCAGGGAGGTTGTGATGAATATTATTCTCAACAGAGGGTCCCCAGGGCAGTGATGCCACTACTCAGGATCTTACAGAAGAAGAACCTTCAGGCTGGGTGTGGGGGCTCACACCTGGAATCCCAGCACTTTGGGAGGCCAAAGTGGGAGGATTGCTTGAGCCCAGGAGTTCGAGACCAGCCTGGGCAACATAGCAAGACCCTGTTTCTCCAAAAAAAATGTTTAAAAAGTAGCTGAGCATGGTGGCATGCACCTGTGGTCCCAGCTACTGGGGAAGCTGAGGTGGGAGGATTGCTCCACCCGAGAGGTCGAGGCTGCAGTCAGCTGTGATTGTGTCACTGCAGTCCAGCCTGGGCGACAGAGGGAGACCCTGTTTCCAATTAAAACAATAAAAATCTTCATTTTGAAGAATCTGACCAGTTCTCTACCTGGCACTTGAGTGAAAAATGACACAATCCAAAGTAGGTGGCAGATTGGTTCTCACTCAGGCAGACCCTGGAGACACCTCTCCCGCTTCTGACTCAGGGGAGAGTGCGGTGACATAAACCACCTTCTTCTGCTCTAGGCCAGCTTGTAACTGTTCAGCCAGCCAGCCGTCTCCTAACTCTGTGACCCCCGGCCCAAGAACAGGGCTCCTGAAGGCCCCGAGAACCAGCCCGCCGTCCGCACGGATGTACCTGGAAGCCACAGTGCCCCACACCCCGTGGGACTTTCTCCCGAACACAGCACCTGCGCTTCCTGACTCCTCTCTCTGAATCTGGCCTTTGAGTTCAATGTCCTGGGAACTTAACTCTAGGGATGCTCTTTCCCCCTTTAGCTACCGAGTCACATGCTGCGTCTTTGGAAATTTCAGGCAATATTTAGTTTGGTGCAAAAGTCATTGTGGTTTTTGCAATTAATTGCAAAAATAATAAATGGAAAAATGAATTTGTGGACATCAGGCTTGCCTAGGGAGATGACCTAGGGAGAGGCCTCTTTTGGCATAGCTCCTGAACAGGGAGAGGTCCTGACATGAATACCCCCCGTTTTGTGAATCCTGAGCCAGTACTGTGTCCCCGGCCCCCTCCTCCCCCAACCTATACACACGCCTCACTTTCCCTTGCAGGACGTTTTCTACCACAGTTCCTCTCTCCTGACATAGTATGTGTTTGTTTCTTACTTGTCTTGCCGCATGAGGATGTAAGTTGCCTGAATTCAAAAACATGTCTTCTTTTTTGTGAATGAAAGAGTGGCTGGCATGTAGCAGGTACTGAAATTATTTGTAGAGTGAATGATAAATCTCAGTTCAGGGCACTCAGTGTGGCCTGGGCTACGTGGAATAGCCAATTGGTGGCCACAGAGAGTGGCCAGCCATTCCCAGGCTGGCAATGTGAGTCTTAGCCACTCTCTTTTACAGATAATGTGCTTATTAAAATGATATCCCAGGCATTCCCCAGTGGTGTTTGAATCGTGAATGCAAATGTCAGAGGCTCTGAAGTTTAAAGTCTTTTTTTTTTTTTGAGACGGAGTCTCGCTCTGTCGCCCAGGCTGGAGTACAGCAGTGCGATCTCGGCTCTGCAACCTCCGCCTCCCTGGTTCAGGCGATTCTCCTGCCTCCGTCTCCTGAGTAGCTGGGATTACAGGCAAGCACCACCACGCCCAGCTAATGTTTGTATTTTTAGAAGAAACGGGGTTTCACCATGTTGGCCAGGCTGGTTTTGAACTCTTGACCTCAAGTGATCTGCCGCCTTGGCCTCCCAAAGTGCTGGGATTACAGGCGTGAGCCACCGCACCTGGCCAGGTTTCAAGTCTTGACTCTAATAAAACCAGGGAGGTTTCGCTCAGCCACATAAGTGGGAGGGAAAATTAACTGTTGCTTTCTGTATTCACCAAGATGGCCTAAAATAAGCAAGCAGAAAAGGGAAGAAAGAAAACCAAACCCATGAGGTTGTCCAAGTCGATCTTGGCAGGTATTTTCTTGCCTGTTGATTGCTAGAGTTTCCCTCTACCTGCATTGCAGGCTGAAATGTATGACTCAGCCCTGACCAATAACATAGCAGTAAAAAGTAGTTTCCCCTGAGAGCTTTCTCTTCCTCCATAGCTGTGACTGCTGACATCTTCCACTGTAAGTGAGAAAAGTTGAGTGTGCCCTGCTGCCTCGTTTTTCTCACCAAGGTGTTATGAGCTGGTAGGGAAGGCCAGGAGCTAGGGCAGCAGCTTTAGAATTAGTGCAAGAGACAGGAGGACAAGTCACTGGGTCTCCTGAATTTCCTCACCTGCAAAACAGGGACAGTTTTTAAATTTCTTTTTTTTTTCTTTTTTTCTTTTTTGTTTGAGATGGAGTCTTGCTCTGTCGCCCAGGCTGGAGTACTGTGTTGTGATCTTGGCTTACTGCAACCTCTGCCTCCCAGGCTTAGGTGATTCTCATGCCTCAGCCTCCTGAGTAGCTGGGATTACAGATGCGGGCCACCATGCCCGGCTAATTTTTGTATTTTTAGCAGAGATGAGGTTTCACCATGTTGGTTAGGCTGGTCTTGAACTCCTGGCCTGAAACGATCTGCCTGCCTCGGCCTCTCAAAGTGCTGGGATTACAGGTGTGAGCCAACAGGGACTTTTTTTTTTTTATTATACTTTAAGTTCTAGGATACATGTGCACAACGTGCAGGTTTGTTACATATGTATATATGTACCATGTTGGTGTGCTGCACCCATTAACTCGTCATTTACATTAGGTATATCTCCTAATGCTATCCCTCCCCCCTCCCCCCACCCCATGACAAGCCCCGGTGTGTGATGTTCTCCTTCCCCAACAGGGACAGTTTTAATCAATCCCCTTTCTGGGTGGTGTCAGGACACCCACAGAGGTGTGGGTCTAAGCGCTTTGTGAGTGTCCACGTCCTGTGCCTAAGGAAAGCACTAGTCATTCATTCATTCACCCAACAGTTCCTGACGGCCCACCTCAACAGGAAGGAATATTATACAGCCACTAAAATGTAAAATCACCAGTGCTGTTCAGAAGGACGGAGATGTTTATGTCATTGGCTGTGTGACCAAAAGAAAAAGTTCTGCTGGGGATGTGGGATGGGCATATACGTGTTTTGAATATAAGATCTTTCTTTAATGCTGTTATATTTGGTCTCCATAAAATAATTATTCTTTGGGTGACAACCTCTTAGAAAAAGAAAGACAAAAGCAGCTATTTGCATAAACCTCAGCCCAGGTGTGGTCTCCAGCCCCAGGAAACTTCTCTAACACCCCTCCCATCCTCCCACCAGTGGTTCCTCCCTCGGTGGCATGAGGTGGTTCAGTTTTTTTCCTCTGTGCCCACCCTGGGGTGCCCTGGGCCCATGGCCACTGACTGCAGTGAACAATTATGTGTGAGTCTGTTAGTTCATTTGCATTGCTATAAAGAAATACCCGAGGCTGAGTAATTTATGAAGAAAAGAGGTTTACTTGGCCCATGGTTCTGCAGGTTGTACAAGAAGCATGACGCCAGCATCTGCTGCTGGTGAGGCCTCAGGAAGCTTCCAGTCATGATGGAAGGCAAAGAGGACTTGACATATCACATGGGGAGAGAGAGAGTGAGAAGGGGGAGGTCCCAGACTCTTTTAAACAACCAGATCTCACAAGAACTCAGAGCAAGAATTCACTCATTACCAGGAGGTGGGCACCAAGCCATTCATGAGCAATCTGCCCTCATGGCCCAAACACCTCCCACCAGGCCCCACCTCCAACACTGGGGATCACATTTCAACATGAAATTTGGAGGGGACACTAGCCGGGTGTGGTGGCATGTACCTGTAATCTCAGTTACTCAGGAGGCTGAGGCAGGAAAATCGCTTGAACCCGGGAGGCAGAGGTTACAGTGAGCTGAGATTGTGCCACTGCACTACAGCCTGGGTGACAGAGCTGAGACTGCACCACTGCACTCCAGCCTGGGTGACAGAGCAAGACTCTGTCCCCCCCCAAAAAAAAAAAAATATATATATATATATATATATATATATATATATATATATACACACACACATATATATATGTGTGTGTGTGTGTGTGTGTGTGTGTTAGGGGACAGATGTCCAAAGTGTGTCAGTGTCCATCATGGCTATTAGACTGTCAGGCATTGAATATGGGCCCATGTTTTATTTCTCTTTATTTCCTCATTGTTGAACACATGGGTGTGCCTCCTATGGATGGGACCAGTGGCTGACTCACCTTTCCAAACTTGCATCCTGATGATCTGTAAAGTGTACCCACCCTGTAAGATTGTCGTGGGACAATGTAGATAAAAACCTCGATATACAGCCTAGTACACAAAGGACGGTGTAAATATTCTCTTCCGTGCTTCGTAGATTTCATTTTTGAACGCTCAGATTGTTCTCCGGCAAAAAAAAAAAAAAAAAAAAGTGCTTGCAGTGAGAACCTGCCCTGCACTCTCAGGCGAGCTGTTGGGTGCAAGTCCTGCAGGACTGAGCTCTGAAGGCCACCCACACCCTGGGTTGTGCTTGGATGATGGCATCCCTCCTGGCACAAGCGCAGATGGGCAGTCGGGAGGGAACATCAGCCTGGGAAAACTAGATGTCAGTGAAAAATGCTGGAGGTGGCTGGCGTTCGCAAAACTCAGTCGTAAAAAACAGCACGTTCTCAGTACAAAATGAGCACTGTTAAAAATAAACCGCGCAAGAAGAAATATATGAATACGAGGGCATGGCAAACAGTTTTGCAAGGTATTAAGATCGCATTAATCTTAATTTTATTATATATTAAAGTTTCTAACTTTTCAAATAATGCAGTTTTCGTTGTTTTAAAACGTCTGAGAATTATAGAGCTATTTGGTGTGGCTCTCAGGCAAGGACTCCTGCCATTTATTGGGGCCCTGGTTTTATTTAATAGCCAGATGAATGGAATAGTTAATAAAAGAAATATTGCTTTATTCCCTGACATTTATGTCCTTGGTTTCCAATAAAGAATTGAAATTATGAATAGTTGATGGTTTAAATTGATGTTTTATGTTGAACGCTAGCTATAATTTGCCCTCTGAGGATTGTAATACCGAGAAACAGATGGTTTCTCACAGTAACAAATTGCTATGTGTATACACGCTATAGTCTTGGCTTTCAGATACTTTCACCTTTGGTTCTGAGCTGCTCTGCAGACGGGAGAGGGGGGTCGTGCGGGGAGATCAGCCTCTGGAGGAAGGGGTTTCCTGCCCTGTGGGGGAGACACAGACAGGCCCTGGGGGTTCAGGGAAACTGGGGAAATGTAGCTAGCCTGGCATGGTGTCAGTACCTGGGGCCAAGAGGAGCGTTCTGTCCACGATCATGGTGGCAGCTGCAAGGTAGTGCCTGCAGGACTGCTGTGCATGTGGCTGTTTGACACCATGCCGTGCTGCAAACTCCACATCTTCCTAGAACAACCAGGAGAATGCCGTGGAGACTTGTTGCCAGATTTTTGCAGTTGCCCTGCAGTGGAGAGGTTAAGAGCTTGGACTCCGGAGCCAGGTGGCTGGGCCACTTTGGGGGAAGTTTCCCAAATTCCCACATCTCAGTTTCCTCATCTGTAAAATGTGCATAAGAGCAAAAGCCACCACCCTGTTTTGAGGATTCAGTAAAACCATCCCTCTAACACAACACTGAGCCCAGTGCCGGGTATGGTGTCAGTGTCTGCCAGGTAATGGTGTAACGAAAATTACAAAGCAGATTGATGTGGTGTGATTCTTGACGTTACAAAAGCTTCCTTGTTTTTCAGAGGGAGTTCCCACAGGGGTTCTTTAGACAGGCAGTGCATTAAGGTTGCAGAAATTTACTTTCCAGAAGGTTTTAAAGGAACGCAGCTTCAATGGCAGCAAGGTACCTGAAACAGGAACCCTTCCAGAGTGTCTCTGTTTTGTTGGCCTTTGAGACCTGCCGCTTCTGACTGCGGGGACCTGGGCTGCCCCAGATCTGTCTGTCAGAAGCCTGGAGTTGTTAAGCTGGTGAAATTTAACACCACTGTAAAGAGCCCCTCACAGACAATTCAGGAACGCTTACAGATAGAAACCGGTCCTGGTTTTAAGGTGTAATTTTGCACAAGTGTTAACAACAAGAGATGGAATTGGTAACGAGGCACTGGGGTCGGATCTTCATATTTTTGTCACATTTCATCGGTGAGATCAGTAGGTCTGTCTCCCCTAAGAGGAGTGTGGAATTTAGTGTTTTTCCTTTTTTGGGCTGTGACCCAAGAGCTTGTTTTCAAGATATGTATTTATTTAGAATACAAGGCTCTTTTCCATAAGGAAAGAAAATGTTACAGAAATGAGCTCTCAGTTAATTGAATAAGAAACCTGTTCGTCTCATGACTCACTTAAGAGAGAGCTGGCAGCCCTTCCTGAATGCCTATTACAGGCGGCACTGTGTCCTTTTACTTAATCTTCCCAAGGAGGATGAGGGTTGCAGGCTCCCCAGGCCCATCGCTGTGTTGGTGAGTGACAGAGCCTCTGTAAAGGAATGGGGATGAGCTCTGAGCCCTTTTCCCGTGGGCTCTGCTGCCTGGAGGCATGCCCTCCCTCGGCTTGTCTTCCAGCTCTCGCACAGAACCAAGTGTTAACTGGTGGTGGTTTGGAGACGAGAGGAAATGGACCGTAAGGACCATTGAGTTGGCATAAGGAGACCAGGGCCCAACTCCGGACCCTACCAGAGCAGAGTCTTTCTCCTCTGTAATGTGAGACTGTAGAGCTCTAGAATGTTCCTTCTCCAACTCAGAGCTGATGCTGTCAGGGCCCTGCTGCAGGGTCCTTCAGTGGCTCCCTGTGGCCTGAAGGACAAGCCAGCTCCTGCCCTGGAAGCCGTGGGGATGTGGTCCTAGCCTGTGCTCCTGCCTCGCTCACCTCCCTGGAACACCAGGGCCACCTCTCTGGGCTCCTCCTGTGCCCCAGTCTGCTCCTGCCACCCCTGTCCCACCGTGCTTCCTCCCTCCCTGTGCCTCAGCTCAGGCCTTGCCACCTGGAGCTCTGACCTCGTCCGTCTTGGAATGAGGCACCTGCATGGGTAGCCCATGGGTAGAGTTGCAGTCATCTGTTTGCTTTCGATTCACTCCCGCATCCCGACACAGTGCCCAGCACATCATCGATGAATGAGTGTGGGGCAAATGCTTGCACAGAAGTCCGTGCGTGAGCCACGACGGTAAACAGAGGCGCTCCTCTTGTCCTAATGTGGAACTCCCCAAGCTACGGGAAAGGGGTGCATATGGACCGCTGCTCACTCACGGCTCAGATACTTCCACGGTAATGGGTTGGCGACAGTGACTCAGCTTCTCATAGGTTCAAGCGGAAGAAATGGTGAGTCCTGGAGCACTGCTTGCTTTGAAGTCTGTTTCAGACTAGGGTCATGTTTCAAAGTTTTTGAATTTCTTTTTTATTCAAAAGACATTTGATGAGTTGACTATTGGGGGAACCTTGACCCCGGTGACTCCGTGGGACAGGGGATACCCCCGGGGTCCCTTATAAGCCTGCTGACTCACCGCCTGTTCTCCATCTTCTGTCTTCCACATTAGAAGCAAGGGCGGGGACATTGCCTTTCCCGGCCGCTGCGGTGTCCTGGCGCAGGGCACGTGCCTGAGGGCCCTTGGTCATCCGAGGGAGGACTGCACCAGGGACATCAGAGTGCTGATCTTACAGGAAACGGCAAATGAATGGAATTGGTCTGACTCCATATTACTCCTTACTTAGATGTAAAACAAATACACATGATTTTTCATCCTAGAAGAAAGTCTAAACGAACTCTTGACAAAAACAGCCAAGTTCAGAGAAAGCTGACTCTGTTGGTGTAAGAAGCGTTTTTTCAGGCTGGGCTGCTGGCTCATGCCTGTAATCTCAGCACTTTGGGAGGCCGAGGCAGGTGGATCACTTGAGGTCAGGAGTTCGAGACCAGCCTGGCCAACATGGGGAAACCTCGTCTCTACTAAAAATAGAAAAATTAGCTGGGCGTGGTGGCGCATGCCTGTAATCCCAGCTACTTGGGAGACTGAGGCAGGAGAATCACTTGAACCCGGGAGGCAGAGGTTGCAGTGAGCTGAGATCACGCACTGCACTCCAGCCTGGGCAACAGAGCGAGAATCTGTTTCAAAAAAAAAAAGAAGAAGAAGCTGTTCTCCGTGAGTCAGCCCCGGTGTCTGATAAGTGTCTGCAGCTGACAGCTCAGAGCTGGTGTCAACCCACTTTGGAGGCTGGGGTGGGAGGCAAGAAACCCAGACAGAACCCCTCCTGGCTGCAAAACCTCCAGGCTTAACTGTGGCGCCCACTCCATGGTGGGTCTTAACTCTCCTGAAAACACTTCATGGGCTGTGGGCCTCTCGGGTGCTTCTGCGCCAGCTCTTCCTCTTCACCTCCTGCCACAGATCTGTGTCCCCAGGCTCTCCTGTGTGTCTCCCTGCTCCTCCTTTCCCTCCAGGTCCGATTCCACAGCCCTGGGCTGCCTTTCCACCTCTGCCTTCTCTGGGGTATGTCCTCGCCTCTCCTGTCACCATTGTCCTCAGGGATCTTCCAGCTTTCCAGGCATTTGGAAAGAGGCCTCCATACCTTGATGTGGCCTCCCAGGTTCCTTGCGACAGAGTCCTGCGTCGGGATACCAGGGGCTGGGCGCGGTGGTTCATACCTGTTATCTCAGCACTTTGGGAGGCCAAGACAGGAGGATTGCTTGAGGCCAGGAGTTTGAGCCAGCCTCGGCAGCATAATGAGATTCCATCTCTACAAAAAAATAAAATTTAGCCAAGTGTGGTGGCATGCACCTGTGGTCCCAGCTACTCGGAAGGCCAAGGCAGGAGGATTGCTTCAGTCCTGGAGGTTGAGGCTGCAGTAAGCTATAATCGTGCCATTCCAGCCTGGGAAACAGGGTGAGATCCTGTCTCAAAAAAAAAATAATAATAATAATAATAATATTTGTAGGGGAAGGACACTCAGATTTCCTACTGGAAGCAAGGCTTCCTCATTCCATCAGATTCTGCTCCTCCTCCAAGGCTCGGCTCAGGGGCCTGCCCCTCCATGAACCTTCCCAGCCCTCAGCCCCCTTCCTTCCTATTCCCCCAGCACCGACGTCACCTCATCCTGCCCGACTCTGTAGCATGCAGGCCTCCGTCCTCCACCCAGCTGCAGAACCGGAGACCTCAGGTGGTATCTGGTTCCACGTGTCCCCAATGGCACCTCGCCTGGAACGATGTCTGCGCCGACCAGTGATAACAATCGAAATAGCAGGCGTGGCTGACCGTGTGCCGAGGCTCGGCGTGCCGCACTGGCCAGCCGTGATTTCATCTCAGCCTCTAGCATCCTGCTGGGGTAGGTTAATAATCCCTGGATTTCTCAGATGGGAAATGTTAGGAAAGTCTGTAAGCCCCCATGGAAGGTCCCGGAGCCCAAATTCAAACCCGAGTGGAGCGTTCTGTTGCTTCACTGTGCTCTGGTGTGAATTTTAATGTAAGGCCCTGGCATTTAAGAGCTCGAAGACACCATGGAGGTGGAGAGCTCAGCCCTGTCATTGGATGGAAGCTGAGACTGGTGAGATTCTCACCGGGGCTTTTGCAGGGAGTTTGGGGGAATTTTGAAGGTGGTACAGGTGTTCTGACCCCAACACCATCTCCTCCAGCTGGGCCACACACTTATTTCCTGCTCCTACCCCCGTCCTTCCCACCCCTTGGATTCTGGGTGTACAGAAGAGTGGGCACATGCTAAGGTCAGCCCTGGGTTAGCCTCATGGACAAGGTGGGCCTGGAGCAGGAACCCGCCTGATAGAAGACACTCAAAGTCTGTCCGTACACGCTCGGTGTGGGCATCGCTTGCACGCAGGTGCAGCTTTTGCTGTGGGAAACCACTTTAAATGAATTGATAGCCTCACCACAGTGGAGCCATGGCCCGACTGTGGAGAGACTCCATTGTAGAGAAATATTTGAGTGAAAGGTTTCATGTCAGAATAGCATCTGCATGCAAATAAGAGGCATGGGCGGGTGCAGTGGCTCACACCTGTAATTCCAGCTACTTGAGAGGCAGAGGCAAGATGATCTCTTGAACCCGGGATTTTGAGACCAGCCTGGACAACATGGTAAGACCCCATCTCTTAAGGAAAAAAAAAAGGTTTAAATTAGCTGGGCGTGGTAGTCCCCGTAGATGAAGTTATTTGGGAAGCTGAGGCAAAAGGATTGCTTGAGCCCTGGAGTTCAAGGCAGTAGTGAGCTATGATTGTGCCACTGCATTCCAGACTGGGCAACAGAGCCAGACCCCATCTCTTTTGTTTGTTTGTTTGTTTGTTTGTTTGTTTTGTTTTTTTGAGATGGAATCTCACCCAGGCTGGAGTGCAGTGGTGAGATCTTGGTTCACTGCAACCTCCGCCTCCTGGGTTCAAGCGATTCTCCTGCCTCAGCCTCCCAAGTAGCTGGGATTACAAGTGCCCACCACCATGTCTGGCTAATTTCTGTATTTTTAGTAGAGATGGGGTTTCACCATGTTGGCCAGGCTGATCGTGAACTCCTGACTTCAAGTGACGCTCCCACCTCGGCCTCCCAAAGTGCTGGGATTACAGGTGTGAGTCACCGCGCCTGGCCCAGACCCCATCTCTTTAAAACAAAAAAGTACATGGGATAAATGGGGAAAACACTCTTGAGACAAGACCAAAACATACAGTGGCTGCTAAATGTCAGTGCCATGAGCCCAGGGTTCTCCTACATCCCCTTCCGTGGTCAGGGAGGACTGCTGGGCTCTGTGTCTTCTGTGATTCTCCCCTGGCTCTGAGCCCTTTGCACCTGCAACTCACAGCGCCGCTCAGGTCCCTGGGGGTAAAGTGCCATAGGATAAAAGCCACAGGAGGGTTTTGAAATGCTCTTTTCCTCTCAGATATGTATTTCCGCATCTTTACGGAGTCTCATCAACGCTTTTTAAACCTCCCCTGGGATTTGAACCAGCGCCCATAGATACAGGTGGCTTGTCAGGTCAGCTAGGTGCTGCTACTGAGGCAGCATCTGTCCCTAGCCCCGCACCCACAGGTTCAGAAGGGGAACGCTTCCCCCGGGTGGCTTATGAGATCCAGTACTTCTAGTTTCACTTCTTTAAAAATACCGTAAAAAAGAAAAAGGCTGTCAAAACACAAGCAGTGTTTGAAACGAAGCTTTGTAGGTCCCCCTACACCACCACCGTCGTGGGCAGCATAGCGGATGAGTTCTGGGACACCAGCTAAAATGTGGGCAAGAGAAGCCAGGGCGCGTAGCAGATGTGTGTGTGTATCTTTATGGGATTCAAGTCATGTCTCTGTTTTGTTGACCAACTTCCGCTAGAATTCATAGCCATCTAGCCTATGTATTGGATTTTTATTTCTGTGATGTCTGCTTCTTTTAAAAATATCAGTTGGGGCCGGGTGTGGTGGCTCATGCCTGTAATCACAGCACTTTGGGTGACCGAGGGGGGTGGATCACTTGAGGTCAGGAGTTCCAGACCCACCTGGCCAATATGGCCAAACCCTGTCTCTACTAAAAATACCAAAATTAGCTGGACGTGGTGGTGTGCACCTGTAATCCCAGCTACTCGGGAGGCTGAGGCAGGAGAATCACTTGAACCCGGGAGGCAGAGGTTGCAGTGAGCTGAGATCGCGCCACTGCACTTCAGCCTGGGGAACAGAGTGAGACTTCATCTCAAAAAAAAAAAAAAAAAAATCAGTTAGTAGCCAGGCACCATGCACACACCTATAGTCCCAGCCACTCAGGAGGCTGGAGGATCACTTGAGTTCAGGAGTTCAAGACCAGTCTGGGCAACATAGCAAGACCTCATCTCTACAAAAAATAAAAAATTAGCAGGGCATGGTGGCACATGCCTGGAGTCCCAGCTCCTTGGGGGAGGCAGGAGCATCTCTTGAGCCCAGGAGTCCGAGACCAACTTGGGCAACATAGTGAGATTCCGTTTCAAAAATATGTATCAGTAGGTTAATCTAGACTTTGTTTACATGGGCCAAGTGGCCAAGGTCACATCTTAGAGTTGTGGACTGTATAATCAGGTAAGTGTGGCTACAGTCACAGAAAGTCAGGGTAGAAAGAGGCTTGGAGGGGGGTGCACTTCTTCTAGCCAGAGCTTTCCTACTGAGCTCCTTAAAGCACAGGGGAAAGTGGGACGGGGTTGGGGGGCAACCTAAAACCCACCCCCTCCCATCTTCAACCAGTGCGACCCTGTTTTTACCTGCTCAGCAGTATTGTGCATCCCTGTAAAATTTTATTTGAAAATGGCCTTCTGCAGTTAAAACTACAAAAAAAGGTTGAAAGTGGCCAACTTAAACTCCACTCTGTTTCTTTTTTGATTGGGGAGACTGGTGTGCATAGAAGGGAGGTGTCAGCTAACGAGACTGTTACCTCACCACAGATGCCCACCCGTGGGTGATGGAGCTCCCAAGTCCTGGGCCACACCCTACGTGCCCCATGCCCAGCAAGTTGGGTGGGGGAGGGGTCAGTACATGTTTGTAAGATAAAGAAAAACATCCTTCCCAATCAGCCGTATTACCCAGAGGGTGATACTGATTTAGATCTTATTTCAGTTTGGTTAGAGAAGCTCAGGTACCAGTGAGCAGAAGTCTGGCCATTGTGGTGGCTTCTGGAAGATGATGTGCCATACTGTTAGCAGGGGTGCAATTTGGGGTGTGAGGCCACCAGAGCTTTGATTTCCGCCCCCGCCGCCCCCCTCCAACCCCCGCCCCGCCGGATTATTTGGAGTTTTTTTATTGTTGTTCATGGTAATTACCTGCTATTAGACAACAATCTAGTTCCATTTGCAATAGGGAATAATACGTCTGTGACACAGTCTCCAGACTTAGGGAGCCTCTGGCCACCCCGAGGGGGCCCTGGTCATTCTGCTGCTGGTCATGCCTAGCTCTGGGTGGCCGACTAGGTGGCCTGGGCGGGAGGGTCCACTCTTTGCCTTTATAAAAAGAAGGGCTTGGGCCAGGCGTTGTGGTTCATGCCTGTAATCCCAGCACTTTGAGAGGCCAAAGCAGGAGGATCACCTTAGGTCAGGAGTTCAAGACCAGCCTGACCAACATGGCAAAACCCCGTCTCTACTAAAAAATACAAAAGTTAGCCGGGTGTGTGGTGGGTACCAGTAATCCTAGTTACTCGTGAGGCTGAGGCAGGAGAATCGCTTGAACCCGGGAGGTAGAGGTTGCAGTGAGCCGAGGTTGCACCATTGCACTCCAGCCTGGGTGACAGAGTGTGACTCCGTCTCAAAAATAAATAAATAAATAAATAAATAAGATAACAAGGCGTGCTGGAGATGGCCACAGGCCTCCAGCAGCCGCACCATCAGAGAAATGGAGTCAGAGAGAGCTGCAGCTGCTCTGATGGGGGGTGGGAGTATGCAGGATCCTCTGGGGGTGGCTCAGGCCTCCCAGGGGAGCACTTACCTTTTCATTTCATAGTATGTCGGAGCTGCTGATGCAGGAATAAAGCAAAGTGCCTGGCACTCTGCGCGACTGCTATTTTTTCATTCATTCATATATTTGTCCTTCCTCTACACATGTATGGCAGATTAACAAAAGCACCTCCACGGCCTAGCTATGTGGCCCCCACGGGTTTCTTAGCCTCTCTGAGCAAGTTGGACAGGGCTGCCTTTTCCTCTCCCTAACTCTGACTTCTGTCCCAGCCTCTTCCATCTAATGTCAGCCCTCATCCCTGCCTGCCCCTCCCGGTGCAGACTGGGACATTCTCAGGCTGTTTGAGCCACCCCTTCATCCTCTGTGCTTTTCCCTGGCATCCTGGACTCCCTTCTCCCCTTCATGGTGCTCCTAGGCCATTCCCAGCGCTCCTGTTACTCTCTCTGTCCTCCCAGCCCCAAACCCGTCCAGCTCTGTATCCATCTGCCTGGCTGCCATTCATGCTGCAGACGTAGCACTCCCAGAGCCCATCTGTCTCCACACATTGAGGCTTCCAGCCCCCTAACCCCGGTAGTGGCCACAGTGCCCAGTGGGCCACCCCAGCCAAGCCCAAGAGTGGCCACATGGGAGCCCTTCTTCCATCTCCCTCCCCTCATCCACACATTACCAAGTCTTGCCAATTTCATCTCCTGAGGACCTCAGCTTCTGTCATTCTCTCCCCATTATACTGCAGTTGCCACCGTTATTTCTCTCCTAGACCTTGGCTGGCATTACTTGGACATTCATTTCTTTGGAATCTCTTGGCCAGCTTTGCACACCTTTAACTAGACTAAGAAGATTTGAGGCCAGGGGCAGTAGCTCATGCCTCTAATCCCCAGCAGTTTGGGAGGCCGAGGTGGGCAGATCACCTGAGGTTAGGAGTTTGAGACCTACCTGGGCAACATGGTACCCCGTCTCTATTAAAAATACAAAAATTAGCCAGGTGTGGTGGCACACGCCTGTAATCCCAGCTACTCGGGAGGCTGAGGCAGGAGAATCGCTTAAACCCAGGAGGTGGAGGCCGCAGTGAGCCAAGATTGTGCCATTGCACTCTAGCCTGGGTGACAGAGCGAGACTCCGTCTCAAACAACAGCAACAAAAAAGGAAATATGAGCTCCCTTCCCAGATCCGTGCCTCTGGACCTGGGCTGAAGGCTTCTACTCCCTCCATTGTCACCTTCGGGAATCTGCTTGTTACCTTCCTCCCAAGAATGTTCCAGAAGGTCTTGGTTTAATTTCTGGAGGGCATTCAAGAACTCAGTCATCTCACGTGTCTAGAAGAGAAACATTAAGGCCAGGCACGGTGGCTTATGTCGGTAATCCCAGCACTTTGGAAGGCTGAAGCAGGAGGACCACTTGAGCCCAGGAGTTCAAGACCAGCCTGGGCAACATAGCAAGATCTCATCTCTACAAAAAAAAAAAAAAAAAAAAATTAGCCGGGCATGGTGGCACATGCCATTAGTGTCAGTTATTTAGAAGGCCGAGACGGGGGGATCATTTGATCCCGGGAAGTGAAGGTGCTGTGAGCTGCGATCCTGCCATTGCATCCAGCCTGGGCAACAGAACAAGACCCTGTCTCAAAATTAAAAGAGAGAGAGAAACAAACATGGCAGCTCAGAAACCTGGCTGGGGGTGATTGTGGGGAACTGCTGCTGACGGGCTCTTGGGCACACCCCTCACTCCAGCCATTCTGCCTGGATGCCTTAGGAACACTCCTCATACCCTCCTAAGAGTCCCATCCAGGCCGCCATGGCTCACTTATCCCTGCCACGTGGACTCCAGAAAACATTCTCAGTAGAAACCCACAGAAACTGTTCCCAGTCACAAAGCACGCCAGGTGCATCCTGTTCTTTCTGTCATTTAAAAAAATGAATGTGTCTCTATCCCTCCTTCTTATAAAACAGTACCCTCTCACCCTGCATGGCTTAAATTCTGGTCTATCTTACGCCTTTGGATTCAATGACCTTCATCAAATGTCTGCAAGGCAAGGGCCATTTACAGTAAACATGGTGGGAACTTAGCAATGTACTTGGGAAATAAATTCTGGTCACCAAATAGAGAAGCAAATGCAACAAATAATCCCACAGACCATTATAAAATGTCTTTTAGACGATAGTTGTCAAGAATTAGAGTTACTCGTCCAAAACTGTTGTTGGTGTTTGGAAGCATCCAAACATCGGCTGGCCCATGTCCCATAGGGGCGTCTGCTTAGCACCCTGGTGAGTGGAGAGTTGTGTGTATGGGGACTTAGCAGAGTGGGAAGCAGCTTGCAGGAAGGTTGCCAACGCTTATTAATATTTACCAAAAAGATGCAGGACCGGCTGCGGTGGCTCACGACAGTCCTCCCAGCACTTAGGGAGGCCGAGGTGGGTGGATCACCTGAGGTCAGGGGTCCAAGACCAGCCTGGGTAAAATGTAGAAACTCCATCTCTCCTAAAAATACAAAAATTAGCCGGGCATGGTGGTGCACACCTGTAGCCCAGCTACTCGGGAGGCTGAGGCAGGAGAATCGCTTGAACCCAGGAGGCGGAGATTGCATGAGATGAGATCGCGCCACTGCACTCCAGCCTGGGCAACAAAGAGCAAAACTCCATCCAAAAAAAAAAAAGAGAGAGAGATGCAGGACCATCTGCCTATGTTCCATTTTGGTGATGATATCTGACCTTCTGGGAGAGAGAACATCTTACCCCACAGACCCAGGAAGGCATGCACATGAGGATGGCAGGAGAGTGGCTGTGGACACTTCCTGTGTCACCATCCTCTGCTCTAGGTGTGTACTGGTCACAGGCACAGGACAGAAGGCTCCCCAGAGTCCGATCCCGTCTCTTGAGCTCAGCTGGCTATCCTGGAACCCCCCAACCCGCTGACCTTTGGAAGTGGACAGCAGCCCACGCCTGCAGGTGGTCCGGCCCTGCTGTGCAGCCCTGTTACAGCACGTTGTGTTTTTCTGGCTTGTCTCTGCCAAGCCCCATGTGACCATGGAGGGGGCCCCGAGCAGACCTGGGGGTGGCGGTACTGAGGCAGAGGCAGGCGCACAGTGGTTTCCAAGGGAGAAAATGAATTCATGATCTAAAATGCAAAACCTTAATTATGCCTGACTCCTTTCCTCCCTCCCTCCCTCATTTCTCTCCCTCCCTCCCTCCCTCCCTCCATCCATCCTTCCCTCGTTTCCTTCCCTCCGTCTTTTTCCTTCCCTCCCTTACTTCCTTCCTCTCTTCCTCCTACCCTTCATTGACCTTTCATTTTGTGACTTTGTCAAATACAGCCCCAGGCTATCTTCTCTTTCTCCTCTGCTCCAGGTTGTTTTCTCTTGCTCCTCTGCCGCATACATACCCTTCCACCCTGCGTCTGCCCATGGAAATCTCGTGTCCCCTCCAGTATTCCTGCCCACAGTGGCCTTTGTTAGGAAATTCCGGCACAGTCTCCTCACAGGGCAGCCCTTCTGGGAATCGCTCCCCTGCGCTCGTGTGCACTCCCCTGCGCTCGTGTGCACTCCGGCCCAGCCTTCAGAGCTGCTTACCTGGCTCTTGTCTTGTGTCCTCTGACCGCCCATCAGGGCCTGCCCATGGGGCTCTGTCTGCAGGGGAGCAGCCCCAAACACAGTCCTTGTCAGCACGCCGATCTGGACCTGAATTGGGCCCTTGCACACACTAGCTGTGGACCGAAGACAAATCAGGTTCTCCCCGTCCCCAGAGTGGGGAAAGCGGTAGTGTGGGCCTCCCTGGGGTGCCCATGATGGTGTAATGAGTGCGTGCACGGAGCCTGCTCCACGTCTCTATGGACATTTCCATAACTTTTCTTTTGGTTTGTTTTTTTGTTTGTTTGTTTGTTTGTTTTGTTTTCTCTGAGACGGAGCCTCACTCTGTCACCCAGGTTGGAGCGCAGTGGTGCAATCTGGGCTCACTGCAACCTCCGCCTCTTGGGTTCAAGAGATTCTCCTGCCCCAGCCTCCCGAATAGCTGGGATTACAGGTGCCCACCACCACGCCTGGCTACTTTTTGTATTTTTAGTACAAACGGGGTTTCACCAGGTTGGTCAGGCTGGTCTCAAACTTCTGAACTCAAATGATCCTCCCGCCTCAGCCTCCCAAAGTGCTGGGATTATAGGCATGAGCCACCAGGCCCAGCTAACTTTTCAATTTATAAACACTAATACCTACTTGTGTCCCGTGGCCTCATCTCAGCCATGTGAGGCCGATGTTGTGCCCATTGTACAGATGGCAGAGCGCAGCTGTGTGTGCAGTGCGGATTGCAGGACTGTGCCTGAGTCTGGGACAGGGTCTTTGCCACAGCTCTTGGGATCCTCTCTTCTCATCAATGTTATCTCAGAGAGCTTTCACTGTTGGATAAGAGGTTGACCCTGGACCCCACCCCAGTGCTGCTGGGCCCTGTGGGCACTCACAGAGCAGTCCTTGCTGGCCTGACTCATATTCCTGAGTCTCAGGGGTTCCTGTGCCACCAGAGAACGAACTCCCCAACTGTCAGTCACTCAGCTCAGTGCCTGTATCTTAAATTGGGCACCTTTAGCAAAAGTGCAGTGTGGAACTGTGTATCCTGCTGCCCCAGCCCAGGACCTAGCACAGAGCCGGGTACTGTGCCATAATAAGCCTTGGTAAAGGCTGCTGTAGGCTTCACAGTACAGATGGCAGGGCTGTGCCCGGGCTGCAGGCTCCCATTTAC
The DNA here is from genome assembly GCF_000001405.40 of Homo sapiens. NCBI lineage: Eukaryota > Metazoa > Chordata > Mammalia > Primates > Hominidae > Homo > Homo sapiens. The sequence continues at coordinate 101,998,195 of NC_000007.14, forward strand.
CAGATGTGTGCAGTGTGGATTGCAGGGCTGTGCCCGGCTGCAGGAACACATTTACTGGATGTGTGCAGCACGGATTGTAGGGCTGTGCGTGGGCTGCAGGCACACATTTACTGGGTGTGCACAGTGCGGATTGCAGGACTGTGTCTGAGCTGTAGGTGCACATTTACCGAGTGTGCACAGTGTGGATTTCAAGACTTAGAGATGAGACAGCCAGTTCCTGTCCTGCCCAAGGGTCGGGCAGGGATACGCATCAAAGACCCTGGGCATCTTTCCCAGCCCGGGCGGTGCCCCCAGCCATCGCTTCTCAGCAGGACAGCCGGCAGGGCATCTGTCGTCTTCGTCCACCAGCATCACGACCTGTTTGGGGGAGAAGTAGTATTTCCACACCCCACTCAGGGCGATAGCGTTTGAGGAAGAAGAGAAAGAGAGACTTTTGGCTTTCCTGATTTCAATCTTTCTGAAGGTGGACCCATCACTGGTGAAAAAAATTGGTTTTTTTGGAACCAAGAAAGCAGCCTCGGCCTCCAGTGCCTGACCAGGCTCTGGCCAGGGTATAGGATCCTGGCGAGGATGCTGTGCTGTGTTGGGCAGGAAGCCACTTCCTCCCTCTAAACGTCAGTGTCCAGCTCTCTCTTCGTCGCTTTCTTAAGTTGAGGGAGCTGCTATGCCAAGGGCAAGCAAGAAACAGGCCCCTGAGCCCCCAGGTTCACGGCTGGGCTTTGAAGCAGGAGTTTCCTCTTCGCCCTCGGGCCACACCTCTGTAGGGTGCCTCTGCAGCATTTCCCTCCTCGGGCAGGAGCCTAGCTTGCAGAGGACAGACAGGCAGGAATGCTGGCCTCCATCGTGCCACCAGATCCTGTCCCCAGGCAAGCAGGAGGGGAGGGGAGGCAGTCTCATCACTGCAGCAGGAGGGGCCACCTCTGGAGTCCGCATGGCTGTGGCTGGGCTGTGCTTCTAGAAGCAGCAGCTGTCGCCTCCACTCTCTAGGGATTTTTATCTTTCCTTTACAAACTTTTTTTTACCTTTTTTTTTTTTTTTTTTTTTTTAAGATGGGGTCTTGCTTGTTGCCCAGGCTGGTCTCAAATTCCTGGACTCATGTGATCCTCCTGCCTCAGCCTCCCAAAGTGATGGGATTACAGGCATGAGCCACCGCGCCTGGCCGATTTTTATCTTTCCTACCAGCCTTTTCATATGAGCTGAGCCTGCAGGCTGTGCCTAAGCATAGCCCTTTGAACTTGATTGACCATGAGCTTTGAAAGGCTGCTTTGCAGTCTCAGTTCTCTGGCAAATACACCAGCTCGGTTAAGACGACTTTTCTTTGATTGATGTCGGCTACATCTAGAAAGCAGGATTGCCACCACTCCTCGAAGCACCCCACGATTAGAGTGTCTGAGCGCTGCTTCTGCTCTGCTGAGGCTGGTGACAAATTGCCTGGAAAGACCTCCTGACAGAGGATGACGGGCTCGTCTGCAGCAGGGCCGCTTGCAGCCCAATTGCTTCCAAGATTAAACCTTTCCAAGGCAGTCTGCACTGCCCCATACACAGTTGGGCTGCTTGGTTTAAGATTATGGATGAATGTACTGAATTGGATCTCATTTAAAAATATATAGGTTTTGAAGTTTGAGGGCTCAGGAAGAAAATGAAATCCTTTGTCCCAAACCAGGGCCTGGTTTTATCAGTGGCATGCGTGCGTGTGTGTGTGCGTGTGTGTGTGCATGTGTGTTCTAAAGAGACCCTAGTGGCAAGGCACAGTGGCTTATGCCTGTAATCCCAGCACTCTGGGACGCCAAGGCAGGAGGATCACCTGAGGTCAGGAGCTCAAGACCAGCCTGGCCAACATGGCGAAACCCCGTCTCTATAAAAGTACAAAAATTAGCTAGGCGTGGTAGCAGGCAACTGTAATCCCAGTTACTCAGAAGGCTGAGGCAGGAGAATCCCTTGAATCCGGGCGGCGGAGGTTGTAGTGAGCCAAGATCGCACCATTGCACTCCAGCCTGGGTGACAAGAGCAAAACTCTATCTCAAAAAAAAAAAGAGAGAGAGAGAGAGACCCTAGTTTAGCTCTTTTGGAAAGCAGCTGCCCTGCATTGAGACACATGTGTCTTAAGCTTGCTTCTGGACGCTAGCACTAAAATAGCAATCGGACTCTGGATGCCTCTCACAGGCAACTTGTCCACAAAACCACTTCCAAATGTTTTCCCAAGTGCATGCGTCTGACCCAGGCTTCTTTCTCATCCGCCTCTTGTGGAAGGAAGATCGCATCTTGAGTTCTAAAGATTTTTAAACAATCTCATACCTGCAGAGCAATGTATATTTCAAGACCATTGACATTGGAAAACATTCTTGTTTAATCAATGACTCTGGTCCTGCTTTAGATTTCTCCAAAAATAGCCAGATCCCGTGGGCACGTTGAAGCTGCAGCCCATTGTGCAGAATTGCTTAATGTGTACCTCACCTGGTTTTGGCCTTCACACAACTGTTGCTCCCTTAGCAAGGGGTTCATTTGGTTGGGTTTTATGTGCAGGAATGCTGGTGGGTTGGGTGAGTATTAGTATTTAAGGGAAGGTTTTGTTTTTGTTTTGTTTTGTTTGTAAGAGCTAGGGTCTCACTTTGTCACCCAGGCTGGAGTGCAGTGGTGCGATCATAGCTCACTGCAACCTCAAACTCTTGGGCTCAGGTGATCCTCCCACCTCACCCTCCCTGAGTAGATGGGACTATAGGGTGTGCATCACCATGCCAGGCTAATACTGTTTATTTGTATTTTTGTAGAGGTGGGGTATCGCTTTGTTGCCCAGGCTGGTCTTGAACTCATGGGCCTCAAGTAATCATCCCACCTTGGCCTCCCAAAGCATTGGGATTACAGGCATGAGTCACCATGCCTGGCCATAGGGGAAGATATTTTTAAACAAGATTTGCTTTTGACTAGTGTCCTGCATTTGTTAAAGACCCTAGATTGCTCCAGGTGTTCTAAAAATAACCAAGCCCACCTGCCTGCCTTCTAGATATGGGCTGGAGGGCCTGCCAGGAGCATTCTTGGGGATTGCCAGTAGCCCCAGTTAGCCCAGGCTGACTTACACTTCCTCCCTCTCTTAACCAAAATAATGTTGAATTTTTGTGTTCCTTGTCTTTTAACTGAAAAGCTCCTGTTTGTTTGTTTGTTTATTTTCTGAGACAGAGTCTTGCTCTCTTGCCCAGGCTGGAGTGCAGTGGTACGATCTCAGCTCACTGCATCCTCCGCCTCCCAAGTTCAAGCCATTATCCTGCCTCAGCCTCCCGAGTAGCTGGGACTGCAGGTGCCCTCCATCACACCAAGCTAATTTTTGTATATTTAGTAGAGACAGGGTTTCACCATGTTGGCCAGGCTGGTCTCGAACTCCTGACCTCAGGTGATCCACCGCCTCAGCCTCCCAAAAGTGCTGGGATTACAGGCGTGAGCCACCGCGCCCGGCCCCGTTTGGTGTTTTTAATGCTGTATTGCCATTATTTGCACTTATTCTTTTGCAAAATTTCAGCACCTGGTGGTCAGGATGTTCCTCCTGGCCATGCACATGCAGGACACACAACAGGTTCTTGATAAGCGTGTGCTGAGCAAAACTCACTCCTTCCTTCTGGACACATTCATCACAGGTGTGCTCGAAGCAGCAAGAGCTTGCCCCTGCTCAGAAGTGCTTAGTTGCTAATTAGATGTTTCCGCAAAGGTACTGAAATTGGAGGCATCAGTGTTCATCCTTTAGCTATAGCGTTGGAAAAATGTGATTGATTTACAACTGTGACTAAAAAGGTGTTTAGAGAACTGTTCTATGTAAAACAAGACAGTAAGCTGGGCACGGTGGCTCGTGCCTGTAATCCCAGCACTTTGAGAGGCTGAGATGGGTGAGTTGCTTGAGCTCAGGAGTTCTAGACCAGCCGGGGCAACATAACGAGACCCCCATCTCTATAAAAATATATATTTTTTAAAAAGCTGAGTATGGTGGTGCATGCCTGCAGTCCCAGCTACTCCAGAGGCTGAGGCAGGAGGATCTCTTCAGCCCAGGAGGTGGAGGTTGCAGTGAGCTGTGCTTGCACCACTGCACTCCAGCCTGGGCCTCAGAGTGAGACCCTGTCTCAGAAAGAAAAAATAAATATATATAGTGTGTGTGTGTGGTTGCAACTTTTGCACATCACCTTGAGTTCTGGGCAAGGGGAGAGGAACTGAGATTGGTCACTCCCTTCTTGCGTGGATGGCTGTGGGATTTGGGTGAGTTTTTTGCTCCATAGTGCTTTTCACCCTGTATTTTCTCATAGGTTTTGCCCCACTGGGGCTTTGTATAGAGATTGGGGCTCTCAGGTCCCATATGGCACTTACTAGCGAGAGTTCCGAGTGGCCAGTCCCCTCCCTGCCCTGGCATTGGTACAAGGGGGCCTTGCTGTTGGACCACAGTCTTCCAAGAGTCCAGCTCCCCTGTTCTATCGAGTCTGAAGCAAGGTCCCACTTGGGAGTTACAGATCAGGCTCCTTTGATGTCAGAGCATCGCAGCGGAATTCTAGGCCACCCGGCAGTGAGTGCTCTCTGCAGATCTGTGAGTGGTGCTGGGCCGCCCTGCCACCTCCATCCCTAGCACCGTATCTGTGTGAAAAAGCTGTGACCTGCCCCTTGGGTGGAAGCCTTCCAGTCCTTGGAAGGGGAATCTTTGCTGCTGCTACTGTCTGCAGAGAGACTCTTTTTATTTTTATTTATTTATTTTTTTTGATGGAGTCTTGCTCTGTCACCCAGGCTGGAGTGCAATGGCACAATCTCGGCTCACTGCAACCTCCACCTCCTGGGTTCAAGCAATTCTCCTGCCTCTGCCTCCTGAGTAGCTGGGACTACAGGTGCTTGCCACCACACCCAGCTAATTTTTGTATTTTTAGTAGAGACAGGGTTTCGTGTTGGCCAGGCTCGTCTCAAACTCCTGACCTCAGGTGATCTGCCCGCCTCGGCCTCCCAAAGTGCTGGGATTACAGGCGTGAGCCACCAAGCTCGGCCCAGAGGGACTCTCTAGAGAGGCCCCTTGATCCCACAAGGGGCGGGGGTCTCTGGCCAGGCACAGCCCCTCCCCACTAAGCCCAGCACCTGGTGCCGAACACACACACACACACACACACACACACACACACACACACGCCCGCCCCCCGCTCCACTGTTCTGTTGTCAGTTGTGTTCGTTGTTTTCTTGTAAATAAACAGTATGACAATAAAGGGAAGTTACTTCTTAGCTGCTCAGAAGGTGACCAGAGCAGGGCTGGAGTGCCAGCCTTGCATTCATTGTTTGCTTTATTGCAAGGCTGCTTGGAATTGAAGGGGATCTCCGTTCGAGTCTGAGCTGGAGGAAGGAAGGGGCTCCTGTACCATGTATAGAACTTGGGCTCTCCCCGGGGTCAGGGGCCTGGGCTCTGGTGCAGCCCCACCACTTCATCAGGTCACCCCAGGTGGTTTCAGCCTCTGATTTCTCATCCCTGGAATGGGGTGTTTGCAGCCTCGTAGGTTGCTATGGGGATTGAATGAGATATGTTCATGAGCCAGTAAGGCAGCCAAGATGTCACTTACATGGAACTTACATTGCAACCCCAGTTTTAGAATAACATAGGATATTAAATATCACCATCTCCTTGAATACTCATAGTCCGCAGTTTGCTTCATGTTATAAGGTGTTTAGTTCTAGGCTGAGCCTGTAATCCCGCCACTTTGGGAGACTAAGGTGGGAGGATTGCTTGAGGCCAGGGGTTTAGAACCAGCCTGGGCAACATAGTGAGACCCCTGTCTCTACAAACTATATGTATACACGTATAAATTTTATAAAGATGTTTAGTTGTTCTGAATTTCCTAAAAAATACAGCTTAACTTTTTTGTCTTCCTTTACCTGCACCTGGATGCAGTGGGAAAGATTTTCCCAGTAGCACAAGGTGGACCAGGTGAGCTATCCTCACCCAATGGGGCTGAAAGACAGGGCTTTGATATCCTGCCCCAGAGCCCGGCTGTTACCACATGGTTTGATTTGCGATGCCAAGCAGGCTTCCTTACGGGTCCACACACCTCTGGTTTTTAGCTTGAGATTGGGGCAGCTGTTCCTCCTCTGGCCCAGCCAGGTATAATCAGGTACAAAGGAAAGTGACCTAGAATGAAGAGGTTGCCCTGACCTGGTGGTGGAATTGGAGCCTGGGAGCACGGGTCGGATGGCTTAGTTCATCTGTTTGGCAGTGGATCAAATCCCCCTCCTCCCACATACTTGATTTATGTGGACTGGGAAAGAATGTTGGGTTTCAACATAAAGAAAACAAATTTGGCTGATAACTCGTAAATCACAATAAACTTTCATTCCAAGAGTGTTCTGGGCTTCTAAGAAATATATTCCTATCTCACATCTCAGTTGATATTCACAGCCACCATTGAGCTAGAGTCATTCCCAGGTGGAGAAACTGAGGCTTGGGAGTTATGCCTGCCTTGGAGAGGGATGGGGCTAAGACTTGGGCTCTGGTGTCCTGACCACCGAGCCTGGTTCCTTCCACGTGGTCTGATTCCTGGGATGTGAAGCAGCCATCCTCACAGGGCCACACACCTGGACAGGTACACAGTGCAGCAAGTAGAGAGGCAAAGAAACAAGGGAATTGATCAGGGGTCCACACGCTTTCTCTAAAAGAGCCTGGTGCTACATATGTTAGTCTTGACGGAGAAAGAGGCAAAATCAGGATATCATGTAGGCACTTATATAACCACTTTAAATGCAACCATTTAAAAGTGTAAAAACCATTCTTAGCTCATGGGCCATAAAAATCCCAGCAGCTGGCTGGTTTTGGCCGGCTTGCCGCAGCTTGCTGACCCCTGGGAGAGAGCATCTGCTGCTATTGCAGGCAGGGGACTGCAGGTCATCCCCCTGTTTGGGTCCCACTCCTGCCCGTCATTCAGGCTCTGTCAGCTTCTACCCAGAAGTACCTGGGAGTCGGGGGTTTTGCTGTGTCACAGAGAACTTGGCTCTCGATAGAGTCGGAAAGGAATTCTGGGAAAACTCTAGAGATGCATTAAAAAATCTCCACTGGGCCGGGCGCGGTGGCTCACGCCTGTAATCCCTGAGGCAGGCACATTACCTGAGGCCAGGAGTTCGAGACCGGCCTGGTTTTTTGTTTTGTTTTGTTTTGTTTTGTTGAGACAGGGTCTTGCTCCATCATCCAGGCTGGAGTGCAGTAGCACGATCATAGCTCCACTGCAGCCTCGAGCTCCTGGGCTCAAGCGATGCTCCCACCTCAGCCTCCCAAGTAGCTGGAACCACAGGTGTGCACCACTGCACCCGGGTTAATTTTTTTATTTTTGCAGAGACGATAGTCTCCCTATCTTTCCCAGGCTGGTCTCAAACTCCTGCCCTCAAGTGATCCTCCTGCCTCAGCCTCCCACAGGGCTGGGGTTATAGACGTGAGCCACTGCACCTGGCCTCTTTCTTCTTGAGGCTAGTTTTCCTGACTGCGTGATTCCCAAAGCTTCACCCCACTGATGCTGGGTTCCCCTCCTCTGTCTACTCCACCTGCTGAGGCTGGGGCTCTCAGGGACACAGTCAGCAGCTCAGCCTCTGGAAAGACCTGGAAAGATCACATCCTTCTGGGAACCTGCTTCTGGAGGCACAAGTAGTGTAGCTCCTCTTAGGCCCTTTCGATGAAGTAAGAGCAGCTCATTAGCATCCCAGGCTACAAAGCCTAAAACCCTTTGCTTTTACCAAAACCAGAGGGTCTAAAGAGAAAGGTCACGAGGAGCGAGCGGCCGCGTGGATGAGGTTGGCCAGAGAAACTGGTTTGTTTTGGAAGCCGATGGAAGATGCGCTTGGAAGGCTAAGGCTGCCGAGGTTGAAGTCCGTCATTCTCAGTGCAGACCCTAGGGAGGAAGTAGCAGGACCCCAGTGGGGCTGCAGGCATTCAGAAAGAGAGCTGCCTGGGGTTTCCCTTCAGAACCTCCCTCCTTTTAACCCGGGAGTAAAGAGAAAAAGACCCGCGGGGTCCACTGGCTCGGAAGTCGGTCTCTTTCAGTTTGGAGCCTCCAGTTGGAAACCTGCCTTTTAATGGCCAGGCTGATGGTCTAGTTACTCTTTGAACAGGGAAGCCTCGTCAGGCTCTCTGCTGACCACGCCTCAGTGCTCCCTCGAAGGACAACTCTGGAATGCCAGTTTTTATCTCATCTCGGTAGAATGGATTTTTTTTCTTTTCTTTTCTTTTCTTTCTTTGAGACAGAGTCTCGCGCTATCACCCACGCTAGAGTGAAATGGCACGATATCGGCTCACTGCAACCTCCGCCTCCCGGGTTCAAGCAATTCTCATGCCTCAGCCTCCCGAGTAACTGGGATTACAGGAGCGCGCCACCACACCTGGCTAATTTTTGTATTTTTAGTAGAGATGGAGTTTCACTATGTTGGCCAGGCTGGTCTCAGGCGATCCACCCGCTTCAGCCTCCCAAAGTGCTGGGATTACAGGCGTGAGCCACCGTGCCCGGCCCTAGAATGAATTTTTCTTTTAGGGAAAATAAGGTTATTGGTGAATGGGTTTGGGCTGTCATCTTCAGAAACTGATTTCATCTAGAACAGTTTGTGACGGGCAGATGTGGAATAAAACCACTGGATGCATCAGGCGTCACTGCCAAGGGTGCAAGGGGCTGCTCCATGCTGGGCGTGCGAGAGGAGCAAGAAGCCGTCCCCGCCCACCACGGTGCAGGCCGGGATGCAGCGGAAAGCCCTTGCTTCTTAGATTTCCCACACAAAAGTGTATTTCTTGTAGATTTCGCCAGCGCGGGCCTCCTCCTCTGCTTGGCAGTGGCTCTGCACGAGCTGCCTTGGGATGGATCTCTCATCTTTGCTGCTGGCCTCATCCAAGGAACAGACCCCATGCACGGAGCCTAGATGCCCCGAGGTCTTCACTGATGGCCCTCTGAATTTTTATTTTGTTTGTATTTCATTTGTTACTGATTGAATTTTTGAGACAGGGTCTCGCTCTGTAGCGCAGGCTGGAGTGCAGGGGCGCGATCCTGGCTCACTGCAGCCTCGGCCTCCTGTACCTAAGCCATGGCCCTCTCTGACTTTGAACCCCTCAGTTCATTCTCAGATCAGACCACTCACTCACTGAGGCCCTCGGCTCTTCCACAGGTCTCAGCCTTTTGCCCCTTATAGTTTTTAGTTGTTGCAGCCTTTCTGTTCTCTTCCCCTCTCCTGTTAAGGGGACATTTCCAAGCACCCTGGCCACAGAACCTCCTCACCTCCCACCCTCCGCCCCTGGGTGCCAGGGCCTGGGTTCTCTGTGGAAGTCCTGCCAGCTCCGGGTATTTCCCACGTGGATTTCTCATCATCTTCACCACCAGATCAGTTCCTGGCCTGCACCCCTCCTGTCTGGCTTGTGGCAGGGGCTGCCACCCTCACCTGGGCCCTAAACTTCTACAAAGCCCCACTCTCTCCTGTTCCCGTCAGTCTGCTTGCCAAGTCCAGTTTATTTTAATTCTGGGGAACGTTGTCTTCCTCCTCCCCCCTCCCTCGCCACCACCCACCTCTGGTGTTTTTTTTGTTTTGTTTTGTTTTGTTTTTTTTGAGATAGAGTCTCACTCTTGTCACCCAGGCTGGAGTGCAGTGGTGCGATCTCGGCTCACTGCAACCTCCGCCTCCTGGGTTCAAGCGATTCTACTGTCTCAGCCTCCTGAGTAGCTGGGACTACAGGCACCCGCCACCACACCCGGCTAATTTTTGTATTTTTAGTAGAGGCAAGGTTTCACCATGTTGGTCAGGCTGGTCTCGAACTCCTGACCTCAGGTGATCTACCTGCCTTGGCCTCCCAAAGTGCTGGGATTACAGGCACCACTTCTGGTTCTGTTACCTTCGTCCAAACTTGTATTTCCCAGCTGGTATCTTCCATCTCCAGGCTTTCCCCTCTGGCCTGTCCTTTAGCAGGAGTCACCTTCCTGAAGCAGACCCTGGTCTGGTCTCTGCGTACTACCTTTTGCATGGTTGGTGGCCGTCCACCCGCCTCTCAGGCCATGTCTGGGTTCTTCTAGGGGCTTCGGTGATCTGGGAGCCTGTCCCCGCTGGCCCCCTCTCCCATGTCTTACTCCATCAGCTTCACCTTGTTTGTATCTCTGGATCTCCTCTTTTTTCCTTCTGTTTGTATCTTGTCTCTTTCTAGAAAGCCCCCCCACCTCTACTCGCCCCTCTGTGGCAAATATCACCCAATTCAGGTGCCCCCAGCCCAGCAAAGAGGGATTTTCATTCCTTGGGCCCCCGTTGTAGGCTAGCTGCGCCTGTCTTTCGGCACATTTCATTTCCTGCCTGGTATTTCGGTCGTGTGCGTGTCTTTATTCTCCTCGTGTAATCCCTGAGGTGCAGAGTGCGTGTCTGTCCTCCTCTGCCCTCTCTAGAGATTGGGATATGACCAGTGTTCAGCCCCCAACCAAAAGAGCCTAAGAACCCCAGGTCCCCAGCCTGTCCTGCTCTGCTGGGGGCCCACATGCCTGGGGACAAGGCACCTTTCCTTCCCTGACCTTGACTAGGACAGGACATGGGGTAGGGCCTGAACATTGAGCAATTGTCAAACTGCCTACTTACGATGAACAAAATAGCTTTTCAGGAGGCGAGACCACAGCACAGTCATGGTGAATCCTGATGCGCACCCCAGGTCTTTTATCAGGATTTTTGTTTTTCCTGGTGGGCACAGATGTAGGTGGAGCAGATCAGAGGCCTCTCAGGTTCTTGATCACTCATGGCAGTTCAGGCCTGCCAGTAGTGAGGTCAGAGATCCATACAGCAGGGGAGAGAAGGGAGGTACAGGGAACCCTCGGCCCCGCGTGCTCCAGCAGGTCTGCATGATTAACCTGAATTGCAGTGTTCAGAGGCTCGGCCTGCCAGCCACAGCGGTTCCAGATGAAATGCAGCTTAGAAGGCAGCATGGTGTAGTAGCTTTGGCGCCAGCCGCACCCAGAGTTTGGATTGTAGCCAGATGGCCTCAGGTGCAATGTATAACCTCTGGGAATTCCAGATTTCCTATTTACACGACAGGGATGATTCCATACCTGAAGGGCTGTTTGGAAGCATCTAGAAGCAAGCACAGTGGAGTGGCTGTCATGACGCTGACCGCACAAATGATGGTGTTAGGATCCCTCCACGGATGTGGCCAGGTGACACCCCTCACCTAGGCCGCACAGCACCCTAATGTACACACTGAAGAAAGGCTGCGTGGGGCTGCAGAGCGGCTCATTTCTAAGAAGGCCAAAGAAATTGCTCAGTCCAGACCAGGGAACCCAGTTTCTCTTTTAGAGGTGGGATCTTGCTATGTTGCTCAGGCTGGTCTCGAACTCCTGACCTCAAGTGATCCTCCCGCCTTGGCCTCCCAAAGTGTTGAGATTCCAGGCATGAACCACTGCACCCAACCTGTAGCCTCTTTCTACAAGTAAAATAATTCAGGTGAGTTCAGGCCCACGCCAGGTCTTAAACCCTGGCCCTCTGCCCATCTTCCAGCCTCCACCCCTTCTCTCTCCTTACAGAATCTTCTGTTCTTCTGCACACCAGCGTGGCAGACAGGTTGGCCAAGGGCCTTGGACTTCTTTATCTCTAGTACATGTTCCTGTAAATTTAAACCTCCTCAGTTGGGTAAAAGCTTTGGAATTACTAACATTCCTTTTGTGCTGCCTAACGTTCTTGCCATTTAAAAGATTAGCAGGCATAATTTCAGTGAGCCTTCGTGACTGGCGTGCCTCACTTAGCTTAATCCCTGGTTGGTACATGTTAAAACCTATAAAGACAGCCTCTCCAGCACACATGGGGAGCTTGAAAATGAAAGAAAGGTTGCTCTGACCTCTCAGAACTGCGGACTTCTTAAAAAAGAAAGAGTGAGGTGGGCGGCCTCCCTTGCTGCCGGTGCTAGATTCCATGATATGAAACAGCAAGGGTGCAGCTGGGTGCGGTGGCTCATGCCTGTAATCCCAGCACTTCGGAGGCGGGGGTGGGCAGATCACCTGAGGTCAGGAGTTCGAGACCAGCCTGGCCAACATGGTGAAACCCCGTCTCTACTAAATAATACAAAAATTAGCCAGGCATGGTGGTGAGTGCCTGTAGCCCCAGCTACTCAGGAGGCTGAAGCAGGAGAATCACTTGAACCCAGAGGTGGAGGTTGCAGTGAGCTGAGATCACGCCACTGTACTCCAGCCTGGGCAACAGAACAAGAAGACTCTGTCTCAAAAAAAAAAAAAAAAAAAAACTGACTTGGATATGTGCTTACATAAGAAAGGGAGATTCACCAAGTGAACCATGCATAGCATCTCTTAAATCTGTATCATGGAATTCGTGATTGGGCCTCTCTTTCATATCAGGCAACATACATGTGATGTACATACCTGTAGCTTCCGGGAAAGGGAAGGAAGTAGAGATGACATTGTCTGTTACTCGTTTGTATGTGTGTGTGCGTATTTAAGTAAATATGTGTGTGCATAGGGACATGTCACATGCATGTGTGGCACATTTATAGGATGAAGAGGTGTCTAAAAGACATTGAGGAAACTCAGTGAAGGAGTTCTGCCGGCGGGCGTGAGGACCACGCTAAAAGATGCCGGTTGTGCTTTGTGTCTAAGCTGAAAGCATGGATATCATTTTATAAAAGTAAAATTATATTGGCCAGGCGTGGTGGCTCATGCCTGTAGTCCCAGCACATTGGGAGGCCGAGGTGGGCGGATCACCTGAGGTCGAGAGTGTGAGACCAGCCTGACCAACATGGAGAAACCCCCATCTCTACTAAAAATACAAAAAATTAGCCAGGCATGGTGGCACATGCCTGTAATCCCAGCTACTCAGGAGGCTGAAGCAGGAGAATCACTTGAACCTGGGAGGCGGAGGTTGCAGTGAGCCAAGATCATGCCATTGCACTCCAGCCTGGGCAACAAGAGCAAAACTCCATCTCAGAAAAATAAAAAAAAAAAGTAAAATTATATTGTTATTGACGGTCTCTTTGTTCGAGTAAGCCGTCTCTGGATATATCATTGTATGGTGTATTCATGCCAAGGATTTGGTGTGAGTCTTGAAGCATTCACACCAAATTGTGGCCAAGCCCAGCACTGAGAGCGCAGTGGGCGTTCGGAGGACACGTTTGGATTTTGTGATCCTCTGCCTGGCAGGAGCTGCTCAGCCCCTACAGCCCCTTCCCCGAGACCACCAATGCGTTTCTCTTCAGTTTTGCTATTCTCATACGCTGGTGATGGGATTTTGGAGACAAACATGGTCTCTTCTGCTTGCTTGCTTGCTTATTTATTTATTTTTCCTCCCAGGTTCAAGTGATTCTCCTGCCTCAGCCTCCCAAGTAGCTGGGATTACAGGTGTGCGCCACCATGCCCAGCTAATTTTGTGTTTTTAGTAGAGACGGGTTTCACCGTGTTGGCCAGGCTGGTCTTGAACTCCTGACCTCAGGTGACCTGCCCACCTTGGCCTCCCAAAGTGCTGAGATTACAGACATGAGCCACCGCGCCTGGCCTTCTGCCTTTTTTGGTGAACTCCCTGTGGGTGGGAGAACTACCCGGTGGAGTCGGTACCTAACCAGGGCAGGACACGGAGGTACACCCCTCTCATTTTCGGCAGCAGGGTGAGAGGATTTTTATTATCTTACTTAGACACTTGAATTTATTTTTTTATTTTGAGACGGAATTTCGGTCTTGTCACCCAGGCTGGAGTGCAATGGTGTGATCGCTGGTCCCTGGGTTCAAGTGATTCTCCAACCTCAGCCTCCCAAGTAGCTAGGATTACAGGCGCCCATCACCACACCTGGCTAATTTTTGTATTTTTAGTAGAGACGGGGTTTCACCATGTTGGCCATGCTGGTTGACGCTTGAATTTATTTATTTATTTCAGATAATTTTGGACTACAGAAAGGACTCTTTGAAAGGGTATTCTAAAATAATTTCACCCAATTAGGTTTTAAACATAGTCTGCCATATTGTTGATTTCACAGGATTTGCTTTTTTAAAAAAATGTATTTTATTTATTTAGAATTTTTCTTTAAGAGATGGGGTCTCACTCTGTTGCCCAGGCTGGAGTACAGTGGTGCGATCTCGGCTCACTGCAACCTCCGCCTCCCGGGTTGAAGCAATTCTCATGTCTCAGCCTCCCAAGTAGCTGGGACTATAGGTGCGTGCCACCATGCCTGGCTAATTTTTGTATTTTTAGTAGAAACGGGGTTTCACCATGTAGGCCAGGCTGGTCTCGAACTCATGACCTCAAGTCATGCACCTGGCTTGGCCTCCCAAAGTGCTAGGATTATAAGCGTGAGCCACTGTGCCTGGCCTTCAGTAGCTTTTAAAGGTTGTAGCTGAAGATTTTGTACTTGTCACATGGGGGAATATGATAATGAAAGCAGAAGATAGACTAGTCACTCTACTTTTCCCAGCGTCCTCTCTGACTGGACTCTTTGAAGGTACTGCCCAGGGTCATGAAGAGATGGCCCTGGCTGCTTCCAGAAGGTATACATTCCCGTGTCCACTCTGTGTCCTGGAGAGTGGGGGCGGGGGGAGGGGGTTGTCCGTCTTTGTATCTCTGTCTCTCAGTACAAATTTAATGAAGGAATGAATCAATGAATGAATGAAGCAAGCATTCCCCCAGAGAATTCTTAAATCATCTTAGCCGGTCATGGAATTTCCCAGCAAGTCAGCTTTTAGAATCCTGAAAATATTTTCAGTATTCATCTCTTTAAGGAATATATCAAAAGCAGTCAGCACCAACCACGGTTTTTCAGCTGATTCCCAAATGTGTGATAAGAAACACCTAATTCCTTGGGGGAGAAAACTTGTTCAGGTTAAATTCTTGCGGTAATCCTTACGGCCCTGTGGTGTTCGCTAAGATGTAGCAAGAATGTAAATAGCTAGGTACTTTGATCTACCTCAAATACTTACTAGTTTAAACATTCTGCCATTCTGCCGTCATACCAAAAAAAAAAAAAAAGCACCATCCCAGGGTTATGAATGACGTTACTGTCTTTGGACATGCTGTCTTGTGTGGCTGAGACGTAGATCAAGAGAAATTTGTAAGAAAGACAATAAGGTACAAAAATCGCCGAAGCTAATGTCAAGATGGAGATAAATAGATCTATATTTGCCATATATGGTAGTAAAAGAAAAGTCTGTGCAAATTTGCTCGACATTTATGGACTTCTATGATTCATCTACCAGGGCCAGCAGCTCCAGCCAAGAGATATAGAATGTCTTCAACTGTATTTCTTTCCTAAATTGTTTCATTACAAAGAAGCCATGTTGTGTATTCAGAAGAAAATTCCAGGACCGCATGAAAGTCACTATTTGGGAACAGGCCTGAGAAAGCTTGCTTAGAGGAATTCCAAAAGTATTCAAAAGGCAGTTATTGACCAAACACATAATAATTCTCTAAGCATCAACAATTTTCCATAGATCCAAGCTCACATATACAGCGTATTTTCTGTGGCTAGTCACTCCAGAAATAGAGGGTTCTCTGCTTTCTTGACTGATTGACTCATATGCAAACGCTTCTCATTTCATTTTGTTATTTTTTTGAGAAAGGGCTTGTTCTGTCTCCCAGGCTGGAGTGCAGTGGCACAGTCACGGCTCACTGCACCCTCGACCTCTCTGGGCTAAGCCATCCTTCCACCTCAGCCTCCCGAGTAGCTGGGACCATAGGCACACACCACCATGCCTCGCTAATTTTTGTATTTTTTGTAGAGACAGGGTCTCGCCATGTTGCCCAAGCTGGTCTCGAACTCCTGGGCTCAAGCAATCCTCCCACCTCAGCCTCCCAAAGTGCTGGGATTATAGGCATGCATCAACATGCCCAGCCTGTTTTTTGTTTTAATCTGTTATTGAGTAAGGTGCAATTTGTGGCTCCATATACAGGGACAGGTTGCAAAACAGGTACTGAGCCGTGTGTATCCTTCAGGTCCAAGCAGCTTCTAAACTGTGTCTATCTCTGTTCAGGTCCCTGGAACTCTCCTGGGCAGCAAGCTCACAAGAGACCGACCTCTGTGGCCTTCGAAGCGGGTTGCTGTTAGACACACCTTTTAGAAGCTACATTCATAGTATCTCAAAAGACAGACATAAGGGGTACTCGGTATGGCCACCACTCACTCCCACAACACAGCCACCATTTCCCACCCAGAATTTCCTGTGAAATGTGCTCATTTTAAAACAGCACACATCCTGAGAATTGCAAAGTTGGGCATAGAGATCAATACAAATTAGACTTCTTTTTAGATACGCTCTACGCTCTGCAGAGCCCTCTGGGGTCTCCAAGGGCTGGGACCTGCTGGATAAAACTGGATGAAACTAAGTTGCTGCTTCTTTGGTGCCCTTGAATGGACTTTCTTGGCTGCAGTGACGTTAGGTCCGCTTCCTAGCCGCGTGCTGCTCTGCCATCGGGGATGCTAAAGTCGGGGAGGGCCAGGAAGCCTTTCTTTGCTTGGAAGTTTTTGTTTCTCCTTCGCCTGCTAGGTTGGGATAATCCGTTGGGAAGTCTCTGAGCGTCTTTAAACATAAAATCTAGTTTCAAAGGTTTAAATTCCCAAGTTGCCCCCTAAGTTACATGTTGCTTAGGCTTGGTTGCTATCTGTATGGTATAAATAATTCCATTTAGAAATTAAGAAATTATGGGCTGCATTTTTGATGCCAGTGGCTCTGTAGTATCCCCCAACCACCAAAAAAAAAAAAAAAAGAAAAAAAGCATCTAAAAATTGTGAGGTTACCGCTTAGCTCTGTCTTTCTGGCTGCACATGGGTTACCAGGTGCCTTGCCAAGACCCTGCCTCCGTGTCCACCATGCTTTGTGTCTGCAAGTAGATTTACCCATCGTTCATTATTAATTATTCCTCTGAGCAGCTCTGTGAAGCTAGTAAATATTAATAAACAATATGTGCTGATTATGAACCTAAGACAAAAGGATGTCTTTTTCAAGCTGCTTAATTTTAGGTAAACTAGTTGCACACAAGCGATGAATAAACGTGAAGTCAGGCATCCAGGCGGTGAAACAAAATCAAACTGGAACTGCAAAAGGAGAGTGCCTGAGATCTGATTTTATTTTATTTTTGGGATGGAGTCTCACTCTGTCACCCAGGCTGGAGTGCAGTGGCGTGATCTCGGCTCACTGCAACCTCCGCCTCCCAGGTTCACGCAATTCTCCTGCCTCAGCCTCCCAAGTAGCTTGGACTACAGGCACACACCACCATGCCCAGCTAATTTTTGTATTTTAAGTAGAGACGGGGTTTCACTGTGTTGGCCAGGCTGGTCTCGAACTCCTGACCTCAGGTGATCTACCCACTTCAGCCTCCCAAATTGCTGGGGTTACAGGTGTGAGCCACCGCATCCAGCCGAAAGGATACAGTTTATTTAAAGACAAAGGAAAAAGAAAAACCATAATTGTGTTCACTTAGAAACATCTCCCATTTCATACTGATGTCTTTCCTGGTGGTGGTGTCCAAATGCTTATATGTGTGTGAGATTCATTGTTACCATGTTGGGATCAGACTGTAAACAAGCTTTATAAAAGTTCGTGGCTCCTTTCACTCATCCACCCGCTATGCATCGTCCAGATCTGAGTTCACGTGCTCCTTCCCCAAAGGAGCCTTCTCTCCTGTCTAGGGTCAGGTCTGCCTCTTTTTTTCTTTTTCTTTTTTTGGAAGCAGGGTCTCACCCTGTCACCAGGCTGGAGTGTGGTGGCGCGATCACGACTCACTGCAGCCATGACCTCCTAGGCTCAAGCAGTCCTCCCACCTCACTCCCAAGTAGCTGGGATTACAGGCACATGCCACTACACGTGGCTACTTTTTAAAATTTTTTTGTAGAGATGGGATCTTGCTCTGTTGCCCGGGGTGGTCTCGACCTCCTAGGCTCAAGCGATCCTCCCTTAGCCTCCCAAGTAGCTGGGACGACAGGCTCATGCCACCACACCCAGCTAATTTTTTTGATTTTTAGTAGAGATGGGGTCTGGTTATGTTGCCCAGGCTGGTGTTGAGCTCCAGAGCTAAAGCAGTCCTCTCGCCTTAACCTCCCAAAGTGCTGGGATTACAGGCACATGCCCCTGTGCCCGGCCAGGCTTGCCTCTTAAACTCCCTTCGCTCCACATGCCCTTCTGCAGCACCGGCCACAGATAAGTGTCATCCATGCTGGTGGTGATTTGACTCATGTCTCACCTGCCACACAACAGAGGCCCAGGAGGCACAGCAGCCTGTGGTCTCTGCTCATGATTGAAGGAGCCCCTAAAACAGGGCCGGAAGGCCCAAAATAGCCACTCAACAAACATCTGTCGCATAAATGGAAGTCACGTGCCTCATTCCAAGTCTTTGCTGTTCTTCAAAAAATAATGGTACTCCAAAAAATAATGATACTCCAGATTACACTGAGCCATGACCACACCCCTGCACTCCAGCCTGGACGACAGAGCGAGACCTCGTTCCTTACAAAGAATTATACTGAGTACCTAATATGCAATTGCATTGCTTTAGTAGAATTCTCTCATAAGTACTCCCCTGGTGTCGGAATCCACATTGTTCCCAGTTGTTCTCTGTTCTAAACTCATGCTGAACATTCTTGTGCATAAATCTCTGCCTACATCTCTGATTATTCTTACGGATAGACTCCTGAAAGTACTAAGAGGAAGGATTAATCTGCGTTCTGATTTTAAACAGCCCATTTGTCTAAATATTAGCAGGGCCTAAGATCTGGAATAAATGACACAGTGGCAAAAGTCGGAGTCACACGTCCTGGTTGGTTTCAGAGAGTCCTGGGGTGAAATGGTGCCTTTGGGGTCCATCCCTGTCTAGCACAGGAGTCCCCTTTGCAGCAGTGTCCATAAAACGTTAGCTTGGGCTGGGTGTGGTGGCTCATGCCTGTAATCCCATCACTTTGGGAGGCCGAGGTGGGTAGATCACCTGAGGTCAGGAGTTTGAGACCAGCCTGGCCAACACGGTGAAACCTTGTCTCTACTAAAAATGCAAAAATTAGCCTGACGTGGTAGTGGGCGCCTATACTCCCAGCTACTCAGGAGAATTGCTTGAACCTGGGAGGCGGAGGTTGCAGTGAGCCAAGATCGCACCACTGCACTCCGGCCTGGGGGACACAGAGAGACTCCATCTCAAAAAAAAAAAAAAAAGTGAGCTTGGTGATGAGTCTGGGAAGAGCATCTCTTCATTCATTCAGTCCACAAGTATTCACTGTGTCTGCCCCGAACCTAGCACCATCCTTTGGCCCAGGAATAGAACGGAGGAATGTACATCTCCTCAAATGTCTCCTAGAAATTGAGACCTCACCATTCTCGCTAAGCTCCCTGAGGGCAGGGACTGTGACTGTCTCATTCACTGCTCGTAGTTAATGCTCAAATGGTTTTTGAATAAATTAAAATACAATATGTGGGCCAGTGCGGTGGCTCACGCCTGTAACCCAGCGCTTCGGTAGGCCGAGATGGGTGGATCACCTGAGGTCAGGAGTTTCAGATCAGCCTGGCCAACATGGAGAAACCCCATCTCTACTAAAAAATACAAAAATTAGCCAGGTATGGTGACACACACCTGTAATCCCAGCTACTCAGGTGGCTGAGGCATGAGAATCGCTTGAGCCTGGGAGGCGGAGGTTGCAGTAAGCCAAGATCACACCACTGCACTCCAGCCTGGGCAACAGAGCGAGACTCTGTCTCAGAAAAACATGTGGTTCCTCTCTTTGACAAGTTCCAAATCTATTGATGTAATTGATGTATAGATACATCAGTAAATCACAGATGTATTTTCAAAGTTCTGAAATGTAACTAGAGATTTGTTTATTTTTGAGATGAAGTCTTGCTCTGTCACCCAGGCTGGAGTGCAGTGGCATGATTATAGCTCACTGTAGCCTCAACCTCCTGGGCTCAAGTGATCCTCCCACCTCACCCTTCCGAGTAGCTCGCACTATAGGCACTTGCCACCATGCCTGGGTAATTTTTTTAGAAACTTTTTGTAGAGCAGGAGTGTCCCTATCTTGCCTAGACTGGTCTTGAACTCCTGGCCTCAAGCAATCCTCCTGTCTGGGCCTCCCAACGTGCAGGGATTACAGGTGTGAGCCACTGTGCCCAGTCAGAGGTTTCGACATGAGCAGTTATTCAGAAAGGGACCTGGAAGAATATTTTGAAATCAGACCTAGAGTCAAATCAGACTTATTTAAGAGAATTAACCAATGGAGCCTGAATTTGGCTTCTCCCATTTCCTACCACTGATCCCCTGGCCATGAGGACAGTCCTGCAGGAAATTCCTGTGCCAGGTGGGCTAGCCCAGGACACATGGCTTTGGAGACTAGGCAGGGAAGATCCAGCCCAGGGTACTGGAGCTGGCGCTTGCATGCCCCTCTCACTGGGGTGTCTGATCCCCAGATGCCAACGAGGCTCTGGCTGTCCTGTCTGAGCTGCCCCTGAGGCCACACACAGGATCTCAGAGTGGACAAACAGCCTTTCCCTTGACAATGAGCAGTTCTCAGCTCTGAGACCAGAAGAAGCCTTAGTGCAACCATTTCTCAAAGTTTCAGTCTCTTAAAATTGAGGACTCCGGAGAGCTTGAGTGCGTGCGTGCGTGCGTGCGCTGTATCTCTCAGTATTGACTGTGTTAGACATGAAAGCTGAGGAGTCTGCAAAGCACAGGAACACACAAACACACGAGCCGCTGGTGTCAGAGTGAGGCTATCATCACACATCGCAGGCATCTGGAAAACTCCACTGTACACTTGCGGGAGAAGGCGAGGAAAAGGCAAGTAACAAGAATAGTTTTGACCTTGTGGATCCATGAAAGGATCTGGGGAGCCGGGAGTCCCCAGACCCTGCTTTGAGGATCGTTGGCTTAGTGGCATTGGCATCCAGGCTCCACCATAATCCTGAGCCGTGGCCACGTGCTGCCAGATCACGGCCTCTGTGCAGTTCGAATCTGCCCTTCTTCTTAGTCCTTTGCACCATCCTCAGCCTTTATCCTCCTCGGTCCACATTCAGGCATTGCCACTTAGATAACCGCCCCCGCGCCCCCCTCCCACCCCACTTTTCAACATCAGACAAGTCTTTTTTTGTTTGTTTGTTTTTTGAGACATAGTCTCATTCTGTTGCCCAGGCTGGAGTGCAGTGGCACAATCTCGGCTCACTGCAGCCTCTGCCTCCCGGGTTCAAGCAATTCTGCCTCGGCCTTTGGAGTAGCTGGGATTAAAGGCACATGCCACCACGCCTGGCTAATTTTTCTATTTTTAGTAGAGTTGGGGTTTCACCATGTTGGCGAGGCTGGTCTTGAACTCCTGCCCTCATGTGATCCACCTGCCTTGGCCTCCCAAAGTGCTGGGATTACAGGTATGAGCCACCATGCCCGGTCTCATCATCAGACAAGTCTTGCAGATCCCCTCTTGATCAGGAACTCAGGGGTCCCCACCTGCAGCTTCAGGGTACCCCTCGCTGCTTACCAGCAGGCACCCTATGTTGAAATCCTGCACCCTCATCTCAGTTCCCAATCCCACCAGTCCCCCAAAGCCAGCCCTTCCCGTGGTGGAGTTGTACCACGTACCACGCAAAAGCCACAGCATCAGCATTGGAGACTCTGCCAGGACACGGAACGTGTTTTAAATGGCACAAAGACATTTAAATGGGAAGAAATTATAGCAGGAGTGAGTTTATCCCTTTCAAGATAATCTTATTTAATAACCAAAAAACTCACAAAGATGTGCATTTTATCCGACTACAAAAGCAGCGTGGCGGGTTATATATTGTGGTAATTACATGTTTGGGGTTTCATTCCTCCTTTAAACCAGATTTCTTTTATTTCAGAAAATCAGCCATTGTAGAAAAAGACTATTCATTTATTTCATTGCTGGGTGGCCTATACACTGTAAAAATAGGTCAAGAACAGTAATCTAAATTGACTGCTGATAAATAATTAAAGCTAATGGAATTTTTCTCAAACCTGTGAACTAAAATCTTTGAGAAATTGCCAGGACATACTTACTGTCTGCTGTTGTATAGAAAGATATTTTTTATTTAATACTTGAGTTTCAATGCCATTTAAAATTACCCTTTTCTATCACAAGGACTGGAAGGAATATGTGTTCATCTATAAAAGTAACCAAAGGAACGATGCCGTGTTGATGGTTATATGGTTCATCTTCAGATGAGATGGGAAGTGACGGTTTCAGTATCCTGGAACAAAAGAAACATCATTTTTCACTGAACTGGATTTTAAGTTGAGGTCTACAGTCCACATATCATATAATATATATTGTCTTGTTTTTAAAGACTCCATACCTGGTCTGAGCTCTTGTATACATTGATAAGGGAAACTTAACAGCTATCTAACGTGACATCCAGGAAAATAAATACTAAGAACATTTTTTCTTTCATTAGTAATTACTGTTCTCTCATTGCTGCTACCAGGACCTTATAAAAAGACATTGGGGTCAGGCGTGGTGGCTCACGCCTGTAATCCCAACACTTTAGGAGGCCAAGGCAGGTGGATCCCTTGAGGTCAGGAGTTCAAGACCAGCCTGGCCAACATGGTGAAACCCCGTCTCTACTAAAAATACAAAAATTAGCTGGGCATGGTGGCGGGCGCCTGTAATCCCAGCTACTTGGGAAGCTGAGGCAGGAGAATTGCTTGAACCCAGGAGGCAGAGGTTGCAGTGAGCTGAGATCGCGCCACTGCACTCCAGCCTGGGTGACAAGAGCAAAACTCGGTTTGGAAAAAAAAAAAAAAAAGAAATTACAAAGTGAGCTAAGACCAGAGGAGAGGGGAGAGGCAAGAGCGGAGAATTACCCCAGATGAGGGAGATCTGGAACAGAAGGTGACAACAGGCCAAGCCACAGGGCCAGGTCCCTAAGGGTCCCCACCTCTAGCACCATTGGCAACAACCTTGTGAGAGTCAGAATCAAGTCTTTCAGAAGTGACCCAGTTCAGCCCCTCACTACCCCCACCCTGCCCTAGTGCTCTTGGAAAGACTACATTGTCTCCGAAGGAGAAAGGGTCCCACCCCTGAACTGTCACTGTACAGGATGGGGTACCACCAAGAGATGTTGTACCTCTTAAATGCAGTCAGGGTTATTTCCCAGAAAAGTATCCAAGTTACTGTAGGATGAAAAAGACATCCAGAAAAACCTGGATTATCAGATTTTTTTTTCCCCCATTTGGAGACAGGGTCTTGCTCTGTCACCCAGGCTGGATTACAGTGGCACAGTCATAGCTCACTGCCATCCCAAACTCCTAGGCTCAAGCCATCCTCCACCTCAGCCTCCAAAATAGATAGGACTACAAGCCTGCACCACCATACTCACTAATTTTTGTATTTTTTTCTAGAGACGGGATTTCACCACGTTGCCCAAGCTGGTCCCGAATGCCTGGGCTCAAGCAATCCTCCTGCCTTGGCCTCCCAAAGTGCTGGGATTACAGTTGTGAGCTACCAGATACTTTTTTTTCTCTTTTTTTTTTTTTTTTTTTTTTGGATGGAGTTTCCTGGGTTGAAGCGATTCTCCTGCCTCAGCCTTCTGAGTAGCTGGGATTATAGGCATGCACCACCATGCCCACCTAATTTCGTATTTTTTGTTAGTAGAGATGGGGTTTCTCCATGTTGGTCAGACTGGTCTCCAACTCCTGACCTCAGGTGATCTGCCCGCTTCAGCCTCTCGAAGTGCTGGGAATACAGGTGTGAGCCACCACACCCGGCCCAGATATTTTAAAAACAGAAATGACTTGATGACTTTGGAGATGTGTTTGTAATTCACAGCCTCCTTCTATGTGTGCATTGTGTTTGTGCTGATTCCAGTGAGCCTCTCGCTCCTGCAGACAGAGGTGAACCTCCATGCAGCAGCTCAGCGTGTCACCAGCTCTGGGTCCCTGGCACGCGACTCTGGGATATGGGGAGTGGAAGAGAGCTCATGGGAATTGGGAGCACGAGGCCCTAAGATGGAGCAGAGCCTTCCAGAGAGGGCTCGGGAGTGTGTGTGTTACGACTCCCGCTCGTACGTTACAGGTGCAATTGAACACTGCATGACGATTTTGTCTCTATTTTGCTTTTACATCAGAATGGTTTCCTCCAGCAATTGGCATTACCTAGAAAATTCCTTAATAGCATTTTGCTGTTCAGTTCTCTGACCTAAAAACTGAGTTGTGAATCAGCAGTTTCGAGAATAATGGAAATACGGCCAGACACAGTAGCACACGCCTGTAATCCCAGCACTCTGGGAGGCTGATGTGGGTGGATCACTTGAGCCTAGGAGTTTGAAATCAGCCTGGGCAACATGGCGAAACCCCGTCTCTACAAAAAATGCAAAAATTTGCCGGACATGGTGGCGCATGCCTCTAGTTCCAGCTGCTCGGGGTGCTGAGATGGGAGGATTGCTCGTGCCCGGGAGGTCACGACTGCAGTGAGCTATGATTGAGCCACTGCACTCCAGCCTGGAAGAGCGAGACACTGTCTCAAAAAAAAAAAAAAAGAAAAGAAAAAGAAAAGAATGGAAATCCTTCCACATAGAAACCTCTCTGTGTAAACATCATTTATTTGCTGTGTACTCAAAGGAGAGGAGGTTGACATGAGCTATTTTGGCTTTTGCCAAAAGGCATATGATTGGAATTATCTCAAGAACATCACTTTCTGTGCATTAAGATGTTTGTTGCTTTTTGCCCAATAGATGGGATGGGATGGAAACAAGGTGAAAACATCACTGACAAACCTGAATTAAGTATATAACTGAATTAAGTGTGTAACGTGTAACTTGAAGTAATTAAGTTTTAAAACATGGCCGGGTGCAGTGGCTCAAGCCTGTAATCCCAGCACTTTGGGAGGCCGAGGTGGGCAGATTACTTGAGGTCAGGAGTTCGAGACCAGCCTGGCCAACATGGTGAAAACTTGTCTCTACTAAAAGTACAAAAATTAGCAGGGCGGGGTGGCTCGCACCTATAGTCTCAGCTACTTGGGAGGCTGAAGCAGGAGAATCGCTTGAACCTGGGGGGTGGAGGTTGCAGTGAGCCGAGGTCACGTCACTGCACTCCAGCCTGGGTGACAGAGCGAGACTCCATCCCCCTCCCCGCAAAAAAGTTTTTAAACGTGTTCACTGCCTCCTTATCATTTGTTCCACTGTGGTTTTGGCCAGCCTGAACCCCACTTTTTCCAGTTTATGACCACAAAGAAGGATTGTGCGGGTGTGCATGAGGACCAGTAAGTGGCAGAGTCTGCATTTTCTGGTGCTGTCCAGACAGCAAAGAGTGCTGTGTTCTAGAAAGACAGTAAATCGTATCATGTCCTTGCTAACCGACGATGGAGAATTCTGTGGGTCAGAATTGAGCATCTTTTTTGAGACAGAGTCTCTCTCTGTTACCCAGGCTGGAGTGTAATGGCATGATCTTGGCTCACTTGCAGCCTCAACCACCCGGGTTGAGGTGGGGAGCCTCCCAATGTGCTGGGACTATAGGCGTGAGCCGCCGTGCCTGGCCAGAATTGAACATCTTTGTATCTTTCTTCTTAGTTTAGTACAAAACTGAATAATATTTGCAGGCAGCAGAATTGGATCGGGAATTTCTCAAACTGCCAAAGATGAAATTAGAATGAGTGATTTTTGGCTGGCAGCTTGAAGTACATATATATCAGTTTGTGTATGATACGTGTGAGTATGTAGTGGTTTTTCCCTCTTCAACTGTCTTTAAATATGTGTGCGTGCGTGAGTGTGTGTACAAACACACGTAGCTTTAATATCAAAAAGGTTATTTTTGTAGGTCTGTTAGGAGACATGAATATGCTCAAAAGGGA
The DNA here is from genome assembly GCF_000001405.40 of Homo sapiens. NCBI lineage: Eukaryota > Metazoa > Chordata > Mammalia > Primates > Hominidae > Homo > Homo sapiens. The sequence goes on from NC_000007.14 coordinate 102,023,939, forward strand.
AAAAAATACATGGATAGGGTGAGAGGAGTTTGCTTTATTTAAGGACATGATAAAAGGCATAGCCCTTCTGCCTTTCTGGAATGCTGTAACAGAATATAGAAATAATTGTATCATCTCCTGTACTTCTCAGAGCTGGTGTTTGCGTGAGGCTGGCCCTGTGCCAGGTTGGCAGGGTTGGGGGTAACCCAGGAGCATGCCTGCTAAGGCACACTGCCATTCAGGGCCTGGCCTTGCCCCTGCGCCCCAGCCCCCTGCTCTCCTCCATCCAGCTCTGCCCTCTTCCATTTCTCTGCTACAGTCTGAAATCTCTCAGCCACACCAGCTTTCTCATTCCATGACCTCATCTGACTTGTCTCCTTCCCCTCTGAATCTGAGCCCTTGTTAAGCCTTTTTTTGTTTTTTCTTTGAGACAGAGTCTCACTCTGTCACCCAGGCTAGAGGGCATTGGTGCAGTCTCAGCTCACTGCAGCCTCTGCCTCCGCGGTTTAAGCGATCCTCCCACCTCAGCCTCCTGAGTAACCTGGACTACAGGCATGCACCACCACGCCCAGCTTATTTTTATATTTTGAGTAGAGATGGGGTTTCGTCATGCTGGCCAGGCTGGTCTCAAACTCCTGACCTCAGGTGATCCACTTGCCTCAGCCTCCCAAAGTGCTGGGATTACAGGTGTGAGCCAGCGTGCCCAGCCATAGCTATTCTTCCATTCATTCCCTCATGCACCCTTTCCATGTCTTTTGAGTCCCCACTGTGTGCCAGGCCCCATGGTCGTTTTCCCTGGACCCTGCTGGGATCATAGTAATCTTCCCCCATCATTCTTTACGCCTTCCACACTCTTTTCCCTTGTTACCCTTTGTGTTATATGTTGTCCTCTACCTTTCTGAAAAGCACAGTGGGTGAAATGCGGTGATGTGTTAGCTTCCTGTTGCTGCTGTCGCAACCTGCCATGCGCCGAGTGGCTTAAAACAACAGAAATTTATCATGTGACAGTGCTCGAGTTCAGGAGTCCAAAGTGGGATGGATTCCCCAGGCTGGAATCAAGGTGTCAGCCAGAGTTGTGTTCCTATTAGAAGCTCTGGGGGAGAATCAGTTTCCTGGCAGTTTCCAGCCTCTCGCGCTGCCGGCATTCCTATAGCATTCCGACCTCTGCGTCGGTCCTCAGATCTCCTCTGACTCTGAGCCTCCTGCCTGTCTCTTACTAGGAGCACTGGGATTACACTGGGCCCACCTGGATAATCCAGGGTCATCTCCTGACTCATGATCCCTGACATAATCCCATCTGCAAAAGCCCCTTTTACCATTGCAATCTAACACATTCACAGGCGCCAGCTATGAGGACGTGGTTATCTCTGGCGGACTATTATTGGTGCTGACCACAGATAGCCTTATTTATATAAAAAGAGATTGGTGGCCAGGCATGGTGGCTCACGCCTGTAATCCACAGCACTTCAGGAGACCAAGGCAGGCATATCGCTTGAACCTGGGAGTTCAAGACCAGCCTGGGCAACATAGTGAAATCCTGTCTCTACGAAAAATACAAAAACTAGCCGGGTGTGGTGGCGCATGCCTGTGGTCCCAGCTACATGGGAAGTTGAGGTGAGAGGATCCCTTGAACCCGGGAGGTGGAGGTTACAGTGAGCCGAGATCATGCCACTGTACTCCAGCCTGGGTGACAGAGCCAGACCCCGTCTTAGGTGGGAAAAAAAAAAGATTGGTAAAGAATCTGATTATTTTTTGTCCTGGAGCCTGGTGTAAAAAAATAGAAAATCATCTAGTTGAGGAAGTAACAGGATTGACTTCTCCAAGGAAATAATGGTATCACGTTTAGAAATGCATCCTTTGGAACAGTATATAGTTAAAAGGGAAATTATAATGCTTCTTGACCAAATGTTTCTACAGGATCACAATACAAAATAACGTGGGCTGTGATGATATTTGTCAAAAAACTTGTGGTACAGTGGCCAGGTGCAGTGGTTCACACCTGTAATCCTAGCACTGTGGGAGATCAAGACAGGCAGATCGCTTGAGTCCAGGAATTCAAGACCAGCCTGGGCAACATAGCAAGACCCTTATCTCTACAAAAAAATAAGAAAATTAGCAAGGCATGATGGTGTGCGCCTGTAGTCCCAGCTACTTGGGAGGCTGAGGTGGGAGGATCGCTTGAACCCAGGAAGTTGAGGCTGCAGTGAGCTATGATCACACCACTACACTCTAACCTGGATGACAGAGCAAGACCCTGTCTCAAAAAAACAAAAGCTTGCTGTACAGGCCTGTCCTGTAGGTCCCTCTGCAATGATGGAAAAATTCTGTGTCTGCATTGTTGGAAGCAGTAGCCACCAGCAACGGGTGGCTACCGAATCCTTGAACTGTGGCTAGGGTAACTAAGAAACTGAATTTTCCAAATTTATTTAACTTTAAGTTATATTTAAATATAAATAAGCACATATGGCTGTATGTGTTGAATAAGAAGACTTTTTCATCTGGGATCTTGATAGGTCTTACTTAGGAAGCCTCTGATAAAATAATTTGCAGAGTTTTATTTCTAATGGCAAGGTCAGTAGCTTTCCTCAGATTCTCAGAAGGCTTCATCAACTAAAATGTAGGCCTAGCCCGGTGGCTCATGCCTGTAATCCCAGCACTTTGGGAGGCTGAGGTGGGCGGATCACCTACGGTCAGGAGTTTGAGAACAGCCTAGCCAACATGGTGAAACCCCGTCTCTACTAAAAATACAAAAATTAGCCAGGCATGGTGGTGGGCACCTGTAGTCCCAGCTACTCAGGAGGTTGAGGCAGGAGAATCACTTGAACCTGGGAGGTGTAGGTTGCAGTAAGCCGAGATCTCGCCACTGCACTCCAGCCTAGGCAACAGTGAGACTCCGTCTTTAAAAAAAAAAAAAAAAAAAAAAAAAACATAGTTTCAATGCCTAAACTTTCAGTAAATAAGATATTATCTTAGTCGAGTCTTTTCAAAGTTTTTGAAGCACTTTCTCAGTTACTTCATTTTAAATAAAATGCTCTGAACAAGATCATAAGCATGCACCTATGGGATGTCCTGGTGTTTCGAAATGGGCACTGGTGGCATGGGATAAAATTTATTGTGACTCTGTCAGATGTGGATTCAAAACAGGCTGTATCTCCGACTTAACAGTGCATTAAAATGGCAGCTAGGGCCGGCCATGGTGGCTCATGCCTGTAATCCCAGCACTTTGGGAGATGAAGGTGGGCGGATCACCTGAGATTAGGAGTTCCAGACCACCTTGGCCAACATGGCAAAAACCCATCTCTACTACAAATACAAACATTAGCCGGGCGCCTGTAGTCCCACTTACTCGGGAGGCTGAGGTGAGAGAATCACTCAAACCCAGAAGGCAGAGGTTGCAGTGAGCTGAGATCTTGCCACTGCACTCCAGATTAGGCGACAGAGCGAGACTCCATCTCAAAAAAAAAGAAGAGGCAGCTAAAATACAGTGCAGTGGCCCAGGTCCATTTCAGATAGAAACAGCCAGGCAAACCCCCCATTCTAGTCTATTTTATTCTAAGCAGATTATCTCACTTAGACTGACATCAGCAAAAGCTTTAGTCTGTAGCACATTCAAAATGAGGTATATGTGACCAGGAGTTAGTAGAAATAAAACATCGTTGTAGGCCAGGTGCGGTGGCTCACACCTGTAATCCCAGCACTTTGGGATGCTAGGGTGGGCACATCTCTTAAGCCCAGGAGTTTGACCCTCGCCTGGACGACATGATGAAACCCTGTCTCTACAAAAAAATACAAAAATTAACCAGGCATGGTGGCGTACGCCTGTAGTCTCAGCTACTTGGTAGGCTGAGGTGGGAGGATGACTCTAGCCCAGGAGGCAGAGGTTGCAGTGAGCCAGGGTTGTGCCACTGTGCTCCAGCCTGGTCAACAGAATGAGACTCTGTCTTCAACAACAAGAACAACAAAGAACCACCTCGTTGTATTCTTAAATAAGTTTAAATCCTGAAGCGCCAGTTGGCGTTATTGATGTTTTAGGAGTGCAGGAATGGGTGAGGTCCCAGGCTTGCTTTAGATAGTGATAATTAGCACTGACTGCCACGCTGTTTTTAGGAGGCCTTAACCAATGTTTCCCTTCTTTCTCCTTCTCAAATGGCTGCTTCCTGACCTCCGCCTCCTGCTCCAGGATTTGCGCAAGCAGGTAGCGCCGCTGCTGAAGAGTTTCCAAGGAGAGGTAAGCTTTTCTATTCATTTTCTATCCTGAGCCACCCTTCGTGGCTAATTGGTCTTTTTATTCACATTAAAGAAATGCTCCGGGCAAAAGGTGCTGCCCAGATGGTGCCTTCCCGGCTGCTCCGACCCAGCGTCATGCAGATTTTGCGCTCTGTGATGTGATTTTCCATTGGGTCCTTGGTGAAAGCCCTCCTGGAAAAGGAAGCTATGCTCAGAATACACAGAGCTGTGGTGGATTGCCAGCAGAAGTGCCCCGTGTGTGGTTGCAACAGGCAGGTTGTTGGCGCTACGGCCTTCAGGAGCCCATGCATCCCCTCTAGGAAGTCGCCTTGTCCCCCTGAGCTGGTCTGGGGCTGCCACTGCCATGAGTGTGTGCCATAAGTGTGGTGCTTTGCTGAGAGGCTGGCGGGGGCACAGGGAGGCCACTTGATCACAGGCTTGAAACACAGAGCATCTAGCAGAAGCCACGAGGAGCAAGCCTAGGCTCAGTAGAAGGAAGTGGTTTCTAACGGATCCTTCCAGAGAAGGACGGAGCCATCTGGCAGACGGCACGTGGGTGGCAAGTCACCTGGGACATCCGCCCTGGCTACCTGTTAGCGGGAACAGCAGCCATAGAGGGGACTGGGCTCCACGTGAGTGACACTCTTTGCCAGCCCTTTGTGTGAAGATTCAGTGATGTTTAGAAAACCAGAAATTATATTATTCTTGCGGATTTATTGAATCTCACCTCTTTAGCTTCTCCCGACGGAAAAACAGAAAGTGGAATCATAGCAGGCTGATAAGGAAAGGAAACGAGACATTTCCAAAGCCCCTGAAAGAGCCCATATTGGTACAGTCTTAGGGATTTTTTTTTTTTTTTTTTTTTGGCGACAGAGTCTTGCCCTGTCACTCAGGCTACAGTCCAGTGGTGCAATCTAGTCTCACTGCAACCTCCGTCTCCCAGGTTCAAGTGATTCTCCTGTCTCAGCCTCCCCAGCAAATGAGATTGCAGGTGTGCACCACCACACCCAGCTAATTTCTCTATTTTTAGTAGAGATGCAGTTTCACCATGTTGGCCAGGCTGGTCTCGATCTCCTGACCTCAGGTGATCCACCTGCTTTGACCTCCCAAAGTGCTGGGATTACAGATGTGAGCCACTGTGCCTGGCAGGGATTTTATTTTCTTGCAACTGCTAAGTCACAGGGAACACATGGGGGAAGGGACAGGAGAGATATGGCCGTGAGATACAGGAGAGATATGGCCGTGAGATACAGTAGGTTCCTCTTGGGACACAGGTGATGTGGGCCTTATATATGGAAGGCTGGGTTCCTGGTCCCAGAGCTCTAGAGCAAGTTGTCGGGCTTCCATTTGGGAAATTCATCAACTGGGAGCGAGAGCAGGGAGTGAGTGAATGAAGGAGGCCAGGGCGATTGTAGCCAAAGACAGAGAGGCGATTTCAGGACATCAAAAGGGACCAGCGTAGAAAGAAGACACAGCAGTTGGTGATGGCTGGAAATTTTCGAGGGCAGAACAGTACCCCTCTCTTCTTATGATCTTCTTCCTGCCTCATTCAGCCCCCATGCACGTAGCTTGGTCCGGCCAGCAGGACACCTGCATCCCAGGGCTTGGATGGACTTGAACAGTCTTTTTCTCAGAACTTCATCTCCAAGCCCGTAGTTGATGAGTGAGGCTGTTACCTGACACCTACCCACATTTGATCTTACCTGTTCTGTTACCTGTCCAGCGGCTTTTGGGAGACCCACTGGCTTCCTAGTTCTCTCGCTCAAAGAGTTCAGTGTGCTTTCTAGGTGTTTGCTTGTTTTTCTTTCTTATTGAAAAATTTCAAAGCTGTGTAAAAATGGAAAGATTAGTACAGTGAATACCTGTATGCTTTTTTTTTTTTTTGAGACAGATTTTCACTCTTGTTGCCCAGGCTGGAGTGCAATGGCACAATCTCAGCTCGCTGCAACCTCCGCCTCCTGGATTTAAGCAATTCTCCTGCCTCAGCCTCCCAAGTAGCTGGGATTACAGGCATGTGCCACCACGCTCAGCTGAGTTTTGTATTTTTAGTAGAGACGGGGTTTCATCATACTGGTCAGGCTGGTCTCTCATTCCTGACCTCAGGTGATCCGCCCGCTTCGACCTCCCAAAGTGCTGGGATTACAGGCGTGAGCCACTGCGCCCGGCCCACCTATATGCTCTTTACCCAGATCCACAGTTGCTAACATTTCACCCCATGTACCTCCCCCCTCCCCTCCCCGCCCACCACTTTTGCTGAACATTCAGAAGTAAGTTGCAGAAGCAGGCACTGTGTCCCTCAAACACACGTGGAAGGCTCCCGAAGTTAAGGAATTATTAGCATTCTCCTACATTACCACAATAACCACAAATATCACACCTGGGAAAATTCACAGTAATTCCAGGTCATCTCATATTTGATCCAAAATCAAATTTTTCCAATTATCCCCAAGATGTCTTTTATAACGGCCCTCCTCGCAACTGAGGTCCAGTCAGGTTCACACATTACATTTGGAAATCTGTCTATCTAATTTTCTATTTTAAAAAGTGTTTTTTTTTTTTGAGACAGGGTCTCGCTCGGTAACCCAGGCTGCAGTGCAGTGGTGCCATCATGGTTCACTGCAGCCTCCACCTCCTGGGCTCAGCAATCTTCTTGCCTTAGCACTCCCCTGCCCCCACCGCCAGATAGCTGGGACTATACATGTGCACCACCACATCCGGCTAATTTATTTTTATTTTTAGTAGAGACGAGGTTTCAATACATTGCCCAGGCTTGTATCGACATCCCGGGCTCAAGCCATCCTCCCACCTTGGCTTCCCAGAGTGCCTTGATTACAGACATGAGCCACTGTACCCGGCCCCTGCATTATCTCTTTTAATGTAGGACATCCTCTCCATCTCCATCACCTTCATTTCTTTTTATTTTTATTTTTTCTAGACAGGGTCTTGCTCTGTCCCCCAGGCTGGGATGAAGTGGCACAATCTCAGCTCACCACAACCTCCACCTCCCAGGTTCAAGCAATTCTTCTGCCTCAGCCTCCCAAGTAGCTGGGATTACAGGCATGCACCACCTCGCCCAGCTAATTTTTGTATTTTTAGTAGAGATGGGATTTCACCATGTTGATCAGGCTGGTCTCAAACTCCTGACCTCAAGTGATCTGCCTGCCTCAGCCTCCCAGAGTGAGTGCTGGGATTACAGGCATGAGCCACCGCGCCTGGCCTGATTTTTTTGTTTGTTTGTTTGTTTGCTTTTTTGAAGAGTCTTAGCAAATTATCTTGTAGATTAGCCCACATTCTCAGTAGGATAATGGGTTTGATTCCTGATACCTTAAATTTGAAATACCCAAGAAACATCTAGGCTAAGCTTCCATTTGCCTATTTTTTTTTAAAGGCCATATGAAAGCTAATCATAAATAAATACATAAAATTATCATAGATTTTGAACCCACAAAAGAAAGGTAATTTTTTGGCACCATTAATTAATATTTATCAAGCCTCCGCTAATTTATAAATAAATTTTATTATGTATACTTAAGGTATACAACATGATGCTATGGGATACATACAGACAGTAAAATGGTTATACGGGGAAGCAAATTAACATATGCATCGTCTCCCTTAGTTACTCTTTTTCATGTGTGTGGCAGGAGCAGCTAAGATCTCATTTAGCAGAAATCCCTCATATTGCAATTATATTTACTATAGTCCTTGTTTGCACATTAAATCTCTAGACACTCCCAGCATCATCCCTCCCAAAATGTGACATTTATATTAAATAATTTGTACTTTTTTTTTTTTTTGAGATGGGGTCTGGCTCTATCACCCAGGGTGGAGAGCAGGGTGGCATGATCTCGGCTCACTGCAACCTCTGCCTCCCTGGCTCAAGCGATTTGCCCACCTCAGCCTCCCAAGTAGCTAGGACCACAGGCTCTTGCCACCATGCCTGCCTAAATTTTTGTATTTTTTGGTAGAGGTGGGAGTTTCACCATGTTGGCCAGGCTGGTCTTGAACTCCTGAGCTCCAGTGATCCGCCCGCCTCAGCCTCCCAGAGGGCTGGGATTACAGGCATGGGCCACCACGCCTGGCCTGGAAGTGGTTTTTAAAATATTTTACTTCCATCCTTTCATTATGATGTGTTCCTATTAAAAAGGTGATCATGTGTGGAATCCCAGCAGTTTGGGAGGACAAGGCAGGAGGATCGCTTGAGCCCAGGAGATCGAGACCAGCCTGGTCAATATAGTGAGACCCCGTCTCAGTCTCATGCCTATAATCCCAGCACTTTGGGAGGCTGAGGCGGGTGGATCACCTGAGGTCAAGAGTTCGAGACCAGCCTGGCCAACATGATGAAACCCCGTCTAATAGACTAAACATACAAAAATTAGGCGGGCATGATGGCATGTGCCTGTAATCACAGCTACCTGGGAGGCTGAGGCATGAGAATCAGTTGAACTCGGGAGGCAGAGGTTGCAGTGAGCCAAGCACTCTAGAGCCACTGTACTCTAGCCTGGGTGACAGAGTGAGACTCCGTCTAAATAAATAAATAAATAAATAAATAAAAGTTTCAGATAATGAAATGATTACTTATAATTATTATAACAAAATCATAAAATGTAACTCACACTGAAATTAGATATCGATTGATTGATTATGATACCTAATTTTGGGTGTTTCACAAGCCCAGCAAATTGATGGGTGGTGTGGGGGAGGTGTACCCTTAATATGAAGTCCAATTTAAAGCTTATTCTAGCCCAACAATTTAGACAATCCCTTTAGTAAAGTAATGCACATACCCTCTAGGAAAATGCTGTCTTTCCACTAGTCTGGCCAATCCTTGCTTCTCTCCCTGAGAAGGGGCGTGTTATGGAAGGTTGAGGGGATGAGGGGCTGGCTCAGAGAACCTCTTGGTAGTGGGGGACAAGTGTCCTCAGGGAGGAAAATCCTCTTAAGAAATAACTTGAGTGCTCGTATTAGAGAATAAATGAAAAACAATCTATGAACTAAGCATCGGCTTTATAAAATTACAGTAGGCTGGTATGATGGCTCACGCCTGTAGTCCCAGCACTTTGGGAGGCCAAGCCAGGAGGATCATCTGAGGCCAGGAGTTTGAGACCAGCCTGGCCTAACCTAGCAAGACTCCATCTCAATTAAATAAATAAACAAACAAATAAATGTACAACAGAATAAGTTCAAATAGAATGAAAGAAATGACAAATATAATAATAAACATAAGAATAGAAATGAATGAAAAAAACAAAGAGCCAGGAGAGAAACATTGCAAAAGTCATTTATTTGAAAATACCACTGCAACTGACAAACCACTGTACTCATCAAGACAAAAAATGTTAGGAATAAAATTGGGGATGACATTGCAGCTGCTGCAGAGATTAAAAAGATAAAGGGAATGTTATAAGCAACTTTCTGCCAATAAATACTGAAGTCGAAAAAGTTCCAAAATTCTGTAACTACCAAAATTGATTAAAGAAGAAACAGACAACTTGAATAGCTTTGTAACTATTACTGAAATATTTCCATAAGGTCTAGACAGTTTCCAAGAGAGTTTTATCAATCATTCATGAAATAGAGAGTTCTCATACTTAGCAGACTCCTTCAGAAAATAGAAAGAGCGAGCACTTCTTAACTCCTTTTATGAGGCTAATATAACCTTGATACCAAAACAAGACAAGAACAGTACAAGAAAGGAAAATTAAAAGTCAGTCTTATTGGCCACGCATGGTGGCTTACGTCTCTAATCTCAGCACTTTGGGAGGCTGAGGCAGGCAGATCACTCGAGGTTGGGAGATCGAGACCAGCCTGGCCAACATGGTGCAACCCCATCTCTACTAAAAATATAAAAATTAGCCGGGAGTGGTGGCAGGCACCTGTAATCCCGGCTACTTGGGAGGCTGAGGCAGGAGAATCGCTTAAACCCAGCAGGCGGAGGTTGCGGTGAGCTGAGATCATGCCACTGGACTCCAGCCCAGGTGACAGAGCGAGACTCCATCTCAAAAAAAAAAAAAAAAAAAAAAGTCAGTCTTATTATTGAATAAATACACAGAAGTCTTTTCAAAGGTATTAGTAAATTAAGTCCATCAAGCTTGGTATATCCCAAGAAGGCTGTTTTGTTTAAAATGTTCAAAACTTATTAACATAAATCCATGTCATTAGCAGATTAAAGGAGGAAACAATTTCAGTAGTTATATGAAAAGATTTTGATAAAATTTAAATCCATTCATGATTAAAAACTACCAACAGGCTAGGCATGGTGGTCAGGAGTTTGAGACCAGCCTGGACAATGTGGTGGAACCCTGTCTCTACTAAAAATACAAAAACAGGCCGGGCACTGTGGCTCACACCTGTAATCCCAGCACTTTGGGAGGCCGAGGTGGGCGGATCACAAGTTCAGGAGATCGAGACCATCCTGGCCAACATGGTGAAACCCCAGCTCTACTAAAAATACAAAAATTAGCTGGACGTGGTGGCATATGCCCGTAATCCTAGCTACTCAGAAGGCTGAGGCAGGAGAATCACTTGAACCAGTGAGTCAGAGGTTGCAGTGAGCCGGGATCGTGCCACTGCACTCCAGCCTGGTGACAGAGAGAGACTCCGTCTCAAAAAAAAAAAAAAAAATACAAAAACAAAAAATTAGCTGGGTGTGGTGGGTGCAGGCCTGTACACCTAGCTATGCAGGAGGCTGAAGCAGGAGAATCACTTGAACCCAGGAGGCAGAGGTTACAGTGAGCCGAGATCGCGCCACCGCACTCTAGCCTGGGCAACAGATCAAGATTCCATCTCAAAAACAAACAAACAAACAAAAAACCCTACTAACAAACTAGGAATAGAGGGAAACATCTTAGGAATAGAGGGAAACTTCTTTAATGTGGTAAAAGGTATTTATCAGAAACATACATTAATCATCAGACCCAGTGGTGGTAAAAAAAAAAAAAAAAAAAATTCCCAGAAAACCAGGAACAAGACAAGAATACCTACTATTGCTACTTTAATTAACACTGTACTGCAAATCTTAGCTAGCAGAGAAGACAAAAAGAAATAAAGTACAGATAGCTCTTGACTTACGATGGTGCAACTTTAGGATGATGCAAAGAAACTGTACTTTGAGTACCCATACAACCATGCCGTTTGTCAGTTTCAGTACAGTATTCAATAAATTACATGAGCTGGTGAATACCTGATGATAAAATAGGCTTTGTCTTGGATAATTTTCCCCAACTATAAGCTAATGTAAGTCTTCTGAATATATTTAAAGTAGGCTAAGCTAAGCTATGATGTTTGCCAGGTTAGTTTATTAAATACATTTTTGACTATAATATTTTCAGCCTACAGTATAAGTATTGCAACAGAAGAAATCAAACTGTCATTTTTCAAGTGAGCCTCAATTATTTAACCAGGTTACTAGATACAAAATCAATATACAAAAGTAATTATATACCCCTGTATCAGCAGCAAACTTAAAAAGTCATTTTTAAAAAGGATACTACTGGAGATAGCCAGCCAAAAAAAAAAAAAAAAAACTATAGCTAGAAATGAATGTAACAATACAAGGGAAATCTTTCTAGAGAAAGATGTAACATTTATATTGAAGGATATTAAAGGAGAGTTAAATGGAGAGAGAGAAAGTATACAAGGAGAGAAATTTCCACTACTATTGAAGCGATCACTTTTCTCCAGATTGATCACAGAATCAGTCATTGTAGTTCCAGTAAAAATCCCAACAAAATTTTTTTTGTTTTGAGACAGAGTCTCGCTCTGTCACCCAGGCTGGAATACAGTGGCACCATTTCAGCTCACTGCAACCTCCACCTCCCGGATTCAAGGTTATCTCCTATTTGATCTAAAATCAAATTTTTCTGGTTATCCCTAAGATTTCTTTTGTAACGGCCCTCCCTGCAGCTGAGGTCCAATCAGGTTCACATATTACATTTGTGTAATCCCAAGTAGCTGGGATTACAGGCGCCTGCCACCACACCCAGCTAATTTTTGTGTTTTTAGTAAAGACGGTTTCGCCAGGCTGGTCTCAAACTCCTGACCTCAGGCGATCAGACTGCCTCTGCCTCCCAAAGTGCTGGGATTACAGTCATGAGCCACCGAGCCCGGCCCCAGCAAGAATCTTAATGAAACTTTTGAAAAGCTGATTCCAGAATTTTTATACATATGCAAGAACAAATGGTAAATAATAGTGAAGATAATACTGAACCACTCCAAGTTAGAGGAATTGCCCTACCAGATTATTAAAGCTGCAGTAGTTGGCAGAGAATGAGATAAATAAACCAAAGGAACACAATAAAGAAATCAGAATCTGGCCGAGCGCGTTGGCTCTTACCCGTAATCCCAGCACTTTGGGAGGCCAAGGCAGGAGGATCACTTGAGGTCAGGAGTTCCATACACCAGCCTGACCAATATGGTGAAACTTCGTCTCTACTAAAAATACAAAAATCAGCCTGGTGTGGTCACGTGCTCCTGTAGTCCCAGCTACTTGAAAGGCTGAGGCAGGAGAATTGCTTGAACCCGGGAAGCAGAGGTAGCAGTGAGCCGAGATTGTGCCACTGCAGTCCAGCCTGGCCCACAGAGTGAGACTCCATCTCAAAAAAACAAGCAAACAAACAAAAAAAAAAAAAAACACCGGAATCTGGCCTATGCATATATATAGAAGCTGAATAAATTGCAAAGATGGTATGGATCAGTGAGGAAAGGGGGGACTTTTCATGGTCCTCTGACGATTGGCAAATCCTTATAGATTAAACGAAGTTGAGACCGAGTGCACTGGCTGCTATCTGTAATCCCAGCACTTTGGGAGGCTGAAGCAAGCAGTTCCCTTGAGCCCTCGTGTTAGAGACTAACCTGGGCAACATGGTGAAACCCTGTCTGTACAAAAACTTACAAAAATTAGCTGGGTGTGATGGCACACGCCTGTAGTCCCAGCCACTTGGAAGGCTGAGGTGGGATGATTGCTTGAGCCCACAAGTTGGAGACTTCAGTGAGCTGTTGATCGCGTGCCACTGCACTACAGCCTGGCTGACAGAGCAAGATCCTGTCTCAAACAGACAGGCAAACAATTAACTAGAGTTGGAGCCCTACCTTACACCGTGTGGAAACACAAATTACAAGGAGAGTCTTAGATCAAAGCTTTAAACTTTATAGAATAAAATATAAAAGATGATGACTTTGGGCTGGGTAGAATTTCTTTCTTTTCTTTTCTTTTTTTTTTTTTTTGAGACGGAGTTTTGTTCTTGTTGCCCAGGCTGGAATGCAATGGCACGATCTTGGCTCACCACAACCTCTGCCTCCCGGGTTCAAGTGATTCTCCTGCCTCAGCCTCCAGAGTAGCTGGGATTACAAGCATGCGCCACCACGCCCAGCTAATTTTGTATTTTTAGTAGAGACAGGGTTTCTCTGTGTTGGTCAGGCTGGTCTCGAACTCCCAACCTCATGTGATCCACCCACCTCGGCTTCCCAAAATGCTGGGATTACAGGTGTGAGCCACCACGCCCGGCCCTGGGCTGGGTAGAATTTCTTAAACAGAAAACCATAAAAGAGATTGTTGCAGTAAACTACCTTAAAATTTTTAAATAGGAGCTTTTTTCATGGAAAGATACCCTAAAGAAAGTGGAAACATGGCCGGGTGTGGTGGCTCATGCCTGTAATCTCAGCACTTTGGGAGGCTGAGGCAGGCGGATCACTTGATGTCAGGAGTTTGAGACCAGTCTGGGCAACATGGTGAAACCCTATCTCTGCTGAAAATACAAAACTTAGCTGGGCATGGTGGCACATGCCTGTAGTCTCAGCTACTCGGGAGACTGAGGCACGAGAGTTGCTTGAACCTGGGAGGTGGAGGCTGCAGTGAGCTGAAAGCATTGCAGTCCAGCCTGGGCGACAGAGTGAGACTCTGTCTCAAAAAAAAAAAAAGCAGAAAGATAAGGCCAGTACACTGCTAGCTCCATGGTATGTTCATGTGAACTAGAAAAAAGGTTTGCCGTTCTCAATACTTTTCACATCACCTGTTGGAAACTTGCCATAATAAAGATTCATACTTACCTCAGTGTTTACCGTGATAGATTCAGACATCCAGAATGTGAAGCATACTGTCTAGGGCTGTGCATCCCACCGTTGTATGTGGGGTAACCTTGGCCATGATTTACAAATCTGGAAGAGGTAGTTGTCACACCTGTAATTAACAATGTTCACAAGATATTCAAAATGCTCGCATGTCAATGGGGGGAGAAACCCAGTAAGGAAATGAGTACAAGTCATGAGCATAATTGTCAGAACATTGGAATGGTCAGTAGCTATATGAAAAGATGTCTAGGTTGCATAATAACCAGGGATATGCAGATTAAAATAACTCATCTGCAAGTTATTCCTCCTGACCAAGTTGGCTAAAATTAAAAAGTCAAGTTAGGAGCATAAGTTGATTTAAACTTTTTGAAAGCCAATTTGGCATCTGGTGATAAAGACTCACCTGTACCTTGACGCGGCAGTTTCACTCCTAAATATATACGCTAAAGAAACAAGCATGGCGGGTGCGGTGGCTCATGCCTGTCATCCTAGTACTTTGGCAGGCAGAGGTGGGAGTGGCGCTTGAGCCCAGAAGTTTGAGACCAGCTGAGCAACATAGTGAGACCTCCATCTTGACAAAAAAATTTAAAAAGTTACCCAAGCATGGTGGCACATGCCTGTAGTCCCAGCTACTCAGGAGGCTGAGGCAGGAGGATCACTTGAGCCTGGGAGTTGGAGGCTTTGATAGCAACACTGCACCCCAGCCTAGGAGACAGAGCCAGACCCTATTTTAAAAGAAAATTAAATAGATAAATAAACTTATTTGCCCTGGAAAACCAGTTCAGAAATTTTGAAAATAGTTAACATATGAAAACAACCCAGCCGGCCATCAACAGGAAAAAGAATATGATAAAACTTTGTTGTAACAAAAGATTAATAAAGAAAAGCATATGGATTTATTTGCTGAAAGTTACGAGCTCTGTATACCCAGGGCCTCTCCTTCACGAGCACTAAATAAGTGTTTATTGGATGGGTGGATGGAAGCATCGTCCTCATCTTACAGATAAAAGGACTAAACCCGAGAGAGGATTCCAAGTCACACAGGTCATAATGGCAGGACTGGCCTCGATCCTGGGGCCGTCTGGCATCCCAGAAGTGCTAAGGTTGGTGTGCTCTGATACTGCTTGAGCGGGGAGGAAGCAGTGCCTTCAGCCCCTCCCTGATCTCAGCCAACCTTTCCAGTCTTTGACTGACACTTTGAGAGGCCGAGACAGGCGGCTCACTTGAGCCTGGGAGCTCCAGACCAGCCTTGGCAACGTAGTGAAACTCCATCTCTACAAAAAAATGCAAACGTTAGCCAAGTGCGGTATCATACACCTGTAGTCCCAGCTACTTGGGAGGCTGATTTGGGAGGATCATTTGAGCCCAGGAGGTTGAGGCTGCAGTAACCTATGATCACACTGTTGCACTCCAGTCTGGGCAACAGAGCGAGACCCTGTCTCTATTTCAAAAAAAAAAAAAAAAAAAGATTGATGTTCATCTTGCATACAGTGCTCTGCAAACCCTGCCTGAAGCCCCCTTCCCTTCTAACCAGCCCCTCCTAGACAAATTCTGGAGCTTGGTGCATTGTCTCGTGTACATCCATAACTGTGTCCATGCGCTTTGCTACAACCACGATCTGCATCGTTGGAAGGAGTGGAGCCCAGGTTAACTGTGAATTTCATCACAGTATCACCTGCTGACATGGCCTGAGGGAGGGACCAAGGAATGATCTGAAACTTCCCTTTGTGCTGAATGTCTCCCTTACATGCAGCGCGCTGGCCACGTTCAGAGCTGCATGCAGGACGTGCTCTCGGAGGCTGGGTTTTACTCTCTGGTCTTCATTCAACGCAACCTTTTCGGGAGCCTCCTGCTTCCAGCTATGGGCCAAACAGTTGCTAAAGATGTCTCATTGAATACAGTCAACTAGGATCCTGCTATTCTAATGAAGGGAAACTGATGATAAACACAAAAGGCAATGTTAGATGGCGCCAGGCACTGCGAGGGAGACACACTGGGTCTTGGGGTAGAGCGGGAAGAGGTGGTAGTGACTTCTTCAGTCATCCAGGGAGGCCTCTCCAGGGAGGATGACGGAACATCAGAGGAAAGAAGCAAGGAGAACCAGCCACACTCAGAGCTGGGAAAGAGCAGCAGGAAGATGGGGGCAGTGAGTGCCAGGGCTCTGCAGGGATGGGCTTGCCTGGCAGGGAGCAATACCAAGGAAGTTAGTAGGGCCCGGGTCATGCCAGGGCCTTGTAGGCAGAACCCTTAAGTCTCTTTGTAGGGACCCTTTGGTCTCCCCTTTGAACTAGGCCCTTTCAAAGACGTACAGTAGAAAGCAAATTCCCCATGGGCACCGGCAGGATGATTTGACAGATTCTAATCAAATAATTGGGGAAATAAAGTTGGGTGAACTACAGCAGTCTATGAATGAGTTAAAAGTGACTACGAGTCTGCTGCCCATCTTGCAGCCCATATCTGTTGAGCTGTAACATATTTAAGCATTCAGATCTAAAGGCCATTGCTAAATAAAGCCAGGGCGTCCATGTGGTTCGCTCCAAAGAGCATTTCACAGGGAGCCAGTCCAGGCGCTGCCGCCCACCACCTCTGTGACCTTGGGTGAGTCTCGGGGCCTCTTTCTGCCCGACTTTGCTCATCTGTAAAACGAGTGGGTTACCCAGATCCTCCCCCAAGGAGCTCCGTAGCTCTGAAACCTCATGAGACTCACTGGAGCAGTACTTTGGTTGACTATCGCTAGCAGAACCGAAAAGGACATTCTCCAGCAATGTAAATCTGTTCAAAAATGGGATGAGCTGGCTGGGCACAGTGGCTCATGCCTGTAATACCAGCACTTTGGGAGGCTGAGGCGGGTGGATCACAAGGTCAGGAGTTCAAGACCAGCCTGGCCAACATAGTGAAACCCTGTCTCTACTAAAAATACAAAAAAAAAACAAAAATAAAAAAATTAGCCAGGCATGGTGGTGGCACCAGCTACTTGGGAGGTTGAAACAGGAGAATTGCTTGGACGACCACCTGCCAGGGAGATTGTCACCTCTTATCCATTCTTTTTTTTTTTTTTTTTTTTTTTTTTTGAAATAGAGTCTCTCTGTGTCACCCAGGCTGGAGTGCAGTGGCTCACCATAATCTCTGCTTCCTGGGTTCAAGCGATTCTCCTGCCTTAGCCTCCTGAGTAGCTGGGATTTCAGGTGTGCGCCACCATGTCCGGCTAATTTTGTATTATTAGAAGAGATGGGGTTTTACCATGTTGTTCAGGCTGGTCTTGAACTCCTGGCCTCAAGTGATCAACCCGCCTTGGCCTCCCGAAATGCTGAGATTACAAGCATGAGCCACCATGCCCTTGCCTTATCCATCCTTCTAAATGCCAGATCCTCCAAGTCTTCCCAAAATACCCAGCCAGAAACAGATTCTTCCTCTTCTCATCTCTAATAGGGCTTCATTTATATCTCCCTTTTGATTTTTTTTTTTTTTTTTTTTGAGATGGAGTCTTGTTCTGTCACCCAGGCTGGAGTGCAGTGGATGATCTCGGCTCACTGCAACCTCCACCTCCCGGGTTCAAGCGATTCTCCTGCCTCAGCCTCCCAAGTAGCTGGGACTACAGGTGCACACCACTATGCCTGGCTAATTTTTTGTATTTTTAGTAGAGACGGGATTTTGCCATGTTGGCCAGGCTGGTGTCAAACTCCTAGCTCAGGTGATCCGCCTAGTGGTTAGGATTTGGCGCTATCTCTCCCTTTTGGTTTTGAGCCTAAAGACATTCTGCCCTTATAGTTTGCTTACCAAGGCCTTATGCTTCTAAAATGTAGAAGGGAGGATGTGTGTGTGAGTGTGAGTGAGTGTGTGAGTGTGTGTGTGTGTGTATGTGTCTTTGTACCTGTTTCTGTCCCCATCTTACCAGTACTTGCCTAAATACTGCATTAAGCATCATGGGTGAAATAGGATTAGAGAAGGTTGGACCAGATCAGTGGCTCCCAAAGCTGCTGCTGGGTTGGACCAGTGCTGCACTGGCCCTATGAGAATTGCTCACATGTTTCCAGAAATACAGCTCCCCAGGCTCCTACCCTGACATTCCGGTGTAGAAGGCCTGGGGTGGAACCTTAGAATCTGTCATTTTTCAAAGCCCACCTCTGATGCTCATGCACTGCTAGTTGTAGGAACCACTGGGCTCGGTTCCCTGAAAGAGCTCTTTCTCCTGGTAACAAGTTCTGTGACTCTCTCTGCCCACTCAGTCTTCTTAGATTGGCATGTTAGAAGCTCCATGACTTGCCTTTGAAATATTTTTCCAGCTTCAAAGTCCTGGACTTCTACTCTGGCCGAACTGGCCTGTGTATTATGAGTCACCTGAACATACTTTTTGATTTCCTGAAGGCTCTGTTATTGTTAAGACCCTTTTGCTGTTCCCTACCTATAAAACTCATTTCCATCCTTTAGGGCTGAACCGAAAAGTCTATCTCCTTTGATCATTTTCCTGACCATCTCAACCTATTTCTAACTTTTTCCCTCTTTTTTTATCCTCAGCTCTATTAAAGTATCATTAACAAAGAAAAGTTGTATATATTTATAGTGTATAATGTGATGGTTTGGGGTTTTTATTTTTTGAGACAGGATCTCCCTCTGTCACCCAGGCTGGAGTGCAGTGGCATAATCAGGGCTCACTGCAGCCTTGACCTCCCGGGCTCAAGCAATCTTCCTGCTTCAGCCTCCCAAGCAGTTAGGACTATAGGCTCCTGGCCAGGCTAATTTTATATTTTTTCGATTTTAGTAAAGCCGAAGTCTGGCTGCGTTGCCCAGGCTGGTCTTGAACTCCAGCAGCACAGTCTCAGCTCACTGCAACCTCCACCTCCTGGGTTCAAGCCTCAGCCTCCTGATTAGCAGGGACTGTGGACGTGTGCCACCACGCCTGGCTAATTTTTTTATTTTTTGTAGAGACGAGGTTTTGCCACGTTGGCTAGGCTGGTCTTGAACTCCTGACCTCAAGCGATCCTCCCACCTCATTCTCCCAAAGTGGTGGGATTACAGGCGTGATCCACCACACCCAGCCCAATGTGATGTTTTGATACATGCATACATTACGAAGTGATTTCCACAATCTGACAACATACCCATTAGCTCACTGTGTGTGTGTGTGTGTGTGTGTGTGTGTGTGTGTGTGTGTGTGTGTTGAGAACACTTGAGATCTACTGCCTTAGCAAATGTCATATATATGATTACAAGATTATTAACTATAGTCACCATGCTGTACCTTGGAAAAGAAAACCTACTTTTCTTGCTTAAGTAAAACTTTTACCCTTTTCAAGGACTGGGGGACCTTGAGTATGTGCAGATTTTGGTACACGCAGGGGGTCCTAGCACCAATCTCCTGCGTGTACCAAGGGATGACCGTGTGTATAGAAAATCACATGTTTATTACCCATGTATTTGTTGTTGGATGCTTAGTCTGTTTCCATATCTTTCTATTGTAAATAGTGCCGCAGTATACATGAGTGTGCAGATAACTCTTAACAATACTGATTTCAATCCCTTTGTGGTGTTGCTGGATCGTATTAATTTTGGGGGGAACCTCCGTACTGTTTCCCATAATGGCTGTACCAATTTACATTCCCACCAACAGTGTACAAAGATGCCCATTTCTCCATGTCTCACTAGCACTCGTGTGTCTTTTTGGTAATAGCCCTTCTAACAGGTATCAGGTGATACCTCATCGTGGTTTTGAGTCAAATTTTCCAGATGATTAAAGATGTTGAGCAGCTTTTCATATACCTGTCAGCCGTTTGCATGTCTTTTTTTAGAGAGAGACAGGGTCTCACTCTGTTGTGCAGACTGGCGTGCGGTGGTGCGATCATGGCTCACTGTAGCCTTGAACTCCTGGCCTCAGGTGATCCTCCTGTCTTGGCCTCCCAAAGTTTTTGGGATTACGTGAGCCACTGCGCCAGGCCTTATGTGTTTTCTTTTGAGATCCTTAGCCCATTTTCCGTTTTTTTGTTTTTTTTGGAAAGAGTCTTGCTCTGTCGCCCAGGCTGGAGAGGCTGGAGTGCAGTGGTGCCATCTTGGCTCACTGCAACCTCCACCTCCTAGGTTCCAGCGATTCTCCTGCCTCAGCCTCCCAAGTAGCTGGGGTTACAGGTGTGTGCCACCACACCCAGCAAATTTTTGTATTTTTAGTAGAGATGGGGTTTCACTATGTTGTCCAGGCTGGTCTCGAACTCCTGACCTCAGGTGATCTGCCTGCCTTGGCCTCCCAAAGTGCCGGGATTACAGGTGTGAGCCACTGCGCCCGGCCACCTTAGCCCATTTTCTAAACAGGGTGCCTGTTTTCTTGTTATTGCATTAACTTTTCCCCTCTTTCCAGCCTGCTCTTAAGATTGTACATGCTTTGAGGGCCCGTATCTTGTCTTAGATGCTTTATCTATTCTTTGCCTTATGGAAGTGGTTACATAAAACATTCTTAGCTGAATTTCCCCCTGCTTCTCGCCTTCTCCTTGTTAATGAGTACTTATTGAGTGTGATGTGCGAGCATCTACTTTGGTTCCTAGACGCCCACAAGCAAAATAGGTCAGTGCCCTGCTGGGAGTAGGGAGGGGTTGTCAGGGTCTTCTTTGGGTTTGTGGCCAGACAGGCGACTGTGGAGCAGACCAGGCACTCTGGGGACAGGATGATGCGTTCTGGCTGGAAGATACAGGGAGGCTTCCCAGGGACCCTAACACAGCCTGCTGCCCTGGACCTTTGCTGGGGAACTGACTTCTCAGCCAGTATGTCTGTCCGCAGGCTCTTGGGCCTTCTGCAGTGGTGGAGGTGACAGTGGTGTTAGCCGTGGTGGTCACTGTGGTGATGTGGCTGCTGTACTGTCATTATCTTATGGCAAAACCCGCAAGCCTGACACACACAGTGTCTCCCTGTAAGTTCGCGCCATGATGGCTCAATTAGGGACCCGTCGGACTGCGGCTCAACATCCAGGCCAGCTGCATAATTGAAAGCACATTTTCTCCTCCAAAGCTGCAGCTGGTTTGGTTCTGCTCATGCAGAAAGGGATCTAACCTTGCATAACATAGGAAATGAACAGTTGAGAGAGAAGCCAAATTCAATTTCAGTCAGATATGTTGAGGCTAAGTCCATGATCTATGGAAGCCGGGGCAGGAGCCGTGCGCCTGTGGAAAGGGGCGCTCTCAGCAGTCTATTAATCACGGCCGCCCGCCCGGCGCTGCCGCCACTGCCGGGTGCCACTGCGCCCGCGCGCCCCCTCCGATGTGGGCTGGAGCGCAGCCAAGCACTCCAGAAGTTAACCTCTTAAAGACCCGGAGCTGCTTTCTGTTGAATAAATGTAATTTTGTGGTCAGAAATAAATGCTTGTGATATAGCAGGAGCTTTGAAAACAACGGCAAGCTGGAGCGATTACAAATTGCTCCATGTTGTACAAGTCAACAGCAGACATCAAAATTCCACGTGGAGGGCAAATTGATTTCGGCCCAGAGCTCTGCAGCTATTCAATAAAAGTCCTATTAAACCATTGTATGTAATGAACAATCCAGAGCAAATCTAATATTTTCAGTGGATAATTATTTTTAACATCCTCTCGGTAACTGCTGGTAGATTTCTTGGATGTTTACAGCTCGAACTCGGGCAGAGTGGGCCTTCCCAGCTGTCATTTGGCATCTCCGCCAGGGGACCCGCTCCAGGGACCCAGCTGCGTACATGGCTCCTGAACATGGGGCTCTGGCCTTGGGGTTCAGGTTGCCAAGGAAGGGTGCATGGGGTTTCTGAATCTCCCAGTGCCTGGGATGTAGTAGGTGCCTGGGAAATGTTTGTTGAATTGAGCTGAACTGAGTTGAAATGCACAAGAGGAAGCTCTAAGAACCCCAGAATGACTTAGGAAAATGATATTGTGGCAAAGTTGACTCAAAACCTGAGGCTGAAGAGACCAGTGGGTTGCAGGTAAGGAAATTGAGGTCCCTTGTGATAGACCAATGTCAGCCCCTATGGGAGTCGGGACAGAGCTGGCACCCCGGGAAACCCCAGGACTTACCCAATTCACTTCCCGTTTTTGGAGATGGACTCTTGCTTTGTCACCCAGGCTGGAGTGTAGGGATGCGATTGCAGCTCACTGCCACCTCCGCCTCCCAGGTTCAAGTGATTCTCCTGCCTCAGCCTCTGAAGTAGCTGGGATTACAGGCACGCACCACCACACCTGGCTAATTTTTATATGTTTAGTAGAGACAGGGTTTCGTCACGTTAGCCAGGCTGGTCTCGAACTCCTCACTTCAAGTGATCCACCTGCCTCAGTCTCCCTAACTGCTGGGATTACAGGCGTAAGCCACTGTGCCCAGCCCCCATTTCACTCCTGTTCTGTTTTGGTTTGGTTTGGATTTTTTTTTTTTTTTTTTTTTTTTTTTGAGACAGTCTCACTCTGTCACCCAGGCTGGAGTGCAGTTGCACGATCACAGCTCACTGCAGCCTGGACCTCCTGGGCTCAAGCAGCCCTCCAGCCTCAGCCTCCTGAGTGGCTGGGACTACAGGTACACACCACTACACCCAGCTAATTTTTGCATTTTTTTTTTGAAGAGATGAGGGCTTGCTACGTTGCCCAAGACGGTCTTGAACTCCTGGCCTCAAGCAGTCCTCCCACAAAGGCCTCCCAAAGTGTTGGGATTACAGGCATGAGCCACCACACCCAGCTCACTTCTGTTCTTGACAGCTTGCGAAGTGCATTCTTTGTCAGGGAGGCCACACTGGGAGAGTCGCCAAAGCGATCTTGTTGCTCATCTAGTGTTCCCACCCCCAGGATGCTCCCCTACCTTGCTCATGACAGGGCTGTAACCCTGTCCCCTTCCAGACCAAGAGCTTCTCAGGGAAGGTCTGTTCATTCATTGATTCATTAAATATTTGTGGAGCATGTATGCCAGGCTAGACCAGAACTAGACCCTGGTTAGTGGTGGTAGGTGAATGAATGTAGCCGTTGCCTTCATGAAGCTTAACAGTTTAGCAAGATCTGTATCCCCATGTGGCACAGTGCTTGGCGCTCTGTTAAGTGATGGTGGATGGGTGGATGGATTGGTGGATGAATGGGTGGATGGTGGGTGTGTGGGTGGATGGATGATTTGTTAGATAAATGGGAATGGATAGATGGTTGATTGCATGGAGGGAGGGTGAATAGGGGATAGATGGATGGATGATTGGATAGAAGGATGGATGGATAGATGATTGGATAGAGGGATGGATGGCTGGATGATTGGATAAAGGGATAGATGGATGGGTGATAGGATAGAGCTATGGATGGATGAAGGGAGAGATGGAGGGAGGGAGGGAAGGAGGGAGGGAGAGATGGATGGATGGATAACTGGATAGAGGGATGGATGGATGATTAGTCTAGAGGTAGGGAGGGAGGGAGGGATGGATGGATGGATGGATGATTAGAAAGCAGTATGTGTCTGTAAGAATAGATTGACTCTTACTCATTTTCGTCTCCTGGAGTAAAATCATCCAACTTGTAATGCTCAGTCATACAGTATTTATTTGACTATCGTGGAATTTAAATTTCTAGGGTATTTTATTTTCTGCAGATCTCCCTTCCCTTGGAAAAACTCAATATGGATGTTAATTAGGTTTTACTAAAGTTCCATCAATTTAATGCAGTCGTTCTTTAAATGAAACTGACACCAAGGACCACATGGCCAAAGGAAGCCCACGTTCCTGTGTGTGGTTCTGAGGAGGGAGCATAGGATGCAGTTTGATAACAGCTGAGAGCCCTGAGGAGTTTGTTGCTGGATGTGGAGTATTCCATGTCTCGTCCCTCCCCCAGTCTTTTTCCAGTTGTGTCACAACTCCCTTTGCTAATAATATTTTGCACAGCATTTTACGTCTACAAAGCACCATTTCCATGATGTCGCTCACCCTTCGACACCACCCTGTGCTGGGGGCATCATCATCATTCTGAGTTACCAACAGGAGGGGTAGCAGACAGTCCAAGGGGCAAGGCAGGGACTCCCAGCTCCAGGCTCCAGCCTCTCCTCCCCTCC
The DNA here is from genome assembly GCF_000001405.40 of Homo sapiens. Taxonomy (NCBI): domain Eukaryota; kingdom Metazoa; phylum Chordata; class Mammalia; order Primates; family Hominidae; genus Homo; species Homo sapiens. The sequence continues at coordinate 102,048,220 of NC_000007.14, forward strand.
ACCCTCTCCTGGTCCTGTCCTGAAATCTTTGGCTCCCTTGAAACTTGTTATGCCCGGGCAAATGCCACCCTCGTGCCACTGTATTCCCACCACCTCCAATGAGTGTCCCCCACCTGATGGGGTCACACACTTGTCCAGCCACCTGCACAGAAAAGCCTCATGGACACAGCCCTGTGAGGTCAGAAATAGACCGAACAGGGTCACTCGGTTGGAAGGCGTGGTAGTGTTAGAACCCAGGTGTTTGAACTCGGTCTAATATTCATTCCACTCTTTCACACACACGTAAGGGCACATGACCACTATTAATCAAATTTTCAAAAAAAAATCAGCTGGGCACAATGGCTCATGCCTGTAATCCCAGCAATTTGGGAGGCCAAGGCGGGTGGATTACCTGAGGTCAGGAGTTTGAGACCAGCCTGGCCAGCATGGTGAAACCCCGTCTCTACTAAAAATACAAAAATTAGCTATGCATGGTGGCACACGCCTGTCATCCCAGCTACTCGAGAGGCTGAGGCAGGGGAATCACTTGAACCTGGGAGGCAGAGGTTGCCATGAACTGAGATTGCGCCACTGCACTCCAGCCTGGGCAACAGAGCGAGACTCCATCTCAAAAATAAATAAATAAAGGGAATTTGACATAAAATCGTTAATGTTGACTGTTTCAGCCTGGGTGACAGAGCGAGACTCTATCTCAAAAAAACAAACAAACAAACATGAGCTCCATGTCTGTTTCATCTGTTCCCCTCTAAGTATAAACTTCCTGAGCCTTCTAAGTCCAGCCAGGTGGGCCAGCGGTCACCGAGATCCTTCCTCGCTGGGGGATGGAATAGGCCTCCCCTGCTTTGCTGCTGTTCTTTGGCCTTGTCCCCTGCCTCTTTTCTTGGACCACCTACAAGGACCTAGGGGGACACAGTACTGGGGGCAGGAGCTGGGAAAGGCCTGCCATGGTTCACTGATAGTAAGAAATAGAGACTCACTCGGAGAAATTTCCTCTGAAATACAGCAGACTCAGCGCAGCCCTTTGGGCAGATGAAGGAGGCTGAGAAGAGCATCCCTTCAGCAACAGCTGCGTGCCAGAAGCTTCGTTCCGTTCTGCCATTTCATCTGCACAGCAGCTCAGCCCGGAGGGGAGAGGAGTAAATGGGCCCAGAGAGATCAAGTAACTTCCTTGGAGCTTGTCAGCCTTGAGCTGAAACTTGGACTCTGATGTCGAACTCCGAAGCCCATGCTTATTCTGTAAAGCCTGAAGAGTGTCTTATAATTGATTTAGAAGTAGGAGAAGAGGGGGAACCTGTGAGATTACACTGTCTTCCAGCATAACAAGAAAAGAGAAACCAGTTGGATGCGGTGGCTCACACCTGTAATCCCAGGTGTGATGGAGAGGCCGAGGCAGGAGGATCACTTGAGCCCAGGAGTTTGAGTCCAGCTGGGGCAACATAGTGAGATCCCATCTCTACCAAAAAAAACAAAAACAAAAAAAGAAAAACGGAAACCCATGAAATGATCCATGGGTACATAGGAAGGGAGAGAAACTGGTTCCTAGGGCTGTGGGAGGAATGACCGCAGGCCTGCCCTGGGAAAAAGCTTTGCTTTTCAGGGAGCCCCTTGATGTTTGGGGACTTAGGAGAGCAAGTCTGGCCCTGAGATGTGGGACCAGGCATCCCCACAGAGCACACATCAGCAGATAAGGGCTGCCGCTCTAGGAACAGTCTTGTCCCAGCGCAGGCACGAGGAGGGCTCAGGAATCTGGCTGGGAGCATTCCTGCCGTCCCTACTGAGGAGCTGCCACTGTGGACCAGAACACCCCCCTGATAGGAGCAGACTCCCGGGGTGTAGACACTGCTTCCCTTTTCACACCGTCTCCTGAATTTTCTCCTGGGTTCCTGCTTAAAGGAGCGGAGAAAACCAAACTGACAAATCACTGATCTTGGAGTCAGATCTGGATTTGAATCCTGACATCATCATTTGCCAGCGTGACCTTGAATATCTCATGTCCGCTTCTCTGTCCCATCCATATAACAGGAAATCTCTCTCGCAGAGCAGCGACGTTATATGCACATGTTTAAAGATGATGGCATAAAAGCAGTGCTGGATGGGAGCTGGTAGCTAGTTATTGATTATAGGATCCTCTAGGTCCTTTAACTTCTTCAATAGCCGTAGTCCCCAGGATTTAACCTTCTGGGGCTTTCCCTGTATCTCTGTCCCATCCACACTCCAGAGTAACCTCATCTGGGCCGTTTGGGGCTGGTGGTTCCAAATTTTTGCCTCTGGCCTGGGCCCGTCATCCAACGCCAGGCCTCCCTGGGGCTCCCACTGTGGGTACCTCGCTAACTAATAATCTTCATTTCCCATGTAAACACAGGCACCTGCGTATGCCCCATTTCGGGAGAGGTAACCAGCCCCTAGTTGCCCTGGCCAGAACTCTGGGAGAAGCTATGTTCAGTATTAGACCCTGTGAATTCTTTTTATTATTATTATTATTATTATTATTATTTACTGTTGTGTTGGGCTCTCGCTCTGCTGCCCAGGCTGGAGTGCATTTGTGTGATCATAGCTCACTGCAGCCTCAAATTCCCGGGCTCAAGTGATCCTCCCGCCTCAACCTCTCGAGTAGCTGGGACTATGGGCACATGCCACCACTCCCTGCTAAGACCCTGTGAATTCTATTTCCCTAACCTCGCTGGAATCAGCTCCCTCCTTCCCAGCAGTTGGCTTTCTCCCTCTCTTTCCTGGTCTGGTCTGTCTACCACCAGTTGCCATCCTGTCCTGAGTGATCGCTTCATTTCCCACCCTGATTGACATCCTCAGGGATTCCCCTTCAGCATAAGCTGCCCCCACCCCGGGCGTGGTCCCTTGCACCTCCCTCCACAGGCTGGCCCCTGCCTGCCTCCTCACCTCACGTATCCCCAGTCACCTCCTCTGCTCCAAGGCACGGCAGGTCCCTGCCCTTCTCTGAGCAGGCCACTTTGTTTGAACACGTCTCTGTGTCTTTGAATAGCCCTCCTCTCCCCACTGAAGCCTTCTGCCTCCCACCACGAATAAAGATGATCTTTGTCTTCTTTAAAACTTGCCCTAAGTTTGCAAAACACAGGATGTAGAGCAGCATCTAATAGACTATCATTTGTGTTTGAAAAAAAAAAAAATAGGGCCGGGCGCAGTGGCTCATGCCTGTAATCCCAACACTTTGAGAGACTGACGCGGGCGTATCACCTGAGCTCAGGAGTTTGAGACCAGCCTGGCCAACATGTTGAAAGCCCGTCTTTACCAAAATACAGAAAATTAGCCAGGCATGATGGTGCGCAACTGTAGTCCCAGCTACTTAGGGTAGGAAAATCAGAGGCAGCAGAATCGTTTGAACCTGGGAGGCAGAGGTTGCAGTGAGCCAAGATCGTGCCTCTGCACTCCAGCCTGGGTGACAGAGCGAGACTCTGTCTCAAAAAAAAAAAAAAAGGAACACAGTGCATGTCTATAGGTGCTTGTAAATGCATAAATACCTCTGGGAGGATGCCCAAGACTATCTTTACCTCCAGACCAGGCAGCTGGATGACAGGTGGATGTGGATGGGAGGAAGACCTACTTTTCACTGTCAACTTTGTTTTCGCTTTGCTTTTCTTTTTACAATTAAATGACTTTTAGTGTATTCACCAAGTCATGCAGCCATCACCCTAATTCCAGAACATTTTCGTCAGCTCAAAAAGAAACCTCATACTGGCCGGGCGCGGTGGCTCACATCTGTAATCCCAGCACTTTGGGAGGCCAAGTCAGGCAGGTCACTTGAGGTCAGGAGTTTGAGAACAGCCTGGCCAACATGGCGAAACCCCGTCTCTACTAAAAAAACGAAGTACAAAAAAATTAGCCAAGCGTGGTGGTGGGCGCCTGTAATCCCAGCTACTCAGGAGACTGAGGCAGGAGAATCACTTGAACCTGGGAGGCAGAGGTTGCAGTAAGCCGAGATTGCACCACTGCACTCCAGCCTGGGTAACAGAGTGAGACTCCATCTAAAAAGAAAGAAAGAAACGTAATACCCATTAGTGGTCACTCCTCATTTATCCCAACCCCAACCCTTGGCAACCATGAATCCCCCTTCTGTAGATTTGGCCATTCCCCCCATGTCTCTGTAGATTTGGCCATTCTTAACATTTCATATCAATGAGATCAAATAATATATTAGTTTTTTGTTCCCGGCTTCTTTTACTTAACCATGGTTTCGATATTCATCTATGCTGTAGCATATACCAGTACTTGCTTTCATTCTTTTTATGGCTGAATAATATTCCATTGTATGGATGTCCCATGTTTTATTTATCCAATTATCAGCTGATGGCCATTTGGAGTTTTGTTTCCCCACTTTTTGGCTATTATGAATAATGCTTCTATGAACATCCATATACATAAGTTTTTGTGCAGGTAAACACTTTTGTCTTTCTTGCCTACCTAGGAGTAGAATTGCTGAGTAATAGGGTAACTCTATTTTTAACATTTTGAGGAATGGCCAAACTGTTTTCCAAGGTGGCTGTGTAATTTTACATTTCTGTCAGCAATGTAGGAGGGTTCCAGTTCAGTTTCTCGACATCCTTTCTAACACTTAGTATCATCTTTTTTTTGGGAGACAGGGTCTCGCTCTCTTGCCCAGGCTGGAATGCGGTAGTGTGATCTCGGCTCAGTGCAACCTCTGCCTCGCAGGTTCAAGCGATTCTCCTGCCTCGGCCTCCTGAGTAGCTGGGATTACAGGCACGTGCCACCATGCCCAGCTAATTTTTTTGTATTTTTAGTGGAGACAGGGTTTCACCATGTTGGCCAGGCTGGTCTCGAACTCCTGACCTCAGGTGATCTGCCCGCCTCGGCCTCCTAAAGTGCTGGGATTATAGGCGTGAGCCACCGCAGCCGGCCCCATTATATGTCTTTTTGATGCTAGTCATCCCAGTGGATGTTGTGGTATCTCATTGTGGTTTTGATTTGCATTTCCCTAATGAGTATTGGCATTGAGCATCTTTTCATGTGCCTATTGGCCATTTGTATCTTTGGAGAAACATCTATTCATATCCTTTGCCCATATTCTAATTCAGTTACTTTTATTAAATATTTTTAATTTTTGTGGGGATGTATATATATATTTATGGGGTGGAGCACATGAGATGTTTTGATACAGGCATGCTACGTGTAATAATCTCATATGGAAATGGAGTATCCATCACCTGAAGCATTTATCCTTTGTGTTACAAATAATCCGATTATACTTCTTTAATTGCTTTTAAATGTACAATTAAGTTATTGACTGTAATCACCCTGTCGTGCTATCAAATAATAGGTCTTAATTCATTCCTCCTGGCTTTTTTGGTACCCATTAACCATACCACCTTTCCAGCCCCACTACCCCTCCCAGCCTCTGGTAACCATCCTTCTACTTTCTATGTCCAAGAGTTAAAAATTGTTTTTATGTTTATATCCCACAAATATGTCAGAATATGAGATGTTTGTCTTTCTATGCCTGGCTAATTGTTTTTTTATTTAATGAGTTGTAAGAGGGCTTATATATTCTGGAGTATCTTTTCAAAACTTCCATTCTGTGGGTTGTCTTCTCACTTTTTTTTTTTTTTTTTTTTTTGAGACAGAGTCTCACCCTGTTGCCCAGGGTGGCTGCAGTGTCACGATCTCGGCTCACTGCAACCTGTGCCTCCCAGGTTTGAGCCATTCTCCTGCCTCAGACTCCTGAGTAGCTGGGATCACAGTTGTGTGTGCCACCATGCCCAGCTAATTTTTGTATTTTTAGTAGAAACAGAGTTTCGCCATGTTGGCCAGGCTGGTCCCGAACTCCTGACCTCAGGTGATCCACCTGCCTCAGCCTCCCAAAGTGCTGGGATTACAGGTGTAAGCCACTGCACCCAGCCTCTCTTTTCAGTTTCTTGGTAGCGTCTTTAGAAGCGCAGAAGTTTTATATTTGATGAAATCCAATTTGTCGATTTTTCTTCTGGTATTTGTGCTTTTGGCATCATACCTAAGAAACCATTGCCTAATCCAAGGTCATAAAGGTTTACACCTGTGTTTTCTTTTAAGAGGTTTTATAGTTTTAGCTCATATATTTTGGTCTTTGATTTATTTTGAGTTAATTTTTGCATATGGTGTGAGGTAGGGATCAAACTTTGCTCTTTTGCATGTGGATATCTGGTCGTCCCAGCAACATTTGTTGAAACACTGTTCTTTTACCCTTGAATTGTCATGTCACTCTTGTCAAAAATCAGTTGATCATAATATGAGGGTTCCTTTCTGGGCTGTATTGATCTGTGTGTTTATCCTTATGCCCCTACCAGTTCAGGTCAATGTAGTTTTGTATTTAGTATTGAAATTGGGAAGTGTGACTCCTCCAACCTTGTTTCCTTTTTCAAAATTATTTTGGTTATTTGGGGTCATTGCATTTTCATATGAATCTTAGAATCAACTTGTCAATTTCTGCAAAGAAGCCAGCTGGGTCTAGGCACAGGGGCTCTTGTCTGTGATTCTAACACTTTGGGAGGCCAAGACGGGAGGATCACTTGAACCTAATAATTCAAGACCAGCCTGGACAATATAATGAGATCTCATCTCTACAAGAAAAAAGTTAAAGATTAGCCAAGCATGGTGGCGCGTTCCTGTAGTCTCAGTTACTCCGGAGGCTGTGGCAGGAGGATCACTTCAGCCTGGGAATTGGAGGTTGCAGTGAGCTGAGGTTGTGACAGTGCACTCCAACCAGAGTGACAGAGTGAGACCCTGTCTCCAAAAAAAAAAAAGCCAGCTGGAATTTTGATAGGCATTACCTTGAATGTGTAAATCAACTTCGTGACTATTGCCATCTTAAAAATATTAAGTCTTCCAATCCATAAGCATTGGCCATCTTTCCATTTAGTTTAGTGTCTTTCAGCAGTGTTTTGTGGTTTTTAGAGCACAAGTTTTGTATTTCTTTTGCCAAATTTATTCGTAAGTATTTTATACTTTTTGTGATGCTATTATAAATGGATTTTTTTTTTTTACTTTCACTTTCAGATCATTTATTGCAAACATGTAGAAAGACAAATGTTTTTTTACAGGGATACTTTGTTGCATTGAGCTCCACTTTTTTATGCTTTGAAGATAGTGTGTTTCTTCAAAAATGGAAGTCTGTAGCAACCCTGAGTCAAACAAGTGTGTCAGCATTATTTTTCCAACTGCAGGTGCTCACTTCCTTTCTCTTTGTCACACTTTGGTAATTCCCACAATATTTCCAATTATTCACTATTATTATATCTGATATGGTGATCTGCAGTCAGGGAGCTTTGATATTACTATCATAATTGTTTGGGGACACCACAAACTGTGCCCCATATAAGATGGCAGACTTAATTGATAAATATTGTGTGTGTTCTGACTACTCCACCAACCAGCTGTTTCCCATCTCTTCCTGTCTTTGGGTTTCCCTATTTCTTGAGACACAACAATATTGAAATTAGGCAAATTAATAATCCTGCAATGGCCTATTAAGTGAAAGGAACAGTCACATGTCTTTCACTTTAAGTCAAAAGCTAGAAATGATTAAGCTCAGTGAGAAAGGCGTGTTGAAAGCTGAGGTAGGTTAAAAGCTGGACTTCTTGCACCAGTTAGCCCAGTCATTAGTGCAAAGGAAAAGTTCATCAAGGATATGAAAAGTGCTGCTCCAGTGAACACATGAATGATAAGAAAGCCTTATTTCTGATAGGGAGAAAATTTTGGTGATCTGCATAGACGATCAAACCAGCCACAACATTCTCTTAAGCCAAAGTCTAATTCTCTTAATTGGGTCTTAATTGTCTCAAGCCAAAGCCCTGACTCTTCAATTCTATGAAGGCTGACAGAGGTGGGGAAGCTACCGAATAAAAGTTGGAAGCTAGCGGAGGTTGATTCATGATGTTTAAGGAAAGAATTTATCTCCATAATACAAAAGTGCAAAGTAAAGCAGCAAATGCTTTGGTGGAAGCTGCAGCAAGTTATCCAGGAGATCTAGCTAAGATAATCAACGAAGATGATGGCGCTACACAACAGATTTTCAATGTAGGTAAAATAACCTTCTCTTGGAAGAAGATATAATCTAGGACTTGCATAGGTAAAGAGAAGTCAGTGTCTTGTCTTTAAAGCTTCCAAATGCAGGCCGACTCTCGTTAGGGGATAATGCAGCTGGTGACTTGAAGTTGAAGCCATTGCTCATTTACCATTCGGAAAAATCCTAGGGCCTTCAGAATTAAGCTACACCTACTCTGCCTGTGCACTAGAAATGGAATCATAAAGCCTAGATCACAGCATCTGTTTATAGCATGTTTTACTGAATATTTTAAGCACACTGTTGAGACCTACTGCCCAGAATAAAAAAAGGTTCTTTTCTTTTCTGAGACAGTCTTGCTCTTGTCACCCAGGCTGAAGTGCAATGGCATGACTTCAGCACACTGCAACCTCTGCTTCCCAAATTCAAGTGATTCTTCTGCCTTAGCCTCCTGAGTAGCTGGGATTACAGGCTCCCACCACCATGCTCGGCTACTTTTTGTATTTTTAGAAGAGATGGGGTTTCACTATGTTGGCCAGGCCAGTCTTGAACTCCTGACCTCGTGATCCGCCTGCCTCAGCCTCCCAAAGTACTGGGATTACAGGCATGAGCCACCACACTCGGCTGATAAAAAGATTTTTTGTTTTTTGTTTTTTGTTTTCTGGTTTTTTTTTTTTGAGACAGAGTCTCGCTCTGTCACCCAGGCTGGAGTCTAGTGGTGCGATCTCGGCTCACTGCAACCTCTGCCTCCTGGGTTCAAGTGATTCTCCTGCCTCAGCCTCCCGAGTAGCTGGGATTACAGGTGTGTGCTACCACGCCTGGCTAATTTTTTGTATTTTTATTAGAGATGGAGTTTCACTGTGTTAGCCAGGATGGTCTCGATCTCCTGACCTCGTGATCCGCCCGCCGCAGCCTCCCAAAGTGCTGGGATTACAGGCATGAGCCACCGCGCCTAGCCGAAAGGTTCTTTTCAAAATATGACTGCTCATTGACAGTGCACCTGGTCAACAAGAGCTCTGGTGGAGATGTACAAGATGAATGTTGTTTCCATGCCTGCTAACACAACCTGCATTCTACAGCACATGGATCAGGGAGTAATTCTGACACTCAAGTCTTATTTTTTAAGAAATACATTTTGTAAGGCTATAGCTGCCATAGATGGTGATTCCTCTGATAGATCTAGGCAAATTAAATAGAAATCCTTTCCTTCTGGAAAGGAGTCACCATTTTAGATTCCATGAAGAACATTTGTGATTCATGGGAGGGGGTTGAAATAGCAACATGAACAGGAGTTTGGAAGAAATGGATTCCAACCCTCATGGATGACTTTGAGGGGTTCAAGGCTTCAGTGGAGGAAGGAACTGCAGATGCGGGGGAAATAGCAAGAGAACTAGAATTAGAAATGGAGCCTGAAGATGTGACTGAATTGCTGCAACCTCATGATCAAACTTGAATGGATGAGGGGTTGCTTCTTATGATGAGCAAAGAAAGTGGTTTCTTGAGATGGAAACTACTCTTGGTGAAGATGCTGTGAATATTGTTGAAATGACAACAAAGGATTTAGAATATTCCATAAACTGAGTTGATAAAGCAGTGACTGGGTTTGAGAGGATTGACTCCTATTTTTTAAGAAGTTCTACTGTGGGTAAAAATCTATCAAACAGCAATGCATGATACACAGAAATCTTGTGTTAACGAAAGAGTCAATCAAGCTAGCCAATTTCATTGTTGCCTTAACAAATTGCCACAGTCACCCCAAGCTTCAGTAACCACAACCCTGATCAGTCTAGCAGCCATCCAACACCAAGGCAAGACTCTCCACCAGCAAAAAGATTACAACTCCCTGAAAGCTCAGATAATCGTTAGCATATTTTGGCAATAAAGCATTTTTTAATTAAGATATGTACATTTTTGAGACATAGAGCTATTACATACTTAATAGACTATGATACAAACATAACTTTTATATTCACTGGAAAATCAAAAAATTTATGTGACTTGCTTCATTGCAATATTTGCTCTTTTTGTCATATTTGCCTTTTTTGTTCTATTTTTGAGACAGTCTCCGTCACTCAGGCTGGAGTACAGTGGCACAATCTCGGCTCACTGCAACCTCCACCTCCAGGGTTCAAGCGATTCTCATGCCTCAGCCTCCCGAGTAGCTGGAATTAGCAGGCATGTGCCACTACACCTGGCTAATTTTTTTTTTTTTGTATTTTTAGTAGAGACAGGGTTTCACGATGGTGGCCAGGCTGGTCTCAAACTCCTGACCTCAGGTGATCTGCCTTTCTCAGCCTCCCAAAGTGCTAGGATTACAAGTGTGAGCCACCGTACCTGGTCTGTTTTTACTTTCTTATGGTGGTCTGGAACCAAACCTGCATTATCTTTGAGGTATACCCGTATATTGATCTTGCATTGTGAAAGTCTTGCTGAATGTGTATGTTTTTATACATCTACAATTTTTTTATTGTACACATATATTATCTACTCACAACAATGGTGATGTGAAAATCTCAGGTAGGCATTTATCCCCTAGGAAGCCTGCCCCACTCCCCCACCGGGATTTACCCGAGGGAGGTAGGAGAGGGGAGCATTACCCCATCTTAAACTTTTTGGGAGCAGCAGTAGGAATCTGTGTCTCCCATAGGCTGGAATAGAACATAGCCTAGCACATCTTAGCCTCCTTAAATGACTTTATTGACAGAATGAAGGAAGAAGTGAAGCGGGGGTGAGCAAGCAGCCAGCACCTCCTTCCTCTGAAGAGCCTGCTGCAGGCAGGTTTCCCTGTTGTCTAAGCTGTGATCTGCTGTCCTGGAGCATTTACCTGCTCATGCTGGTTTTGCACTGTGGGGAGAGAGAAGACAGCTAATCTTTCTTCCCCAAGACAGCCTTTCAGATAGATGTTGACAGCCAGAATGGCAGATGTACTTGGAAGGGCTTTGTAAACTCAAGGAGAATAGAGATGCTTGTTGCTGTTTTTATCATCTTGGCTTTTAATCTTGTGCTGTCCCCTGCCACAAATCTCCTCTATGGATCCCACACCCTTTCTCCAAGCCAGCGGCTTCTTCGGGGCCTCTCTAGTTTTCCTCTTAGAAACTTTACTAAGTGGGACCGGGTACAGTGGCTCACACCTGTAATCCCAGCACTTTGGGAGGCCAAGGCGGGTGGATCACTTGAGGTCAGGAGTTCGAGACCAGCCTGGCCAACGTGGTGAAACCCCATCTACTAAAAATACAAAAATTAGCTGGGCGTGGTGGCAGGTGCCTGTAGTCCCAGCTACTCGGGAGGCTAAGGCAGGAGAATCACTTGAACCCGGGAGGTGGAGGTTGCAGTGAGCTGAGATCGTGCCACCTCACTCCAGCCTGAGTGACAGAGTGAGACTTCATCTCAAAAAAAAAAAAAAAAAAAAATTTAAAACCCTCAAGATTTGGCCTGCGTACGTGTCTGTTTTGGACAGCATCCGACTCAGTCTTAGCTGACTTCTAGTGTTTAATGTGGCCCTTCAAACCATGCTTTGCTCTTGAAAACATTCTACAGCCAGACTTCGAGTGAGACAAAACTACCCTATCATATCCCTGCAGTTTTGTTGATTTTTATTGTCCTATAGTCCGACAGAGCTCATCGATTTGAAAATTCTTTTAATGGCCTGTGTTTATTTCTAAATCATTAGCTTGTAAACTCCCAGGGCATAGAGGCTAGTGGATTGTTCTTGAATATGCCGTCTTCACTGTGGTCTTAAATGTTGCTTAGGGGCCAGGCGCAGTGGCTCACGCCTGTAATCCCAGCACTTTGGGAGGCCGAGGTGGGCGGATCATGAGGTCAGGGGATCGAGACCATCCTGGCTAACATGGTGAAACCCTGTCTTTACTAAAAAAATACAAAAAAAGTAGCTGGGCGTGGTAGTGGGCGCCTGTAGTCCTAGCTACTTGGGAGGCTCAGGCGGGAGAATGGTGTGAACCTGGGAGGCGGAGCTTGCAGTGAGCCGAGATCACACCACTGCACTCCAGCCTGGGAGACAGAGCGAGACTCTGTCTCAAAAAAAAAAAATGTTGCTTAGGGTCCTGGTCCTCCAGGACTTTCCACATCTTGGCTTCCTGCTTGATTTGATCACGACGGGGAATAACCTATGGTGTGGTGGAAAGAAAGGTGCTGACTTTGGATTTATTAGCGAAGGTTAGTGCTGTTGACCCGGTTTCTATCCAGATGGTGTCAGATACTTAATGTAGGAGGTTCCCACATTTATAATCACAACAGCTCAACAAGGAGGGAGTTACTACCCTCACTTAATGGACGAAGAGATCAAGGCTTCAGTATATATATACACACACACATATATACATATATATATATACACACACACAAATAAACACACACACACACACACACACACACACACACACACTTTGCTGCCCAGTCCTGGAGTGCAGTGGCATGGTCTTGGGTCACTGCAACCTCCACCTTCTGGGTTCAAGCAATTCTCCTGCCTCAGCCTCCCAAATAGCTGGGATTACAGGTGCCTGCCACCACACCTGGCTGATTTTTTGTATTTTTAGTAGAGATGGGGTTTCACCATGTTGGCCAGGCTGGTCTTGAATTCCTGACCTTGTGATCTGCCCACCTCAGCCTCCAAAAGCACTGCGATTACAGGTGTGAACCACCGCGCCTGGCCTTTTTTTTTTTTTTTTTTTTTTGGAGACAGACTCTCACTGTGTCTCACTCTAGCCCAGGCTAGAGTGCAGTGGCATGATCTCAGCTCACTGCAACCTCCGCCTCCAGGGTTCCAGTGATTCTCCTGCCCCAGCCTCCCCAGTAGCTGGGATTACAGGTGTCCACCACCATGCCTGGCTAATTTTTGTATTTTCAATAGAGACAGGTTTCACCATGTTGGCCAGGCTGGTCTCGAACTCCTGACCTCAGGTGATCCATCTGCTTTGGCCTCCCAAAGTGCTGGGATTTACAGGCGTGAGTCACTGTGCCCAGCCAAAGACTTCAGCATTTAAGTAACCTGCCTCCCGGTCACCCAGCCAGTGTGTGCTGGAACTAGGATTCAAACCCAAGTCTGTCTTTTGATCAAACCACACACTCTTTCCATTGACCATGTGGCCCCCAGCCCCAGTGCGCAATGCTGGATGTTATCATATCCCTAGGAGGGGCCAGGAGCCAGGGTCCAAGTAACTTGGTGGGTTTCTGCGTCTGAGAAATGAAGCTGGTGAGACGGCGGTTCCTTCACTGTTTTCCAAGGGCTGCCACGGCTTTGATCTTGACAGCAACCAAGATGTATCTCCCCACTTTGCAGATGAAAAAACTGAGGCCCAGAGAGGTTAATTCAATGGTTCAGGCAGAGCACCTGTTTTATGTTGGAGCTGGAAATCAAACCCTCATGTGCCAACAGCATGCCCAGGCCCTTGGCTGTGTGTGGCGTGGACTTGCCTACCACATGGGCATGGCCAGGCCCCTGTGGTGCAGTGGAGAGATGAGCCTTTTTTATTTCAAAATACACAGCACTTCTTGGCCGGTCACAGTGGCTCATGCCTGTAATCCCAGCACTTCGGAAGGCTGAGGCGGGTAGATCACTTGAGCTCAGGAGTGAGCCACTGTGCCCGGCACTGTATGTTACTCTCTTAGAGATATGGCCAACTCGTGAGATCTGTAACCATCAGCTTTTACTAGATTATGCTGCAGTAACAAACAAACTGCTACAAATCTCAGTGGCCTGTGGCAACCAAAGATCATTTCTTGTTCATGTGTCATGTTGACTAGGGCTGGCTGTGACTGTGCCCCAGCCCCGTGGGTGGTCCTCATTCTAGGATCTCAGTGGAGGAAGTAGGTCCTATAAGGTCCTTGCAGCAGAGGGAGGGAGCACACTGGCTCTTAAATCTTAATGCTCAGATAAGACACCATCACTTACATACCATTGGCCAAAGCATTTCGTGTGGCTATGCCTGACATCACTGAGGAGGGAAAGCACCCAGGGGGAAGTTGCTGTTACACCACAAGTCACGTGGCAGTGGGCAGCGATGTGTGACGCCTCCTCCAGGGAGCCTAGATGGTAGTTGGGAGCGGCAGCAGCATATTCCATGTGACTCCGGGAACCCACAGCACAGCCGTGCTGGCACTCACATGGTTGGGCACTTTCTCACCCCTTCCATATCTCAGAGATCTGGTGGATTTCTATGAAACTTGTTTTCTAAACCTAGACTGAGTTTTTATACTATCATAAGCGGATACTGATTGAGAGCTAGATTAAAATACCTTCCTATAGACATTTGTCTTTCTCTTATTTTATTTGAGACAGGGTCTCACTGTCACCCAGGCTGGAGTGCAGTGGTGCAATCATAGCTCATTGGAGCCTTGACCTCCTGAGCTCAAGGGATCCTCCCAAAGAGGTGGGACCACAGGCATACACCACCACACCCACCCAGCCAATTTTTTATTTTTTGTAGAGACAGGATCTTGCTACACTGCCCAGGTTGATCTCGAACTCCTGCACTCAAACGATCCTCCCACCTTGGCCTCCCAAAGTGCTGGGATTATAGGCGTGAGCCACTGCACTACACATTTGTCTTTAAATGTAACACTTAGCCGGGTGCGGTGGCTCATGCCTGTAATCCCAGCACTTTGGGAGGCCGAGGCGGGCGGATCACCTGAGGTCGGGAGTTCAAGACCAGCCTGGCCAACATGGAGAAACCCCGTCTCTATTAAAAATACGAAAATTAGCTGGGCATGGTGGCAGGCACCTGTAATCCCAGCTACTCGGGAAGCTGATACAGAAGAATCTCTTGAACCTGGGCGGGGAGGTTGCAGTGAGCCAAGATCGCACCATTGCACTCCAGCCTGGGTGACAGAGCGAGATTCCGTCTCTAAATAAATAAATAAATGTAACACTACATTAAAAAAAAAAAAACTCAGCCTTATGAAAGTGATGTTGCTGAAAACATAACCGTGGAATCCAGTAGCGGCCATTAGTGCAGATGTGCGGGTCACTGCAGGAAGACAGCTGGAGAGCGCTGTTGGGTGTGTACAGTGGAGAAAGACACCTCCCAGGAGCTACTGCCAGCCAAGTGGCTGTCATCATCTCACAGCACACAAAACAGATGCTTACTACACAGAGAACTCTTTACATATTAAGTATTTCCTTTTCTTTTTTTTTTTTTTTTTTTTTTTGAGACGGAGTCTCACTCTGTCGCCCAGGCTGAAGTGCAATGGCACGATCTTGGCTCACTGCAAGCGCGGCCTCCCGAGTTCACGCCATTCTCCTGCCTCAGCCTCCCAAGTAGCTGGAATTACAGGCGCCTGCCACCACACCCAGCTAATTTTTATAGTTTTAGTCAAGAGAGACGAGGTTTCACCATGTTGGCCAGGCTGGTCTCGAACTCCTGACCTCAAGTGATCCACCCACCTTGGCCTCCCAAAGTGCTGGGATTACAGGCGTGAGCCACCGTGCCTTGTCAAGAACCCTTTACATATTGAGCATTTTCATAAATATTTAAACCTGGATTCCTGAACCCTTGGGTCACATCTGCAGACCATGCAGTTGGCCATTGCGGAAGATATTAAAAGCATATTAAACACCCACTGCGTGCCCGTGGTCGGGAGGAAAAACAGTTGATGCTACAGCTTAGTTTTCCAGGAATTCAGTATCCCTGAGTCAGGCAGCCTTATCTGTCATCCTAGAACTCCAGGACAGCCCCAGGTGGTGGTGGGAGGGGCCGCGGCTGGGAGATGGAGCTGCTCTGAGCCTGCAGATCAGGGTAGCATTCCTGGGAGGCGCCTTCCAGGCGGAGGGGAAATTGCTCATGTGTTCTGGGAACTGGGAGTGACTGGGTGTGGCAGGAGTGTGAGGCATGGCAGGAGGTGAGCCTGAAAAAGAGGCTGATCCCTCAGAGCAGGACAGGTTTTACCCAAGGCTGCAGGCCAGTGTCTAACCGTCTCTAGATCCGTCCTGGTTTAGCTTCTTCCAAATAGTTTTGTGTCTGTGTGAGAGTGTGTGTGAAACGGAGTTTTGCTGTGTTGCCCAGGTTGGTCTTGAACTCCTGGGCTCAAGCGACTCTCCCACCTTGGCCTCCCAAAGTGCTGGGATTACAGGCATGAGCAACGGTGCCGGCTCTAAATGGTTTTAAGGGCACGGTACCTACCTCAAGCTAACGTGCAGGCAGGCACGAGGTAGCTGGAATTCTAGCCTAGGATTCTCTCTTCAGCAATTCTTGCCTTAAGACCTCACCTTAGACGTTTGCTCATTCACAGATCCCTCCCCTTCTCAGAGGGAGCTGTGTTACCAAGCCTTGGCTTGTACCTCCAAGGCATGCAGTGGATGGGCTGAGCTCCCTGCAGGGAGTCAGGCGGGTGTGTGGGGGGCATGAAGGTGAGCAGGACACTGTCCCTTCCTCCCTCCCTCCCACGGATGCTCTTCCTGGCTGGTAGCCATGTGGACACCTGGGGGGAAGCTGTTCTGTGTGGCAGAGTCACTGTGTTGTGTCTGGTACTGGGGCCCTTGCCAGGGTAGGTCAGTGACTCGTCCAGGCCCTGGAGGCTGCTGCTGTCCCCTCCTCGTGCAGAGGAGGTGGGGCTGGCAGTCAAAGCCCAGGCTCCCTCCCTCCCTCTAGACTCAGAACAGCCCAGGAACCCAGCTCGAGGTCTGGAGGAAGTGATGTGTGCATTGGGTCTTGCAGCATAGATAGGTTTTGAGTGGACGGAGAGGTTAGCGAAGGGTGTTCCAAGTAAGCAAAGCACGGAACTAGGAAGTCACTGGCTGCAGCAGGGAAGTCACACAAAGGGACAACCTACCACAGACTGGGTGAGCTGCAGAGGGAGGATGGACTAAACTCCAACTTCAGGGTCATTCTGGTTGTTTTTTTTTAAGACAGGGTCTCACTTGGTCATCCAGGCTGGAGTGCAGTGGCTCAATCATAGCTCACTCCAGCCTTGAACCCCTGGGCCCAAGCGATCCTCCCACCTCAGCCTCCGAGGAGCTGGGACTACAGGCGTGTACCACCGTGCCTGTCTAATTTGTATTTTTTTGTAGAGATAGGGTCTCACTATGCTGCCCAAGCTGGTCTTGAATTCCTAGGCTCAAGCCCTCCTCCCACCTCAGTTTCCCAAAGTGCTGGGATTACAGGTGCATGCCACCATGCCCAGCTAATTTTTATTTTTGGTAGAGATAGGGTCTCACTCTGCTGCCCAGGCTGGTCTTGAACTCCTGCCTCCATTTCCTAAATTGTTGGGATTACAGGCCTGAGCCACTGCGCCCAGCCTTGAGGCCCATTCTTGTCTGCGGAGCGGAGGGGACTTTATCATTTAGAAAAGGATCTTTTAAGTCATCTCTTTTAAGAAACCTCATGGTCCATTTGCATACTGAATTCATTAAACTCATCGGCCTGACCGTGTTCCTCAGGACTGGGCTGGAATTTCCCTGTGTTAGTGGAAGAGGGCACGGGGAGAGGACTGAGAGTCTTGGTCCCTGTGATACAGCTCTGATGAGTGGAGGAACACTGGGGTTTTTGGTTTTTATGCCGGTTTAGATAAAATGACATGGATACACGTGGAGTGGTTTTTTTTTTGTTTTGTTCTGAGATGGAGTCTCGCTCTGTCGCCAGGCTGGAGTGCAGTGGCGTGATCTCGGCTCACTGCAACCTCCGCCTCCTGGGTTCAAGCAATTCTCCTGTCTCAGCCTCCTGAGTAGCTGGCATTACAGGCGCCTGCCACCATGCCCAGCTAATTTTTGTATTTTTAGTAGAGACAGGGTTTCACCATGTTGACCAGGCTGGTCTGCATCTCCTGACCTTGTGATCCACCTGCCTTGGCCTCCCAAAGTGCTGGGATTACATGTGTCAGCCACCACGCCCGGCTCAGTGGAGTGGTTTTAAAACCCCGATGTCCACGGGGCTGGTTCCTTCTGCTGGCTGTAGGGGAGAATCTACTGTGTCCCTGTCCCAGCTTCTGGTGGTTTCCTGGTCATCTTCTTCTTTGTAGATCATCAGCCCAGTCTCTCCTTCATCGCTCTGTGACATCCTACCTGTCTACATGTCTGTTTCTGTGTCCAGGTTTCTCCTCCTTATTGGATCCAACTGGACGAGGGCCCAGGCTAATGACCTTGCCTTACCTTGATCACCTGCAGAGACCCTAGCTCCAAATAAGGTCACCTTCACAGGTATTGGGGGTCAGGACTTCATCATCTTTCAAGAGACACAATTCAACCCATTATAGCCCCGAAGTGTGCCGTGCAAATTACCAAACCCCACATCCTGGGGAATAACCCAAACAGGAGACAGGAGGACAGAGTTCAGGATCCTTCCAGATCCCAGCCCTTGCCTCCAGGAGACGCAGCCACCCGGTACCCTGAGTCGGAATACCTCGGAAGTGAGGGGCCCTCCCTAGGCAGATCCTAAGCCAGAAAGAGAAGCCTCTGTGTGGCCATCAAGCGGTACGGACAGCAGCCAGGGCGTCTGCCCAGCTTCCTGGACAGACTCTGCTACCCACCTGCCTCTCTTAGAAGAGCCCCAGGTTGCGTTCCAATTCATCTGGAGAAGCAACTCCAAATCCGTTGCTTACTCTAGACATCTATAATATGTGGGCTTAGGTACAGTTGAAACAGTGCCATTTAGACAGTTCCCAAAATTTGTAATAGATACTGAGAAAGATACATGATACGACAGGGAAAGAAAACACAACACACTATCTTACGTATAGGCTGATTTCAAGTACGTACATACACACACGCGTTTTAAGCAGCTTGATTGAGATATAATTCACATACCATATAATTCACCCATTTAAAGTCTGGAGTTCATTGACTTTTAGGATATTCACAAAGTTGCACAGCTGTCACCACAGACAATTGTAAAATGTTTTCATCACCCCAAAAGGAAATCCCACACCCTTCAGTTGGCATCCACCAGCCCCTCCTTCCCACCCACCCCCAGTCTGAGACCACTCTTAATGTATAATACATCTGTCTCTTGTTTGCCTGTGTGTCTGCATTTCATGTAACTTTTTTTTTTTTTTTTTTTTTTGAGACGGAGTCTTGCTCTGTTGCCAGGCTGGAGTACAGTGGTGTGATCTCAGCTCACTGCATCCTCCACCTCCGGAGTACAAATGAAGCAATTCTCCTGCCTCAGCCTCCTGAGTAGCTGAGATTACAGGTGCACGCCACCATGCCCGGCTAATTTTTATATTTTTAGTAGAGATGGGGTTTCATCATCTTGACCAGGCTGGTCTTAAACTCTTGACCTCATGATCTGCCCACCTCGGCCTCCCAAAGTGCTGGGATTACAGGTGTGAGCCACCGCACCTGACCACAACTCTATTTTTTTTTTATATAATTAGGAAAAAAAAATAGAAATAAAGACCTGATAGTCTGACTCCTGCCGGTGAGTGGAGGATTTCAATTATACTTTTAAATTTTTTTTCTATATTTTTGATATTTTTCTGATCACACAATGAGCATGAGTTGCTAATAATGGGGGAGGGGGTTATTTTAAAAACAAGGCATGGTCTTGTCATATTAATAGTCCTTGTAGGCAAGGCATGGTGGCTCATGCCTGTAATCTCGCCTGACCCCTGAGGTCAGGAGTTCAAGACCAGCCTGGCCAACATGACGAAACCCCGTCTCCACTAAAAATACAAAAAAAAATTAGCTGGGCATGGTAGCACACTCCTGTAGTCTCAGCTACTTGGGAAGCTGAGGCAGGAGAATTGTTTGAACCCGGGAGGTGGAGGCTGCAGTGAGCTGAGACTGCGCCACTGCACTCCAGCCTGGGCAACAGAGCGAGCCTCCATCTCAAAAAAAAGTCCTTGCATATTGTTCTGAGATTCTACTCAACACCAAATTCACAACCTTGTTTTTTGTTGTTGTTGTTGTTGTTTAATTTGAGACATGGTCTCGCTGTGTTGCCCAGGCTGGAGTGCAGTTGTACGAACACAGCTCACTGCAGCCTCGAACTGCTAGGCTCAGGCAGTCCTCCCACCTCAGCCTCCCAAGTAGCTGGTATTACAGGTGCATTGCCACCCCGCCCAGCTAATTTTTTTGTTTTTTGTAAAATTTTTATTTTTAAATTTTAATTTGTAGATAGCTCATTATTTTGCCCAGGCTGGTCTTGAACTCCCGGGCTCAAGCCATCCTCCTGTCTCTGGCTCCCAAAGTGCTATGATTACAGGCGTGAGCCACCACACCTGGCCCAGAATCACAGCCTTATCTTATCGGGTTGAGGGGGTGGAAATGTGTCTGAGTTCCAAACAATTGACTTCAAATTGGAATCTTGGTGCACAGCTTGTTAGAAGTTGGAAATGCTTGCATTGCGCTAGGCTGCTATGTGTTCGATTTTCTAGGCCCAGCTCCCACTAGCCATCGTCCCCCAGTTCTGAGCGCCCCACATCCTTAATCAGGAGACCTCTCTCAGCCCTTAACAAACTGCCCGGTGGCTCAGGTGAGAGGCCCTGTAATTAAACCGCATCCTTTGCCTCTGTAATAACATCGGAGACAGCATAGTTCTAGGAGGGGACAGACGGAATATATAATTTCCTGTCCTTTGCCTGAGCCAGTATGACATTGGTACATGTGCAGTCTTGCGTGTTTCGGCTGTAAAGTGCGATCTGTTGTCTCAGCAAGTGTGTAGGTAAGCTAAATATTCTAACAAGTCAGTCCAACCATGGCAGGCTCTTTGCATATGCGTCCAGCATAGTTGATGAACAGACGTCTACACTAGAGGAAACTGGCTCAGTTAGTCAGTTCACAAAACCAATCCTGGCCACCATCGCAAAACCTTGCCAGTTGCCTAATCTGGAATCCCCGGGACCGTCCTCAATTCACCTGGTTCTTCTGGGCCTCACGTCAACTGTGTGTGTCGCTGATCTCTCCAGCCGCCCTCTCCTCCTCCTCGACACCCACAACCACTGCCCAGCGCATCTCA
The DNA here is from genome assembly GCF_000001405.40 of Homo sapiens. Taxonomy (NCBI): domain Eukaryota; kingdom Metazoa; phylum Chordata; class Mammalia; order Primates; family Hominidae; genus Homo; species Homo sapiens. Next base: position 102,069,148 of record NC_000007.14, read on the forward strand.
CTCGGATGAAAGCAGTGACGTCCGAGGGTTCTCTTCCTCCCTGCCCCCTCCTGTGCTCTTTCCACCCTGACCGCTGCTCAGGTGATGAGGGTCTCCCTGCACCATGCACCCTTGTGCCCCTCAAAATCTCACCCCACTTGATTGTCCAGCTGCGTCACCCACAGCTCCTGCATATGTATCCGCGTTCCCACCTGGCAGACTCTCGTGGGTCCCCTATGCCCCATGGTGTGTTGTAGCCGTGTTGGTGGACTCTTAATCTGGACTCCAGGAATAGAGCACAAGCTGACATGCAAATGAGTGTCTTAAAACAGAACACATAGGCCAGACGCAGTGGCTCACGCCTGTAATCCCCGCACTTTGGGAGGCTGAGGCGGGCAGATCACCTGAGGTCAGGAGTTTGAGACCAGCCTGGCCAACATGATAAAACCTCGTCTCTACTAAAAATACAAAAATTAGTCTGGCATGGTGGTAGGCACCTGTAATTCCAGCTACTTGGGAGGCTGAGGGCAAGAATCGCTTGAACCTGGGAGGCAGAGGTTGCAGTGAGCTGAGATCGTGCTACTGCACTCCAGTCTGGGCGACAGAGCAAGACTCTGTCTCAAAAAAAGGAGAATTTTATGAAATTCTTTGCTCCTGGGATTTGAATGTGTTCGTCCGTTTACATGCAGCATCTTACCCGTCCACCTGGGTGAAATGCTTTTTAAGACTCTGCTCTAAGGTCACAACTTTACTGCCTGAAGTTCCCTTCTGCATGTCCCCAGGGATTTAATTACTTGTTAATTACATACCTGTTTCCCTCCTAGACCCTGAGCTTCTGGGGGTAGGAACTGTCTCTTCCCACCCACCTCTGATCCCCAGCAGTGTCTAGCACATGGCCAGCTCTTAAGTCAGCATTTGGAGAAGACAAAAGACCAGGAAGGGCACGCCAGACCATTCTCTATGGAAGACCCACCCAGTGTTCCCTGCTGTATAGTGAATGGCTCCATACTCCCAAATCTCTGCTCCTCCCTTGTTTACCTTCATGAACAGGGTCCTTTTGTGTTTGCAGGCATTTCCTCTAAGAGGCTGAAGCCCAGTTGTCAAGCATCTCCCTTGCTACGGGAATTCACTAGATGTGTAATGCTTTGTAAATTACCTCTTGACAAATGTTGAGCTCTTTGTTTTTCTTTTCTTTCTTTCCTTCCCTTTCAGATTGATGCACTGAGTAAAAGAAGCAAGGAAGCTGAAGCAGCTTTCTTGAATGTCTACAAAAGATTGATTGACGTCCCAGGTAAGCCCCGGCAGTAATGGCCCACCAGTGGGGGGCGTTGTGTCTGGTGAGTCGGTGGGTTTTTGGCTCATTCTTCTTGGCTTTCCTAAGGAAAATAAATACACCATCAGTGGCAACTTCCCCCCAAGAAACCAGGGAGTGCAGGACACATGAATTCTTCACAACCCAGACTTTGGGTACGGAGGGAAATTGGATGCACTTGTTGAAGTACTCACGTAATCTCTAGGGGATGACTTCGTAAAAGCAGAGATCCAAATCTCTGGGGCTACAGCATAAAACCCTGCACGTACTGCAGAGAAGATGCAGACCTGATGTGTGTATGCTGTGTGGAAGTCCCTCATATTGCCCAAAGCCACCTTTAAGACTTTAGGAATGGCCCTACTAAGACACCTGGAGTGTCCCGCTCCCCTGCCAGGTCATCCAAGATCAGTGGCCCCTGGACAAGCCCTTCACTTAAGGGTTATGGGCAGAGGGTAACTGATAATCCTTGCAGCTACAACCAAGTATATCAGTTGTTTCTTTTATTTTTTTTTTCTAATTTTATTTATTTATTTTTGAGACAGGGTCTCGCTCTGTCGCCCAGGCTGGAGTGCAGTGGCACAATCTCCGCTCACTGCAACCTGCACCTCCCGGGCTCAAGCGATCCTCCCACCTCAACCTCCCAAGTGGCTGGGAGGTACGTGCCACCACATTCAGCTAATTTTTGTATTTTTTGTACAATGAGTGCGATGAGGTCTCACTTTATTGCCCAGGCTGGTCTCGAACTCCTGGGCTCAAGCTATCCTCCCACCTCAGCCTCCTAAAGTGCTGTGAGGTTACATGCAGGAGCCACCACGCCTGGCCCTGTTTCTTCTTTTAGAGGGATTGAAGAATTAAAATTTAAATATGTTTGTGAGGCATTCTAAGAGGTGATGGCTTCCGATTCTTTATTCTGGAAAAGTGAGAAGGCAGGTAGAGTGCCTTGAACTCTCTGGTCCTGTTTGTGGGTCCTCGATTGCCTTAGAATCTGGAGTAAGGTGATGGACATAACTATGTGGGGCCCAGCTCAGCCCTGGAGAGATGCTGATCAGAAAATTAGGAAAGTCACTTGATGCCTTTTTCTGCCAAGCAAAGAATTGGAATTACCACCACCCTCCCCTCCCCACCCATTACAGTTGTGCCCTTGCCCTTGTTAGCAATTCTCTGAATATCATTGACATCATTAGAGCTACATTAACAGAGCGAGGCAGACTCAGGTCTCCTTTGTACCTGTACTTGTGTTCTGATTCAGGTCTACCACGGGCTTTGCTGTCCCCTCTTGGAGCTGGGATTAATAGAGGTCACACCAAACACGGGATGGCAGAAAGCACTTCGGACAGGGAATGAGGAGACCCAGATTCTCCTTCCCTGGATGACATTCCTTTTCCTCTCTGGACTTCAGTGTTCTCATCTGTAAAATGGAACAGGGTCAGGGAACAGCCTAATCGTAGAGAATGGTTTGCTTTGTTCTAAACTTTTGCTGTCTTAGGAGCTTATCTAGTTATTGGTTCCAAATTCTAGCCTTTTGGTTTTCTGTGAGAGTTTGTATCTGACTAGGAGTTCCCTGAAGAACCTGACTGAGCTTCACGAGGAGGCTCCTTCACAGTAAAATGGATCAGAGTGTTACCACTGGAGGGTGTCCAGGTTCTTGGCGTTTTGAGCAATGAATTGGACAAAATGCACAAAGCAAGGAAAGAATGAAGCAACAAAAGCAGATATTTACTGAAAATGAAAGTACACTCCACAGGGTGAGAGTGGGCTGAGCAGCCGCTCAAGGGCCCAGATACAGATTCTTCTCGGGTCTAAATATCCCCTTGAGGTTTCCCATTGGCAATTGGTGTTCACCCCATGTAAATGAAGTGGTGGCCCTCATTCAGTCTGATCAGTTGCAGAAAGCAACCAACCAGAGGCTGAAGTGAAGTTATAAAGGTCACACTCCTATGCAAACATCTTGATTGGTTGCGGAAAGTAACCAATCAGAGGCTAAATTGAAGTTACAAAGTTGTACTTCTATGCGAACGAAGACTTGGCCCTGCAATCAGTCTGGTTGGTTGCAACCAATCAGAGGCTGAAGTTACAAAGTTACGCTTCTCTGCAAACATCTGATTGGTTGCAGAAAGCAACTAATCAAAGGTACTTTCAATTTCCCATCTGCAGGGCAGAAAAGGTGGAGGTTTGCAAAGGAAGTAGACGCTGGTCCTTTTGTTACTTAGGCGTGGCAAGTGGGGGTTTTTCCTTCGATTTAGTTCTAGGAAGTCAGGGTGAATCAGCCTTTGGTTCCCTGCCTGCAGACCCTATTTTCCTGCCTCAAGAGCACTGTCCCTCGGGCATCAGCAGCCTGGCGGGCATCACTGGCATTTTCTTGTGCATAAGGTAGTGACTGAGAATTTTCTCTCTGGACTATGTCATGTCCATACTGACGCAGGGATAAAGAATTTACAGAAAAAGCATGACCTGGGCTTTGAGAAATTTTATTTTGTGTTTCGAAAGAGTTCATTCTTTGACTTTTTGTTGGTTCCTCAGGCTCAGGAAGGTTCTGCTCCATTCTATTCCAAGAAGTTCTTGCTACCACTTCTGGGAGCAGGATCCCAGAAGGGGAGTGTTTTCCAGCTGAGAACTTTGTCCAGTTGGTGATTTAGTCGGAAGAAGACTGGCTTACTTCATCTTTGCCAGAGACCCAAAGACTGTTTAGCTGCTGTTTTCTAAATAATATGTAATCTCTTTTCTTTCTTTTTTTTTTTTTTTTTTTTTTTTCTGAGACAGAGTCGCACTCTGTCAAAGAGGCTGGAGTGCAGTGACGTGATCTTGGCTCACTGCAACCTTCGCCTCCCAGGTTCAAGCAATTCTCCTGCCTCAGCCTCCCACATAGCTGTGATTACAGGCACCCATCACGACACCCAGCTAATTTTTGTACTTTAGTAGAGACGGGGTTTCGCCATGTTGGCCAGGCTGGTCTCAAACTCCTGACCTCAGGTGATCCGCCTGCCTCAGCCTCCCAAAGCGCTAGGATTACAGGCGTGAGCCACCATGCCCAGCCTAGCTGCTGTTTTCTAAATAACCTATAATCTCTTTTCAAAAAGTCAAATTTGTACCTCAATTTTTCCCTAGTGAAATTTTCCAACTGGGCAGTCACTTTAAAACATTGCTAGGTTTCTTTCTCTGCAGTTACGTTCTGTGTTAATTTCCCATAGAAAAAAGACCGTTTTTCTCATCAACGTTTCCTCTTTACCTGAGCCAACCTTGTCCATGTACATGTACAAATTTTATAGAATTTTGATCATAGCATGGGTATATATTCATATTCTGCCTTTCTCACTTAATATTATGATTCTTATTATTACCATAAGCATTTTCCTATATTGGTAATATTCTTCACAATTTTTATTTCTGGCCAGAGAATTGAAGTTTGCAGTTTAAATTGATGGATGGTGGGAGCAAAGAATGTTTGATGTTTTCTGTAATACTAAAAGTCAATCAGAATACATCTACATTCCACATAGATCCCTTTCACCCACCGCTTCCCAGGTATTTCTTACAAATGCTGTGATCTGCCACATCTAACAAGTTACTTGCAAAGCAGGAATGGTGCTCGGAGCACTCTCCCTGTGTTTTGAAGTCTGATTATTGCTCAGATGCAATCATTCTGTGGCTGAGGCTTACAGGAAGGGCCCGGTCAATAGTGATGATGCATTTACTGACAGTCACTCAGTCGAGGGGAGTCGGGGTGCCTTAACTGTCTGCATACTTCAGGCCTTAATCCAGTGGAATCCAGAAACATTAGTAGGGTGCAGTAAGTTCTGCTAGTTGCAAGAGACAGCAACTCACACTGTCACAGGAAAAGGGAGGAAGCCCTTGGGAATAATGCAACAGGCATTCCAGCTATATGCCACACAGCCCTGCTCCTGGATCACAGGGAGAGCCGCCAAGCTGGCCCCAGGAACAGCGGAGCCAGAGTCTCACCCAGCCCAGGAGTGACAGGCACCTGACCGCACCAGCTCCCACCTGCTTCCCCTTCCTGAAGTTTTATTTATTTGTGCATTTCCTTGTTGCTTATCTCTGGGTCTCATTAGAGTGACAGCTCCATGAGGATAGGGCTTTGCATTGTGGCTCTCTGCCCAGTGCCTGGCACACAACAGGTGGGACATAGTGAATGACTGAAGGAGTCAATGGACCCAAATTCCCGCCACTCCCACTGAGTCCTCAGCAGCGGAGTTCACCAAGGGTTGCACTGGTGACTCTCAGAGCTTTGTCCCTGGTCCAGGTCTCACTCCTGAGTGCCAGCTTGCATATCTGACTGCCGCCTGGACTTTCCCACTGGGATGGCTGGTGGGCACCCACCTGATGTGTCCGGCAGAAGCCGTCTTCTTACTGCCTGCCTTCTTTTGGCGGGTAGCATCACCTCCCACCTTACTGCTCATGTTCTGAGCTTTTTGTTTTTCTTGAGATGGGGTCTTGCTCTATCACCTGGGCTCAAGTGCAATGGTGTGATCTCCGCACACTGCAACCTCTGCCTTCTGGGTTCAAGCGATTCTCGTGCCTCAGCCTCCCAAGTAGCTGGGATTACAGGCGTGCGCCACCACACCTGGCTAATTTTTGTATTTTTAGTAGAGATGAGTTTTCACCATGTTGGCCGGGCTGGTCTCGAACTCCTGACCTCAGATGATCCGCCCCCCTCAGCCTCCAAAAGTGCTGGGATTACAGGCGTGAGCACCATGCCTGGCCTGTGTTCTGAGCATTTTGTCACCAACTCTGGCCATCCAACCTCTAGGATGTCTCAATTCCAGCCACTTGCCTTCACCCAAACTCCTGCCCTACAGTCTGCAGTTCACGGTGGCATGAGTCTAAGTGCTTACAGGGCGGCCAGACTCTTCCTGGCTAATCGCCACCGACCCCTCTGGATTAACCTGTTGAGACGCCACTTCCTGACAGAGAGGTCTTCCTGGCCTCCCCAGCTGGTTTAGGGGACCCTTCCCATGCACACACACACCCTGGCCGGGGACCCTGCCATTCACTTCATCATAATTCCTTGGTAACTGTTTGGCCGAGAGACTGGTTCAGTGCGGTTTTGTCCCTATTTCCTTTATATCCACCCCAGTGCCTGCCATGTGGCAGAAACTCCATAAATATTGCTAAATGAATGCAGAAATTAATGAATCAAATTATTTCTTCAAAATGCTGAGTGTTTTTTTGGTCTCAGGCTCCTACTGTTCCCACTGAACCACCCTCCCGAGGTTGAAGCTTCCCAGTGAGGGCGAGCACTGCAGAGCACTAAGACAAGTCAATTGCAGGAGAACAGAATGTATCTTTTATTGAGTTGTAGCAGTTTAATAGCTGTCTGAACTCTCATTTTACTTTGTTGTCATTCTATAAAGATTTACATGCCTGCATGGACATTTATACAGCACTTAGCATTCGGAGTTGCCCAAACCAGCACATGTGCATCTGAGGACTTCGGCTCTGGGGCCGGCCCTTGGTGTCTGGGATCTGTGTTTGGTTTACCAGACGTCCCGCCGGCGCCCCAAGCCCAGCACACAGGGTAGGATCTCCCTCCACCCCAGCTTATCCCCCACCATCCCCACCCGCCCCACTTCTCCCTTGGTGTTCTGGCTCCTCCCTCTTCTTCATCTTCCACCTTCTATAATTTCCTTCACATTAAAGACACAAAGGCCAGGCATGGTGGTTCACGCCTGTAACCCCAGCACTTTGGGAGGCCGAAGCAGGCAGATCACCTGAGATCACGACTTTGCAACTAGCCTGGCCACATGGTGAAACCTCGTCTCTACTAAAAAAATACAAGACATTAGGTGGGCGTGGTGGTGGGCACCTGTAATCCCAGCTACTTGGGAGGCTGTGGCAGGACAGTCGGTTGAACCCAAGAGGTGGAGGTTGCAGTGAGCCGAGATTGTACTACTGCACTCCAGCCTGGGTGACAGAGCAAGACTGTCTAAAAAATAAATAAAATTAAAAAAAAAAGACACCAAATAAGCATTTAGCAATACAGTAGCATTGAACCCTCATGGTCCTCATGTACCTCTGAGTAGGTTTGGTAGTTCATACCTTGGTGTTTGTTCTTTTCATTTGCCACCAGATCGCTTCTTATTTCTTAGTCAGTTTCGCGAGTACTATCAGACTTGTCTTCCTGGGTATTACTCGGGTCAATGCCTGAGACCCCAGCACCCCTCATGCCCCACACCACACCCCCAGGGCATCAAGAACCAGGCTGAGCCCCAGGGATACAACAGCCAGCTCAGTTCCTGCCCTCAGACTATAGAGGCTGGTGGGAATATGGGCATTAAAAAGTAATTGCGACCGGGTGCAGTGGCTCACACCTGTAATCCCAGCACTTTGGGAGGCTGAGGTAGCTGAATTACCTGAATTACTTGAGCCCAGGGGTTGAAGACCAGCCTGGGCAACACGGTAAAACCCCGTCTCTACAAAAGATACAAAAGTTAGCTGGGCATGGTGGCGTTCGCCTGTAGTCCCAGCTGCTCAGGAGGCTGCGGTGGGTGGATCACCTGAGCCCAGGAGATCAAGGCTGCAGTGAGCCAAGATCACGCCACTGCACTTCAGCCTGGGTGACAGAGTGGGACCCTGTCAAATTAAAAAAAAAAAAAAATTAGAAAAAAGAAGAAGAAAAAGTAATTGCACAAATAACTGAATTTTAGGTGCGATAAGCAAAGCCCACTGGGCAATGAGAGTATAGAATAAGGTGAATCAAGCAGGACAGAGGCAGCTGCCCTCAGGTGGCACCAACTGGGGCCAGGAGAAGAAGCCACAGGAAGCAGTTTTCTGACCAGAGAAAGCAGCAGCAGGGAGGAGCTGGGACAGGAAGGAGACCAGCAGGTGGGGAGAATGTCGGGTCAATGGGGCTTAGTGAGCAGAAGAGGAAAAGGACCCAGCAGCAGCCAAGCCCTGCAGCAGCCAGACGGAGACACTGAAGTAGTCAGAGGGGCTGTGAATAATGACTCTGGGGATCGGGCGCAGTGGCTTACTCCTATAATCACTGTACTTTGGGAGGCTGAGGCAGGAGAGGTATTTGAGGCCAGGAGTTCGAGACCAGCCTGGGCAACATAGCAAAACCCCCCATCTCTTTAAAAAAAAAAAAAAAAAAAAAGATGAACAAGTAAAATATGCAGCCTCTGTCTCTAGTTCAAGACCAGCCTGGCAACATAGCAAGACCCTCCCATCTCTTTAAGAAAAAAATAAACAAGTAAAATAGGCAGCTTCTGTCCCTTACTGTAATGAAATGAGAAATGTCTCTGCTCTTAAAATGTAATGTGACCCTCTCAGGTAGCTGGGAATATTCTGGAATGACCGCTTCTAACAGGCTCTTGCATAGCTGGAATTTTACTGAGTTCTAAGCAAAATTATGACAGTATGCATAATTCGTCAGTAATTAACCTTGTGTGGGTGACTTGCTCTTGCTTCTTGATACTTTTCATTTTTTTTTTTTTTTACAATGAGTATGTATTTATTTCTACAATGGTGGAGAACATAAATTAGTAAAATATTCAACTTGCAATCTTAGTTTCTGAATAGGCCTTATTAATGTATTGCAGATAAGAACTTAGTCAACTAGTTGTAGGGTAAAACACAAGTGTGACTTCTCTGTTCCAGAAACATCTTAGTAATGTTTTTGGGGGTTTTTGTTTGTTTTTTATTTTTTAGCAGCGGGGTCTCTGTTGCCCAACCTGGAGTGCACTGGTACCATCATAGCTCATTTAACCGCCTCCTGGCTCAAGTGATCCCCCTGCCTCAGCCTCCTGAGTAGCAGGAACTACAGGCACACGCCACCACACCTGGCTAATTTTTAAATTTTTTGTAGAGATGGGGTCTTGCCATGTTGCCAAGGCTGGTCTCAAACTCCTAGGCTCAAGCAATCCTCCCGCCTCGGCCTCCCAAAGTGCTGAGATTACAGGCGTGAGCCACCACACCCAGCCTAGTAATGGTGTATTTTAAAGAGTTCCTAGGTAGAAGAAAAAGACTAGGCACTCCAGAACTTCTGTGCTTTGGTTGCAAAGTTCACTGGAAGCATCTCTTTGCAAGTTGTCCTTGCCTCTGTCTGTGACCTGCTATCAGAACCGTATTTTACTGCTTGCTGAGATGCAGTTTAGTTCCTACAGACACAAACCCTTCAAATATAAAGGCAGTGCCTGGAAGGGTTTATTTTAAGATTTAAATCTTAGGAAGCACATTACCAGTGATATAAAATATTCATTGACTCATGAAACACTGCTAGAAGTCGCTGTTTCGTGACTGACTCGTCTCCCTTTATTTCCATAGGTTAACTGGTCTGCCTTTGTGAAAAGTAGATGTAGGTTTTTCGGAAGTCCTAAAAGAGAGCTGGCTGGAAAGAGTGCATTTGTAGGCCATTCCATTTTCAGAGCCTGCTCCCAAATGCCTGTGCTCTGAGGTCCTCCCCCTGGGAGAGGTTTCATTTTGGATGTAGGAAAACCATCTCTCCTGGTGACTATCCTTGTCGGCCTAGCATCTGAGAATCTAGAAATAAAATGGAATGTCATCATTTTTGAGAACTGCTTTTTAATGCTCCTCCAGGAGAATAAAATAGCAGTCTGGTTCTTGGTGCCTGCTACTTTCAAGTGAGGACACATTACAGGTTAAAATTAGAAAACACTGTTCTTTTATACTTCTTTCTCCACTGCCTGCCCCTCACTCAAAGATCCCACATTAAGACTCCTGGAAAAAAAGTTGAAGAAATCAGCCTGGCGTGGTGACTCACGCCTATAATGCCAGCACTTTGGGAGGCCGAGGCAGGCGGATCACCTGAGGTCAGGAGTTCAAGACCAGTGTGACAAACATGGTGAAACCCCGTCTCTACTAAAAATAGAAAAATTGGCCGAGCATGGTGGCGTGCACCTATAATCTCAGCTACTCGGGATGCTGAGTCACGAGAATCGCTTGAACCTGGGAGGCGGAGGTGGCAGTGAGCCTAGATCATGCCACTGCACTTTAGCCTGGGCAACAGAGTGAGACTCTGTCTCAAAAAAAAAAAAATGACAAAATCTTATGATTTCGTTAGAAATAGCCCCTGGTTTTCATGCCAAGAAGTTCATCAATGTGCCACTTGGTAGCCTTCTCGAAGGTGATAGAAATGTGGCCATTGCAGCCTGATTCTGTACGGTGACTCCAGTCCACGTATTCCAGGTCTCCAGGTGTTGGCAAACAAGACCTGGGACCCAGGGCCCCTCCGGAGAGCTCCCTGTAACTTCAGTAGCAGGAGACATGCGGGATCCCTTTACAAATCCTCAGTTTGCCTTCATAAAACATTTTCATTCATGTGATTAAGAAGTAATCACAGGCCCCAAACAAAACAGGACAGAAAGAGGAACTGGGTCTGGAAGAATAAAGCCCTGTGGGTGGCGGATAATGTGCTGACTCCTGTCCAGGATACAGGTCCCTGGCCCTAAGCTGGTCCTGAAACAGCCTCGGGGGACGAGGCTGTATGCTCTGTCCCAGTTACACTCAGGCTCCGGCATTAGGGAAATTGGAAACCAGGCATGGAAGCAGCGTCCCTACCTTCCTCGGCCAGGTTCATAAACCTGGGGCTCAATCCGCCTCTCCATGTAGGACACTGTATGTTTGCAGGCTGAGGAATTGGCCACCACTGTTCTAAAGACAAGCAGGCATGACAAGATGGGCGTTAGGCCTGTTGCCGCCAGGTTTTGCCGGCTGCCGTCCTTCCCAAGGCTTTCCCTTCTCCATCCATCCTCCCCCGGTCCCTCGACACAGCACTAGAGTGAGAACACCCTGGATGTGACTTGGGGACTCCTCCTCGGTGTGCTTGCGTGGAGAGTGGAGAGGTGCGTCGTTTGTGCCCCGCTTTGCCATGACCGGGGTGGTCCTGGCACGCCGGGTATCTAGACAGCTTTTCATCAGTCGCTCATCAGCATGCTAATTGCCGTATGACTAATTATGCCCTGAATTCCAGTTGATTTTCTTAATGAGACAGCTGGGTTAATTATGTAATCGTATGATTACATTAGCCTAGAGTGCCCTGGCGAAAAGTAGCGTCTGCCGCATTGTGATGTCATCGCGGGGACGGTGCTCACAAGGGGGACATTCATCCTCAGGCTGGTGGCAGGGGACAGCCCCCATCGCCCGCAGAGCGCACTGTGCAAACATGAGCCTCATGTCTATTAAGATTGGCTTTTTCAGCCCTCACAACCTACAAGAAAAGCAGTTCACCACCAGCAGTCTCCTCGCCACCCTGCGCCCTCTCCACGCCCCCAGCCGAATCCAAAAGCCGCCTGCAGGCCTCTGCAGCTCTTCTGAGATCCAGCCATGTGTCCTTTCTTCTCACAGGACCTCTCTGCACCGAGGCTGTTGGGCTTTATCAGGGCACACCAGCACTTCCTTCAGAGTGATCCGAAGAACTCAAAGCAAAATGTTTGCATTAAAGTCCCAGAGCGACTTAGTTGACGATAACATATAAACAAGCCCTAGACTGGCCCCGACCTTAGATCCCACTGCGCACGCCAGATATGCTGTTTCATTCCTTCTTTCTGCCCAATCTCTAACACACATCATATTTACTAGGAAAATACATGACCGATACCTTCTGGTTTCTGGCCACTTCGCTACTCCCCATCACAGCAGAACTCCCCTGGGAGGTGACTGCCTGCTGAATCACTTCTTCACCTATTTACACTCTTCCTCCTTAGACTTTTGTGGCCTTCTCCTCTTCCTCTGCCAGGGCTCTAAATGTTGGAGTATGCCAGGACGTTATTCTTAGCCTTTTCCTTTTCATTTGCATTCCCTCCCTATCTAAAACTCCACATGACCAAAAGAGAATGATCATTTCCCCCCACGTGCTCCCAAGATAGTCAGTGACATCACCATTCACGCAGGTGCTTTGGCCACTGATATGGTTTGGCTCTGTGTCCCCACCCAAATCTCACCTCAAATTGTAATCTCCACATGTCGAGGGAGGTGATTGGATCATGGGGGCAGTTTCCCCGTGGCTGTTTTCATGATAGTGAGTGAGTTCTCACGAGATCCGATGGTTTTATAAGTGTTTGGCAGTTCCACCTTCGCTCATCTCTCTCCTGCCACTTTGTGAAGAAGGTGCTTGCTTCTCCTTCACCTTCCGCCACAACTGTTTCCTGAGGCCTCCCCAGCCATGTGGAACTGTGATTCCATTAAACCCCTTTGCTTTATAAATTACGCAGTCTCAGGTATTTCTTTTTTGTTTTTTTTGAGATGGAGTCTCACCATCGCCCAAGCTGGAGTGCAGTGGCATAATCTTGGCTCGCTGCAACCTCCTCCTCCTGGGTTCAAGCGATTCTCCTCCCTCAGCCTCCCTGGGATTACAGGCGCCTGCCACCATGCCCAATTAATTTTTGTATTTCTAGTAGAGACAGAGTTTCACCGTGTTGGCCAAGCTGATCTCGATCTCCTGACCTCGGGTGATGCGTCCGCCTCCGCCTCCCAAAGTGTTGGGATTAGAGGCATGAGCCACCATGCCTGGCCCAGGTATTTCTTTATAGCAGTGTGAAAATGGACTCATACAGCCATAATGCACAACTCAGCCTGGGTTCCCTTCTTTCTTTCACACCCAATAGCCAGGCTGTCAGTAAGTCCTAGTGAGCCAGCAGCCTCCAGAATGTATCCCAGATTCGCCCACTTACCCTTCAGCCACTGTCACCTAGTCCAAGCCACCAGTCTCTGTCACCTCACTGCACTCACACCTCCACCTAACGTCCTTTGCACAGCAGGCAGACGGGTCTACGTCAGTGGTCTCCAAACTACTTTTGCTTATGCACCCCAAGAGTAAAAAAGTTTGAATTGGGCCAGGCACGGTGGCTCACGCCTGTAATCCCACCACTTTGGGAGGCTGAGGGCAGGCGGATCACCTGAGGTCAGGAGTTCGAGACCAGCCTGGCCAACATGGTGAAACCCCGTCTCTACTAAAAATACAAAAATTAGCTGGTGTAATGGCAGGCGCCTGTAATCCCAGCTACTCAGGAGGCTGACGCAGGAGAATTACTTGAACCCAGGAGGTACAGTGAGCCAAGATCGCGCCACTGCACTCCAGCCTGGGCAACAGAGCGAGACTGTCTAAAAATAAATACATACATAAACACATACAATGAAATGCGCTCATTTCAAGTGTGCAGTGTGATAGCGTGGCCACCTTCACAGTCAAGATGTAGAACATTTCTATCACCTCAAAAGTTCCCTTCTGATCCCAGTACCCAGCAACTGCTGTTCTGCTCTTTGTCACTTCTGGAGTTGTATAGAAGTGGAATCATTTGGTCTGTGGTCCTACATCTGGCCTCTTTCACTCAGCGCGGTGTTTTGGGATTCATCTAAGTTACTGGTGTCATTAGTCCTTTCCTTTTTATTGATGAATGATATTCCACTGTGTGGATATATACCAATTTGTTTATCCAACAGTTATGTTGACAGACATTTGGTTGGTTGTGGGTATTATGAATCAGTCTATAAACATTCATGGAGAAGTTGTTACATAGGTATATGTTTTTATTTCCCTTAGGCAAATACTTAGGATGAGGGTCAGGGAACCTGTACATTTTACCTGATAAGAAATGCCAAGCTGCTTTTCAATGTAGATGTATCTTTTTTTATTAATTTTTTTCATTTTCTTTTCCTCAGGATAGCAAAGTTACAGTTGTATTATTTTATCCCCTCATAAGAAATTGAGAGGAGTTCCAGTTGCTCCATGTCTTCTGTTTCATCGGTTATTTTCTAATTTTAGACATTCCTAGTGAATGCGTAATGTATTTCACAACGATTTTAGTTTGCATTTTCCTGATGATTAATGATGCAGAATATTTTTTCATGTGCATTTTTGCTTTCATAGATTTTTATTTATAAAGGTTTCAATCCCTTGCACATTTGAATTTTGGAGACAGGGTCTTGCTCTGTTGCCCAGGCTGGAGTGTAGTGATATAGTCATAGCTCACTACAGCCTCAGTCTTCCAGGCTCAAGCGATCCTCCCACCTCAGTCTCTCGAGTAGCTGGGACTACAGGCATGTGCCACCACACCCGATTAATTTTTTGTTTTTTCTAGACATGAGGTCTAGCTGTGTTGCCCAGACTGGTCTCAAACTCCTGGGCTCAAGCAGTCCTCCCACCTTGGCCTCACGAAGTGCTGGGATTATGGGCATGAGCCACCGTGCCTGGCTTCTGTATACGTTTTAGATTCAGCTTGTCAGTTTTTACAAAGGAGTTTTCTGTGATTTTGATTAGGATTCCACTGTATTTGTAGATCAATTTGAGGAAAATTGACAACACTATTTATTCTTCCATAATATATTTATTTAGTTCATCTTTAATTTCTCTGAGCAGTATTTTACAGTTTTGATGTATAAACCTGGCACAGATTATGTTCAGTTTATTTCTAAGTTTAAGTCATGTTTTTGAATGTTATATTAAAGGATATTTTCTTTTTTAAAAAATCTACAATGTTTATTTTATTATTATTATTTTTAATCTCGCTTCATCACCAAGGCTGGAGTAAAGTGACGCGATCTCAGCTCAGTGCAACCACCGCCTCCCAGATTCAAGCAATTCTCCTGTCTCAGCCTCCCAAATAGCTGGGACTACAGGTGCCTGCCACCACACCCAGCTAATTTTTGTATTTTTAGTAGAGACAGAGTTTCACCATGTTGGCCAGGCTGGTCCCAAACTCCTGACTTCAAGTGATCTGCCCACCTCAGCCTCCCAAAGTGCTAGGATTACAGGTGCGAGATTAAAGTTTATTTTCTTTTGAAATTTGTTTTCCAATTGTTTGTTGCTTTTATACAGAAATATAATGAATTTCATATATTATATAATTTTTACATTTTAACAAATAATAAAATATATAAATATATATTTTATATTATGTAATGTTTATATAATAATAATATAGGTGACCTCTTAATGCTCACCTATTAGCTCTAGAAATTTTTTTGAAGTTTTCTTGAATTGTCCATATGCCCTTGAAGACAATATATACTTTTTTCTTTTTTTTTTTTTTGAGACAGAGTCTCGCTCTGTCACCCTGGCTGGAGTGCAGTGGCACAATCTTGGCTCAGTGCAACCTCCGCCTTCTGGGTTTAAGCAATTCCCTGCCTCAGCCTCCCAAGTAGCTGGGATTACAGGTGCCCGCCACCACGCCTGGCTAATTTTTTTGGATTTTTAGTGGAGACGGGGTTTCAGCATCTTGGCCAGGCTGGTCTTGAACTCCTGACCTCGTGATCTACCCGCCTTGGCCTCCCAAAGTACTGGGATTACAGGTGTGAGCCAACGCACCCGGCCACAATATATACTTTATTGATGTTGGATGGAATGTTCTGTAAACATCAGTTAGGTCAAGTTGGTTGATAGTGTTGTTCATGTTTCCTGTATCCATCCTGATTTCTGATCTATAATGCTGTATATTTATTTTCCTTGCTTTTTTTTTTTTTTTTTTTTTTTTGGCACTTGCTACCTGTATAAAATGTTGACTAGAAGTAGAGAAAGCAGACATCCTTGCCTTGGACCCAACATTAGGGAAAAGCATTCAGACTTTGATAATTAAGTATAATATCAACTGTAGATTTTTTTGTAGTTGCCGTTTATAAGATGGAAATTCTCTCCTATTCCTAGCTTGCGGAGAATTTTTGTCATAAATGGTATTGAATTTTCTCATATTGTTTTCGGCATCTTTCGAGATGATCATATGATTTTCCTCCTTTATTCTCTTAACATGGTAAAATAATTTGATTCTCAAATGTTAAACAAATCTTGCATTCCTAGGATAAATCTTACTTAGCCATGCATTTTATGCATAATATGCATTTTATAATATATTTTGTGCATTTTAAAATTTGCTGGATTCAATTTGCTACTGTTTTACTGAGGACTTTTGCCGTTAAATTTATGAGGAACGATATGGTTTGGCTGTGTTCCCATGCTATCTCATCTTGAATTGTAGTTCCCATAAAACCCACATGTCGTGGGAGGGACCAGTGGGAGGTAATTGAATCATGGGGGTGGTTATCCCCATGCTGTTCTTGGGATAGTGAGTGAGTTCTCACAAGATCTGATGGTTTTATAAGGAGCTTTTCCCGCTTTGCTTGTCACTCCTTCCTGCTGCCATGTGAGGAAGGACATGTTTGCTTCCCCTTCTGCCATGACTGTAAGTTTCCTGAGGTCTCCTCAGCCACGCTCAACTGTGAGTCAAGTAAACCTCTTTCCTTTACAAATTACCCAGTCTAGGGTATGTCTTTATTAGCAGTATGAGAGCAGACTAATACAGAAATATACAACTATAGTTTTCTGGTTTTTTTCCTTTGAATATCCATATAGGGTTTTCACTTTAAGGTTGCACTGGTCTTGTAAAATAAGTTAGAAAGTGCTCCCCCTTTCCTCTATTTGCTGAAAGAGTTTGTATAAGATTGCAGTTATTTTTTCGTAAAATTCAATTCATCAGTGTTGCCATCCAGGCCTGGAATTTTCTTTATGGCAAGTTTTTAAATTACAAATTAACTTCTTTAACAGATGCAAGGCTATTAAGTTTTTTAAATTTCTTCTTGAGTCAGTTTTGGTAATTTGGAATTTTTAAAGGAATGATCCATTTCATCTAAATTATCAAATTTGTTGGCATAATATTGTACATAATATTTTATTAACTTTTAAATATCTGTAGGATGTGTAGTGATGTCCTTTCTTATACTTCCTGACATTAGAATTTGTGAATCCTCCCCCCGGGCTTTTTTCCTTGATTAGTCTGGCTAGAGGCTTATCAATTTTAAAGTTATTTAAAAATAGAACCAGCTTTTGTTTGCATTGATTTTTCTCTTTTTTTTTTTTTTCCTTGTTTTCAGTTTTGTTGCTTTCTGTTCTTATTAGCTACTTTCTACTTACTTTGGGTTTAATTTGCTCTTCTTTATGAGTTTTACTAAGTGGGCATTGTTTTATTTCATTGTGGTCAGAGTACATGTTTGTATGATTTCTGTTCTTTTGAATTTATCAAAAGTTGTTTTCTCATCCTGTACATCGATGAATGTTCCATGTGTACTTAAAGAGAATGTGTATTCTGTAGTTGTTTGAATGGCATGTTCTAGAAAAGTGAGCTCTGTTTAGTTAGTGGTGTTCTTCAAGTCTCTTATATCCATATTGACTATATAAAAATCATAATATTAATTAATGTGAATGGCTTTTTTCGTTGTTTTTTTTTTTGAGACAGAGTCTCGCTCTGTCGCCCAGAGTTGAGTGCAGTGACACGACTTTGGCTCACTGCAACCTCTGCCTCCCGGGTTTATGCAATTCTCCTGAATGTGGATGGCGTTTTGAAATCTAATTATTATTTTGGATTTTTCTTTTTTCTTTCAGTTCTGTCAGTTTTTGATTTGCATAGTTTAAAGCTTTGTTTTGGGGCAAATATACCTTTAAGATTATTATATCGTCTCTCAATTGTTTGATTCTTTTAAGTTTATACAATGACCTTCATTATTCCTGGAAATATTCCATATCGTAAAGTATTCTTTTTCTGATTTTAATATAAGCACTCTGGCTTTCTTTTGATGAGAGTTTTTATGTTATATATTTTTCTATACTTTTACTATTAACCTGTCTGTATCTTTATGTTTAAGTTATGTAAATACCTACATCTTGCTTTTTTATCCATCCTATCTGCCTCTTAACTGGAATGTTAGATCATTTACATTTAATGCAATTATGGATAAAGTTGGATTGAAGTCTACCATCTTACTTTTTCTATTTGTCTTGCCTGTTTTTTCTTGTATTTTTCCTGCTTTTGATTAACTGATTTTTTTAATGTTTTTATCTCCCCAATTATCTTATTAGCTATAACTCTTATTTTCTTAAGGGTTACTTTAAAGTGAAAAGTAAGCCAGCCATGATGGCTCACACCTGTAATCCCAGCACTTTGGGAGGCCAAGGCAGGCAGATCACCTGAGGTCAGCAGTTTTAGACCAGCCTGACCAACATGGAGAAACCCTATCTCTACTAAAAATACAAAATTAGCTGGGCGTGGTGGCACATGCCTGTAATCCTAGCTACTCAGGAGGCTGAGGCAGGAAAATCTCTCGAACCCGGGAGACAAAGGTTGCGGCGAGCTGAGTTCGTGCCGTTGCATTCCAGCCTGGGCAACAAGAGCAAAACTCCATCTCAAAAAAAAAGTGAAAAGTAACCATCTTTAACTTATCATTTTATACCTTCAAATAATACACCATTTCACATACAATATAAGAATCTTATAATACATTGTCACTTTCTCACTCTTGTTCTTTTGTGCATTTTTACTGATTTTACTTCTACCTATACTACAACGCTATAATACATGGTTACTATTTTTTCTTTAAACCATTAACTTTTAAAGAAATTAAAAATGAAATTATAATATTTTATTTTTACTCATCTATTTACCATTTCCAGTGTTGTTTATTCCCTTGCGTGGATTCAAGTATGCACGTGAAATCATTTTCTTTTGGTCTATAGATCTCCTTTTAACATTTATTATGATATAGGCACACTGGCAATGAATTCTGTTAGCTTTCATTCATCTGGGGAAAAAATACCTTAATCTCACCCTTTTTTTTTTTTTTAAGACAGAGTCTTGCTCTGTCACCCAGGCTGGAGTGCAGTGGTGCAATCTTGGCTCACTGCAACCTCCATCTCCCAGGTTCAAGTGATTCTGCTGACTCAGCCTCCCCAGTAACTGGGATTACAGGTGTGTGCCACCATGCCTGGCTAATTTTTGTATTTTTAGTAGAGACGGGGTTTCTCCATGTTGGCCAGGCTGGTTTCAAACTCCTGACCTCAGGTGATCTGCCTGCCTTGGCTTCCCAAAGTGCTGGGATTACAAGCGTGAGCCACCGCGTCCAGCCACCTTCATTTTTAAAGAGTATTTTTTGTCAGATATAAAATAGTTTCTTGGGTCTGCCAGTCATGGTGGCTTATGCCTGTAATCCCAACACTTTGGGAGGCTGAGGCGGGCAGATCGCT
Organism: Homo sapiens; assembly: GCF_000001405.40. NCBI lineage: Eukaryota > Metazoa > Chordata > Mammalia > Primates > Hominidae > Homo > Homo sapiens. The sequence goes on from NC_000007.14 coordinate 102,088,416, forward strand.
TGAGGTCTGGAGCTGGAGACCAGCCTGGCCAATATGGTTAAAGCCCTGTCTCTACTAGAAAAACAAGAATTAGCTGGGTGTGATGGTGCACACCTGTAATCCCAGCTACTCGGGAGGCTGAGGCAGGAGATTCTCTTGAATCCAGTAAGCAGAGGTTGCAGTGAGCTGAGATCGTGCCGCTGCACTCCAGCCTGGGTGACAGAGCAAGACTCTATCTCAAAAGAGAAATAAAATAAATAAAATGAAATAGTTTGTTGGTGGTTTGGGTTCTGGTTTTTTCTCTCTCTGGACTGACTGTTTCTGAGACAGGCGATCTCCAGTAATTCATATATATTTTTTTAACCTATATACAATTAATCTTTTTCTCTTCACCATTTAAGATTTTCCTTTTCTAATTTTGATTTCAGAAACTCTCTTACGCTTACTGGTGTTCTTTGGGTTTATCCTGCATGGAGTTTGTAGAGTTTCTTGAATTTTTAGGTTTATAGCTTTTATGAAGTTTGGAACATTTTGCCACTGTTTCTTCAAATACACCCTTTCCCTCTTTCTGGGAAATGTATGTTTGGTTGCTTAATTTTGTTTCATAGGTTGCCGAGGGTTTACTAACTTTTTTTTTCAATCTTTCTGTGTATTTCTGTTTGGTTTGTTTCTGTGACTATATCTTTAAATTCACTGATCTTTTTCTTTCACTGTGTCTAATCTATTGTTCAGCCAATCAAGTGAATTTTTTCCATTTCACATACTTTAAGCTTCAGAATTCGATTTGATTCTTTATGTTTTCTGTTCCTCTCTGTATTGTATTCATATTTTTCTTTAAATCCTTGGACATGCTGATAATAGATGTTCTAGTCTGCTTCTTCCATTATCTCTTGTCATTTCTGGTTCTGTTTTTATGAAGTGATTTTTCCCCTGATCATCCTGCTGCTTTGCATGTCTAGTAATTTCCTATTGAATTTTAGACATCATGAGCTTTAACTGGATTTTGTTGTCTTATTTAAGTTTGGGCAGGCAGTTAAGTTACTTGCAGGTCAGTTTGATCATCCTGAGACTTGTTTGTAGCTTTTTGGAGTGGATATGGGCAAGCCTTGAAGATGAGTTTAGCCCTCCACTCAGGTGGGACACTTCCAGTGTCTTTACTCTTCAACAAGTCCTTGCTCTTCAACAAGTGTGTCCTCTCTGGCTGGTTGCAGTTGGAAAGTCCTCCAGCCCTCAAACTGTGGGAGGTTTTCAGCTCAGACTTTCCTTTCTATTCTTGCCTGGCCTTAGGAGTTTCACCCTGTGCATAGGCACTTTAGCTCTTGGCAAAAGATCGCCTCTCTGCAGATTTCTGTAGCTCTTGTCCCTCCTTTTCACACTCTGCCTTGCAAATTCCAATTGCTGCAGCCACCCAATCTTGTGATGTGTGTCCTTCAATGGACAGGGAGACCATCACACTCCGCTTGGGTTTTTTTCTTCATTGTGATGCAATCCAGAGAGTTCTTCCTGCCAGGAAGGGTAACATAGAGCTCATCTCATTTGCTTCCCTTCCTTCAGGGAAGTCTTGTTCCACCAGTTGTCCAGCGTCTGTAAATAGTTGTTTCATTGACTTTGCCTAGTTTTCTAGTTGTTTATGACCAGAGCACAAGTTGAGTATCAGTAGATCTGTCATGGCCAGAAGCAGAGACTCCAAGTTCTGTTAATTTTGATTTTTGGTTTTCATGGAAATGGCTGGAAAAAATAACTTACAAAGATAAATAGATTCAAACCAAAGAAACACATTATTGGCTATCTTTACAAAAATAGGATTCATATTTATGAAATCTAGGTATAGGTTGAGTGTCTTTTATCCAAAATGCTTGGAATCAGAGTGTTTTGGATTTGGGATTTTTGAATTAGGGATATTCAGCTTGTACTAATTATGAGAAGGTATTTGTTGAAACTCAGCTAGTCAATTTTCATTTTCCATGATACCGTTTTTTTTTTTGTTTTTTTGTTTTGTTTTGTTTTTTTTGAGATGGAGTCTCGCTCTGTCACCCAGGCTGGAGTGCAGTGGCGCAATCTCAGCTCACTGCAAGCTCCACCTCCCAGGTTCATGCCATTCTCCTGCCTCAGCCTCCCGAGTAGCTGGGACTACAGGAGCCCGCCACCACGCCCAGCTAATATTTCTGTATTTTCAGTAGAAACAAGGTTTCACTGTGTTAGCCAGGACGGTCTCGATCTCCTGACCTCATGATCCACCACCTCAGCCTCCCAAAGTGCTGGGATTACAGGCGTGAGCCACCGCACCCCGCCTCTTTTTTTTTTTTTTTCCTAGCTTTTCAGAAGATCCTGCATTTCTTATATTAATTAACAAACGATTTGAAACTTCTTTTGGCAAATGTTTACTCAGATTTGAGTTGGTAAATAATAGTAGATAACATTTATTGAGTGTTAACTCTGTGTATGGCAATTTTCTTAAGTTAATCCTCACGGCAGCACCATGACATATGCACAGTTAGTATGCCCAATTTATGCATGAAGAAACTAAGGCACAGAGGGGTTAAGTAACTTGTCCAAGATTGCACAACCAATAAATGAGAGAGCTGAGACTTGAACACATGCAGCCTGGCTCATACTGCAGACCATTACACTACACTCCCTCTTGTGTGATATAAGGCATTGAACCATTTTTGTAAAAGGTGCTGTCTTTGCCCATCAGTATATAGATGATGGAAACATTTCCAAATATTCACTTTTAGAATGCTGTCACTGTAGCATAAAATAGTTATTTTCCTCAACAAGCATTAAAGCACCACATTTATTGCAACAACTTAGAGTATGTGTTTATTTTTTCAAAAGTATCTGTCAAGCGGCATGTTACTGATATGATAGCCATTTACCATCACAAAACAGGGCAGGTAATTTGGATCCCTTAGCTTGCTTTTTTTTTCTTTTCTTTTTTTCTCTCTGTTTTGAGGACAGGGTCTCGCTCTGTTGCTGAGGCTGGAGTACAGTGGCATGATCATAGTTCACTGCAGCCTCTAACTCCTGGCCTCAAGCAATCCTCCCACCTCAGCCTCCCTAGTAACTGGGACTACAGGTGTGTTCCCACCATGCCCAGCTAATTTTTTATCTTTTATTTGCTGAGACGAGGTCTTGCTATGCTGCCCCAGCTGGTCTTGAACTGCTGGCCTCAAGTGATCCTCCCACCTCAGCCTCCCAAAGCACTGGGATTACAGGCACGCACCACCCCACCCGGCCAGGATCACTTAGCTTTTCTAAAGAAAATTATATAGCTCATCTTTAAGCTTAAAACTCTTACATGCTTTTGCCAAGAGAAAACCAACAAACCATTGTGTGGGTTGAAGTACTACAGTTTTGGTTTGGTTTGGTTTGGTTTGAAATGGAGTCTTGCTCTATCACCCAGGCTGGAGTGTAGTGGTGTGACCTCGGCTCACTGCAACCTCCACCTCCCAGGCTCAAGCAATTCTCCTGCCTCAGCCTCCCAAATAGCTGGGACTACAGGTACGTGCCACTACACCCAGCTAATTTTTGTATTTTTCCTGGGGACAGAGTTTCACCGTATTGGCCAGGCTGGTCTCAAACTCCTGACCTCAGGTGATCCACCTGCCTTGGCCTCCCAAAGTGCTGGGATTACAGGCGTGCGCCATGCCGTCCATCTCTGGCCACTTCTTGACAGGAAAAGAATTGCATCCAAAATCTGACCATTGGCTCATTTCAGACATTGTACTTTCAGCTCTAGCATTTAGTTTGCTTCTTTTTATATCTTCTTTTTCTCTCCTCCTTGCACTCCTATTTTTCTTAAAATCCTTGTGCACAGGCTCCCTCTCCCAGATCTCTTTTCCCTTCCTGTTCTGCCTCTCCTTCCCTGGGACCACACTGGCTTCTCACTATGCCTTGACCATGCCCTGTTCACAGCTACCACGGGACCTTTCACTGGGCGCTGCCTCTGACTGGGGTGAATCCTTGCGCTGCCTGGCATTACCATCCAGATCTTCATCCCCACTCACTTCTTCAGAGGCCTTCCCTGTCCCCTTGTCTCTAGGACCCATTTCCCTCACTCCCTGTGCCTCTCCTCTCCATGCTCAGCAGCGCAAACGCTCCTCACTCACAGTGGGGCTGTGCCCCAGTCAACCCATCACAAGTGGAAAATATCATAAGTCAAAAATATATTCAATACCCCTAACCTACCAAACATCATAAGTTGAAAATATCATGAGTCAAAAATGCATTTAGGCCGGGTGTGGTGGCTCATGCCTGTAATCCCAGCGCTTGGGGAGGCCAAGGTGAGCAGATTGCTTGAGGCCGGGGGTTGAAGACCAGCCTGGGCAATGGGGTGTGAATCCCTATCTATACTAAAAATACAAAATTATCCTGGCATGGTCGTGTGCGCCTGCAATCTCAGATACTTGGGAGGCTGAGGCAGGAGAATTGCTTGAACACGGGAGGCAGAGGATGTAGTGAGCCAAGATAGCGCCACTGCACTCCCGTCTGGGTGACACAGTGAGACTCCGTCTCAAAAAAAAAAAAAAAAAAAAGAAAGAAAGAAAAGAAAAAAAGAGCTCCTTTTCCCGGTTTCTCCAGGAGCGCTCTTCCACTCATCTGGTCTCCTGCCTTGCGTTTGTCATTTACATGCATGGCTTATCTCTGCTATGAGGCTGAGCCTTTCCCAGAGCAGCTAGTTGGTTCCGTTGCTTAGGAAATATTTGTTAAATTAGTACTGAAAGAGATTTTCTTTGGCTGCTGGTTAAGAAAACAGAAGCTTTTTTTTTTTTTTTTCTGAGACAGGGTCTCACTCTGTCCCTCAGGCTGGAGTGAGACCCTATCTCTTTAAAAAAAAAAAAAAAAAAAGAAAGTCATAGCTCTCTGCAACCTCCACCTCCCAGGCTCAAGCAATCCTCCTACCTTAGCCTCCCAAGGAGCTGGGACTACAGGCATGCACCACCATGCCCGGCTAATTTTTGTATTTTTTCCAGAGACAGGGTCTCACTTATGTTGTCCAGGCTGGCCTCAAACTCCTGGGCTCAAACAATGTTCCCTCCTCGGCCTCCCAAAGTGCTGAGATTACAGGTGTGAGCCACTGTGCCTGGCCAGTAAGCAGAAATCATACTGAGAATTTTTCAAAGTCGTTTGCCTGGCGGGCTTCTTTCCTTTTTCTTTCCCTCCCTGGGTGAGATGCATCCACCCCATACATTGCAGAGCGGGCTCCGCCAGCCTCTGACTGTAATGGCTGGAATTAACGAGATAATATTGCGTGCACTTAGGAAAAGGTGCTGAATATGTACAGTATTGTTGTTTGTAATAATTATGTTCCTTGAGCCCTGTGTTGCATAACAAGCTATATAATACCTCCAAGATTGCTTTAGGAATTAAGTATCAGATGATTGTAAAACACTTTACAAGATTGTCGCATTGGGTGGGCGGAGCTGGCAGGAAAGCGTGTTGAATCGGAGGAGGAGGAGGCTGGGAAGACAGGGGTTACCGGATTTTGTGTGTTCCTGTTTTATATATGGGTGTGTCCTCTTCGCCTCCTCCAGACAATTCCCTAATTGAGCTGCTAAGATCGGAGGCATCTGACGTTCGCATAAGACCTGACAATCCTTGTGTGGGGTTTAAATGGCATTGGAAATCATTAACAAGACAAAAAGCTATTATTTCCGTAGATTAACACACAGGTTGGGTTTTGGCACGCCAAAATTCATTGTTTTGGTCTTTAGCCCAAACATGCTAGAGTCATTATATTGTCATGCAGTAATTAGCTGTTCCTTTAATACAAGTAATAAAAATTAAGCCTAAGAAGTTCTTTAGCAATGCCTCTTACATATCCCAAAACAATATTCAAATGCTGTAGGCATTTAGCCATTCAACTGTGCTGTAGTAAAGTTTGGAGTTTAATGCACAGAGATGTTTGAACATTTAGCTCATCCTTTAGTCTGTGACCAGCTTTGCTACATAGGCATTAACCTTTAATAGTGTCAGACTAAATATACATGCCATGATGAATGATTATGAGATTGCCTGAATTTTCATTTACAGTATAAGGCTCTGAAAATTGGTGTAAAGGTCTGGTTCCTCCTCACTTGATAATGTGCGTGTCATTTTCATATGTCACCGGATTCCTTGCTTAACCGCATGGGAGAAGCTATTTTTTAATTCGAAGCAGATACAGTGGGGTCCTGGCCTTTTGAAAAGAATGAACTGGAAATGTTGACAGAACTTTTAGGGAGGGCAGGCAGTATACTAGGTGTGTTCTTTAAAGATATAATTTGCTGGCACTTGTGCTAGAAAGCCTACGTGAGCAACTCTTAATAGAATTTTATACGTGATCAAAGGTTCCTCTCTTTACCTCCTCTTCCCTGACCTCTATGTCAAGTTTAAATCGTGGTTCTGTACAAAGGAGGCTGTGAACGGGCTGTTCACTTTCTTGAAACCATTTGCCCAGCACAAGGTCGTGAAGGTGGGGAAGAGGGGCAGGCTGAGAAGGTGAAGGTATCCAGAGAAGTTATGGAAATTTTTTTTACAAACAGCACCTGGAATCTTTTCAGGAATTCTGTTTTTTTGTGTTATCACGACTCCTGCTTACAAAGAACCATCTCCCCAAGATAGCATTTTTTTTTTTTTCCAAGACAGGATTTCGCTCTGTTGCCCCGGCTGGAGTGCAGTGGCTCAATCACAGCTCAATGCAACCTCGACCTCAAGGGCTCAAGGACTTCTCATGCCTTAAGCCCCCCAGTAGCTGGGACTACAGGGGTATGCCACCATGCCTGGCTAGTTTTTTGGTTTGTGTTTTTGTTTTGTAGAGACAGGCTTTCACCATGTTGCCCAGGCTGGTCTCGAACTCCTGAGCTCAAGCAATCCGGCCACCCTCGGCCTCCCAAAGTGCTGGGATTACAGGCATGAGCCACTGCAGCCGGCCTCCAAAATAGCTTTTGGAGTCAAATTTAACATAAATATTTTGATGCTGATTAAAATAATAATGAAAAGCCATGCACCAGAAAGAGATGCAATTATAGGCTGTGTATACGTGCAGAGTAAGTGCCCAGCAGCCAGGGATTCTGCATGATGGACTGTGTTGCTGTGAAACCCCAGCACCCGGGATCTGCTGACGTTGAGCCCAACATATCCCAGCGCCTGCCTTTTGTAAACTCTGCAAAGACGCTGGCATCCTAAAGAGTCCCTGGCTCCTGCTGGATACGTTAACCGAGGCATGGTAGACCTGGCCCTCGATTCCAGGAACCTAGGGTGGTCTGAAAAATTAATGACTCTGGCATTTGAAAATTAAGTGAGCTCTTGAATATATACTCTTGTTGATCCGCTGGGCATGGTGTTTGGCATTCTTCGACTGGAGACTAAATCTCTGCAGCCATCTCACAAGTGACACTGGCGCCCATACCAGAAATATATTCAATAATCTTTCTAAGCCCTGTGGACTTGGGTATTCTTCCACTCTGACGGAGCCTGAGAATTCCAAAGGAAGTATGCCCCAGGTACCCAGCAGGCGGAATATAATTGCCTCTTAGGCAGCAGAAAGAAAACTAAAGATCACATTGATGCGGAAGAACATTTAAGGTCTCTCTATCCTGTGTTGAATTCACAGTAAAGGCGAGAGCCGTGAGTTTGTACTGTAAATTCCAGGTCTGTGACTTCTGACTTTGGATTAAAATCCAGTTTTCTGGAAGTGAATCTGATGGCAGATATGACCTTGAATTGGCTGCAAGACCCCAGCGCTGGCCTGGCTGCCGTGCAGCGCGCGCTGCTCTGCACTTAGTTATCATCAGGAGTGTGGTGGCCTCCTGGCCAGCTGGTCTACGACAGGGCCATGCCGGGTCACCAGCTGTGCCTCTGCAGGGGTCTCCAGCCTTGGGACCTGCGGCCGCTAACCCCTGACTCTTCTGAACACCCTTCATTAGTGAAGGAGGATCGTAATGGAAAGTGGTCATGTCATGAAATGGGGTGGCTTTATAAAGCCTAAGTGTTTCTTTCCTCTGCTTCACCTCTGCTTCATTCTTTACCTTGTTGTAAAGAATGGTCACTCAGGGCTGGGTGGGGTGGCTCACGCCTGTAATCCTTTGGGAGGCTGAGGCGGTCAGATCCCTTGAGTCCAGTTTGAGACTGGCCTAGGCAACATAGGAAGACCCTATCTTTACCAAAAAATACAAAAATTAGCCCAGCGTGCTTGTGCATGCCTGTAGTCCCAGCTACTTGGGAGGCTGAGGTGGGAGGATTGCTTGAGCCCAGGAGGTGGAGGCTGCAGTGAGCCATGATCATGCCACTGCACTCCAGCCTGGGCGACAGAGTGAGACCCTGTCTTAAACAAACAAACAAACAAAAAAGCATGATCACTTGGAGTTAACAGACTTAGGTGTGCATTCTCCATGCCAACCAACTAGCTGGGTGACCTCAGGTGAGTCATTCTGCTTCCCTGGGCTTTAGTTTCTGAGGCCTCTTTCTCGAGATTGTTGTAAGGCTCAAAAGACACAATCTCCATAAAGTGTCCCGTGAACTGTGTGGCGTTCTCAGGCATCAGGTGTCACTTCCAGCCTCATAATCACTGGACCCTTAAACATCCCGGCACCTGTCCACGGACTTGTCCGTCCTCCACGTGCAGCTCCGGGGATGTGATTGACCTCCTGGGGCTGCTACCTGGTGTATTTCTCTACTTATCTGATCAAAGAATGAAAATCATGAAAGTGTCACACCAGGCAGGAGTAATCGGCAAATACCAGTGAATCTCATGGCTATTGCCACCCCATTTTCACACCTCGAGGACCCCGGGCTGGGTCCATCCTTTGTAAAGCACTGGAGAATTCTCCCACCCAGCAAGGGGGCTGGCTGCAGGGGCATGACTGTGGCCTCTGGGGAGCCCCCGGAGCTGATGTCCCAGGAGCCCCACTCTGAGCCTGTGTACCGCCGTGGAGGGGGCCTGTTTGCTGGCCGAGTGGGGTGATGGCTGTTTTCCTGTTGTGCAGATCCCGTACCAGCTTTGGATCTCGGACAGCAACTCCAGCTCAAAGTGCAGCGCCTGCACGATATTGAAACAGAGAACCAGAAACTTAGGGAAACTCTGGAAGAATACAACAAGGAATTTGCTGAAGTGAAAAATCAAGGTTGGTGGAAAATGCGTTCTTTGCTTTTTCTTTTCTTCTTTTTTTTCTCTTCTTTTTATTTTAATTGGCTTTTCCCATACTTTTGAGACCAGCTCTCCTTGTAATATACACGTCATAAAGTCAGGGTGGGGCAGGAATCTGAGTCGTTAAAGAGAGATGATAATCATGCTGAGCTATTTCGAAGTAAAACTTTTCCTCTGCACAACAACGACGTAAGATTTTATTGCCCTCTGATGAGACCGATCAGGATTCTTTGAAAATTCTTCCCGTATCATTACGTGATTGGGTCTGCCTCTTGAAAGGCCCATGCATTGCCTCCAGGCGACACCTGTCAGAGAGCCAGCTCATGATCAAAGGGTCACACACAGTAAGTCATTTAATAATTGCTGTGGATACATTAAGGCTTCAGACACATCTTAAAGGCTGCATGCTTAAGCCCCGCTGTTGCCTTGTCAGTATCGCCTATTCATTAGGAATTTAATGAAAGAAAACAACCTCTTGGTGTGTTTGCCCAGCCGTCAACAAGACAGAGAGGGCAAAGGTTGCCTGGCTTTTCCCGTCAGGGAAGAACAAAGGAATCTCTCCTTTACCTAAAATCCAGAGGCACTCAGGATCCAGGAGCCTGTTGGCTTCCTTGGCTTGAAGGAAAATCACAGCTCCCGTCTGACAGCAGCAGCAGCAGGCTTTTCAGCCAGCTCCAAAGAATAATTCGGCCAGTTTGTTTTGGTTTGGGAATGTGAGTACGGAATTAAATTGAAAGGGGAGGCTGCCCATTCCTAGTGGCCTTCCATTGACCATTTGTAGAGACTTCAATAAAGAGTTAATTGGGGCCACGTGCGGTGGTTCACACCTGTAATCCCAGCGCTTTGAGAGGCCAAGGTGGGAGGACTGCTTGAGGCCAGAAGTTCGAGACCAGCCTCGGAAACGTAGCAATACTCTGTCTCTACAGAACATCAGAAATTAGCTGGGCATGGTGGTGCACACCCGTGGTCCCAGCCACTCAAGAGGCTGAGGCGGGAGGATCGCTTGAACCCAGGAGGTCAAGCCTGCAGTGAGCCATGATTGTGACACTGCACTCAGTCTGAGTGACAGAGCAAGATCCAGTCTTTAACAACAACAGAAAAAGTTAATTGGCAAAGACTTCTTTTTTTTTTTTTTGAGATGGAGTCTCGCTCTGTCGCCCAGGCTGGAGTGCAGTGCACGATCTCGGCTCACTGCAAGCTCTGCCTCCCGGGTTCACGCCATTCTCCTGCCTCAGCCTCCCGAATAGCTGGGACTACAGGAGCCCGCCACCACGCCCAACTAATTTTTTTTTTTTTTTTTTTTTTTTTTTTTTTTAAGTAGAGACGGGATTTCACCGTGTTAGCCAGGATGGTCTCGATCTCCTGACCTCATGATCCACCCCCCTCAGCCTCCCAAAGTGCTGGGATTACAGGCGTGAGCCACCGCACCCAGCCAATTGGCAAAGACTTTCTAAAAGTGTCCTTTGGCTTTAAAAACACTGCAGATAGACCAGGGAAGAAGAATTGTCCATGGGAATGATCCAGAAAGCATCTGTGATGATGTGTGAAGAGCCAGAGGTAGAGGCATGGGCTGTGAGGGCGGCGGTGCCTAAGACCTCCGAGCACACCTCCCTGTAGTGTGGGCATGGGGGTACTCAAGCCCTCAGGCCAGCATAGCTTCCTTGCTGAAATTTGGGGGCACGAGGTGACAGGCAGCTGGGGAAGCCAGACCCCGCTTCTTTCTGGCTTTGCAGAGAGTGGTGAGCCTTTAGGACTAGAAGGGACAACTCTGTCCTGCTAGAGAGCGAGGCATTGGGCTTACTAGGGCTGGAACTGCTGTGAGGGAAGGTATTACCTTCCCTTGTAGGAAGCATTTCTTGCCAGAATCACGCCAGTATTGCAGTAAAAGGTAACCTGCAAATCTGCACATTGAGTTTTCATAGATACGCTACCCTAAAGGGGAGTATCCTGGTTTTTTTTTTTTTTCCCCTTCATTGTCCTCTGGTATCTAATTTTGATAGATCCACTCTCTGGTTTGTTTGGTGAGTGTTTTTTATTTATTTATTTATTTTAGATTCAGGGTCTCGCCCTGTCACCCAGGCTGGAGTGCAGTTGCATGATCATAGCTCACTGCAACAACCTTGACCTCCTGGACTCAAGTAGTCCTCCCGCCTCAGCCTCCTGAGTAGCTGGGACTACAGGCATGTGTACCACCGTGCCCAGCCTCTTTCTGGCTTATTTTATTTTTTTGAGTTTGCTTTTGTTTTGTTGGAGGGTGGTGCAGGTGGGGCCTGGTGGGCTGTGCAGGATTGTCCTTCCCTTCTCCTTCTATCACTGGTGCCTAAATTACCAGCTTCCCAGTGGCCAGGGCTTTGCACAGGGGCTGACCAGGAGCCAAGCTGGGTGTGGATGTTCTCTCCCCAAAGATCTCATCCACACTCAGGAGTGGCTTTTCACAATGAGTTATAGAGCCCAAGATTTAAGAACAGCTCCAGGCCAGGTGCAGCGACTCACGCCTATAATCCCAGCACTTAAGGAGGCCAAGGTGGGCAGATCACTTGAGGTCATGAGTTCGAGACCAGCCTGGCCAACATGACGAAACCCCATCTGTACTAAAAATACAAAAATTACAGGCATGGTTGGGCACGCCTGTAATCCCAGCTACTCAGAAGACTGAGGTGGAAGAATGACTTGAACCTGGGAGGTGGAGGTTGCAGTGAGCTAAGATCACACCACTGTACTCCAGTCTGGGCAACAGAGCGAGACTCCATCTCTAAAAAAGAATGGCTCTGGAGGCAGACAGACAGACCTGGTTTGAGTCCTTTTATTGCTACCACCTAGCTATGTGACCTTGGGCAAATTATCTCACTTTGCTAAAAGCCTCTTTCTCTTGGGAGGCAATTCTGATACTTACCAGGTAGGGTTGGTGTGAGCTTAAATATGCATATACACACAGCATTTGGCACTCAATAGTACCTGCTACTTATTCAGCAGTGTGGTTTTTGAAAGAAATTTACCCTCCTTTATTTGGATAACAAGTTTTCCCAAGCTCCAGAAAAATGTCATTTCCTCTCCCCCACTTCCAAGAATAAAAGTGATTATAATTTGGGAAGGTGGGCGGTGCACATCACTTCTTGTAATTATCACACCAGTAGTGTAAATGATTAAAAAGTTAGAGCAGGGGCCAGCACAATGGCTCATGCCTATAATCCTAGCACTTTGGGAGACCAAGTCGGGAGGATCTCTTGAGGCCAGGAGTTCGAGACCAGCCTGGACAACATAACAAGACCTATCTCTTAAAAAAAGAAAAAAAAAAAGATGGTGTGAGTCCATTGTGTGTTGCTGTAAAGAAATACCTTAGTCTGGGTAATTGATGAAGAAAAGAGGTTTATTTGCCTCATGGTTCTGCAGGCTGTATGAGCACGATGCCAGCCTCTGCCCAGCTTCTGAGGGTCCTCAGGAAGCTTTTACTCATGGCAGAAGGTGAAAGAGGATCAGGCATGCCACAGGACAAGAGAGGAGGGGGCATCCCAGACGTCTTAACCAAATCTCAGTGACTCATCACCAGAGAGAGGCCACCAAGCCATTCATGAGGGATTCGCCCCCATGACCCAGACACCTCCCACTTGGCCCCACTTCCAACACTGGAGATCAGATTTCAACCTGAGATTTGGAGGAGACAAACATCTAAACTATATCAGGTACATAATAAAAGTTAGAGCAAAGAGGGAACTTCTGCCTCATGGGCCACAGCCCCACCCATCCCGCAATGATGAGTAAATGGAGGCCCCAGGTAATGCCAAGCCCTTTAGATTCCTCTCTGTTATGCTGGCCCCGTCCTCCCCTACACATGCCTGGGAGGCCTGCTGAGACACCCAGCATCTGCCCGGGATACAGCCTGGGCCAGAAGGCCAGAGGCGCTAGGATAAAGTGGCCTCTGGCTGAGGTTGGGCTGGTCCGTGAGCACTCACCCGGGTCCAGGGGGTGGCAAAGAGACCTCATCAGGCACAGCACACTGTCGAGGTCACACACTGTGATGTGTCACTGAGGAGCCCCACTGGAGCAAGCGTTAGCGTCCAAGTGCTGTACAGCCACTTCCAGCCGGTCCTTAAAGGCAAAAATGAGGCCAGGCATGGTGGCTCATGCCTGTAATCCCAGCACTTTAGGAGGCCGAGGTGAGCAGATCATTTGAGGTCAGGAGTTCGAGACCAGCCTCGCCAACATGGTGAAACCCCGTCTCTACTTAAAAAATACAAGAATTAGCCAGGTGTGATGGCACACGCCTGTAATCCCAGCTCTTCGGGAGACTGAGGCACGAGAATTGTGTGAACCTGGGAGGCAGAGGTTGCAGTGGGCCGAGATTGCGCCACTGCACTCCAGCCTGGGTGACAGAGCGAGTATCTGTCTCAATAAAAAAAAAAAAAAAGACAAAAATGCTGTATGTTTACACGAGAGTGTAGACCATTGACGTAGCAGAGCAGTTCAGGCTTTTTCAGAGCTGACCTGTCTGGAGTCCATTCTGGAAGTGTCCAGCTCTTGCCTCACTTTGGCCTCGTCCGTATGGCTTGAGAGAGACGTATCACCAACCACTGTGTGCACAGAGCATTTCTTCCAGGACCTGAACAGCCAAACCAAAAGGCGGAAAGTTGCCCAGTCCCCTCTGCTGTGCCCTGATGGGATCGTTGGTGGAATTCCACCTCTCTACGGAAAGCACTCTGGGACACACCTCATGAAAAAGGCCAACCTCTTAACAAAAGAGCCTTTCACACAAAAATTAGCCAGGTGTGGTGCGCGCCTGTAATCTCAGCTACTCGGGAGGCTGAGGCAGGAGAATTGCTTGAACCCAGGAAGCAGAGGTTACAGTGAGCCAAGACTGCACCACTGCATGTCAGTCTGGGCCACTGAGCGAGACTCCGCCTCAAAAAAAAAAAAAAAAAAAAAAAGCCTTTAGCTTGTATGCACTAAGCCGCGTGGGTGTTAATCGCCCAGGTGTTTTGCTCCTGCTCTGGCCAGCGCATGTCCGTGCAGCTCAGGGAGCAGGAATGGATGTGAGTTACACACCTGGCAGGTGCCCTTGCTGCACCAGAGGGAGCTCCATTGCCACAAGCCCTGTCTGGGCTTCCCCCAGCTCTGCCCGGCCTCGGCTCCTTCAGTCATTCATGCCACAGTGCTTTCCTGAGCACACGTCTGTTTGCCAGCACTGGGAACACAAAGAAAATGAGCCTCGCCTGCTAAGAGGTAGATCTGTAGCAGCGGGCGACAATTCCTAAGAGCTCCCCTCTCTTGGGGGCTGGGGCCACAGTGCTTTTCCACAAAGCATCCAGCATGCGGAGTGGCATAGGCGTATCTGGAGGAGGGCGCACGTGGAGTTGTCCTGCCCCAGAGCCACCCACACACAAAGCATCCAGCATGCGGAGTGGCATAGGCGTATCTGGAGGAGGGCGCAGGTGTAGTTGTCCTGCCCCAGAGCCACCCACAGGTCTGTTCCATTCATCAAATCCGCTTTGATATTCCCCATTTGGGCAGTTGAGGTGATGTCTGTGAACCTGCAGTTGGTGGTACCAGAGCCGTCTGGACCTGCGCTTTCCCAAGACAGCCCTGCCTCCCAAGGGGCCCCTCGCTGCCCCACATCCTTGGTGCTCACACCTCACTCTAGGACTCCTCCAGGCCACATGCCAGTCACCGGAGCATCTTCCCCCAGGCTACGGCACCCTCTGCTCTGCACACAGCCCATGACCACCAGAGTGGTGGGCACTCCAGGGTGGGTCCCTTCCAGCCCACTCCCTCCATGCTTTATCCACCTAGCACCACATGTTTCTTGTCACTTGTGAACCAGCAGAGCTGCAGGGCCAGGCCTGCTTGCTTGCTTCCTTCCTTCCTTTTCTGTCTCCCTCTCTTTCTTTTGCTCTCCGTTTCTCTCTCTCTCTCTCTCACTCACTCACTCACTCACTCACTCACACTCTGTCACCCAGGTTGGAGTACAGTGGCGCAATCATAGCTCACTGCAGCTTCAAACTCCTGGGTTCAAGACATCCTTCCACCTCAGCCTCCCAAGTCCCTAAGCTGGGACTGCAGGTGTGTGCTACCACGTCCAGCTAATTCTTGCCCTTTTTGTAGAGGCGGGGCTCGCTGTGTTTCTGGGGTTGGTGTCAAACTGCTGGGCTCAAGGGATCCTCTCACGTTGGCCTCCTAAAGTTCTGGGATTACAGATGTGAGCCACTGTGCTTGGCCTGTAGACTTTCATCTTTTTTTTTTTTTAATTTATTTGTAATTTGTGTGGGTACATAGTAGGTGTCTATATTTATAGGCTACATGAGACGTTTTGATACAGGCATGCAATGTGAAACATCACATCATAGAGAATGGGGTACCGTAGACTTTCTTGACTCCACTTCGATTGCTTCTTCCAAAATGCACACACTATTATGAACTATTTTTTTTCTGAGAAAGTACTTAAACCCACCTAAAACTTTATTAATCATCCCTCAGTTACAGGACTAATTTAAGACTCATCAATAAGATGATATGATATTTTACCATTGATTTCCATCTCCCCCCACCCTTTTTTTTCTTTAACTGGTACTACAGAAACCAAAGCTCTTCTTTTCAGCAAAATCCATTGATCCTCCTCAGCCTAAACGTTTAAAGTTCAATTTAACATTTAGGGAGTAAAAGGTCTCTGAAGGGACTCATAACCATTGATTTTGTGTCAGAGTTGAAGAGCTAAGGTTTAAAACACACCGATCCTACCAGGTTATGAGAGCCTTGTACCTACAGCCATATGGAATTGTATGCTTCTCTTACTGTAGGTTTTTTTTTTTCTTTTCTGCAGAGGTTACGATAAAAGCACTTAAAGAGAAAATCCGAGAATATGAACAGACACTGAAGAACCAAGCCGAAACCATAGCTCTTGAGAAGGAACAGAAGTTACAGAATGACTTTGCAGAAAAGGAGAGGTGAGCATGACTTCCAGGCACACACAGACTGACATAGCATTTGCCCCTGAACTTCACATCATCAGACATGTTGATAAATGGATCTGCAAAATAAGCCCAGGTTGTAACCCCAAATCTATAAGGGGTAAAATGTTTCAAAAATGATATTCTGGCTGGGTGTGGTGGCTCACGCCTGTAATCTCAGCACTTTGGGAGGCCGAGGTGGGTGGATCATGAGGTCAGGAGTTCGAGACCAGCATGACCAACATGGTGAAACCCCGTCTCTACTAAAAAATACAAAAAAAAATTAGCCAGGCATGGTGGCGCACGTCTGTAATCCCAGCTACTTAGGCTGAGGCAGGAGACTCACTTGAACCCGGGAGGCAGAGGTTGCAGTGAGCCGAGATCGCGCCACTGCACTCCAGCCTGGGCAACAGAGTGAGACTCCATCTCCAAAAAAAGATATTCTACATTTGTGAGGTTTCCTTGAGCGAAATGCATCTGTCTTTCCCAATCGGTGGATGGTGTCAGGCAGCCAGTGGGCCCAAGACTATCCAAGCCGTGCAGGTGCAGAGGTGAAGCTCAAGGCATGAGTCGTTAGCAAGGCGGCACCTGGCAGCTGGACCTGGGCTGAGACCAGAGAGGAAAGCCCATTTCCCAGTGTGTGTCCTCTGGGGACAAGCCCTGGGCTAGTGCTAAACTCTTTCTGCCTTCTCAAGCAAATTGATATTTAATATTACACACACACACACACACACACACACACACACACACACAGACTCTCTGATGTATTTAATATTACACACACGCGCACACACACAATCTCAGTGGGTTTTTTGGTATTGCCTCTTTCATTACCTCACATATCAGGGAGTTAGTATCAGTAAAATATGTTAATGCCCTATGTAACTGATGTGAGTTTTAGATTTCTAATGACTTACATTACCAAAAACGTTTCCCACAAATAATGAGTTGGTTTTCCCCTAGTGTGATGAGTTAATGAAAGTTAGATTCCTTGTAACAACAATAAGGACTATTGAGCTTACGGATCCCAACCATATAGATCTTTTTTTTTTTTTTTTTTTTTTTTTAAGACAGAGTTTCACTCTCATTGCCCAGGCTGGAGTGCAATGGCGCAATCTCGGCTCACTGCAACCTCCGCCTCCTGGGTTCAAGTGATTCTCCTGCCTCAGCCTCCCAAGAAGCTGGGATTACAGGCATGCGCCACCACGCCTGGCTGACTTTTGTATTTTTAGTAGAGTTGGGGTTTCACCATGTTGGCCAGGCTGGTCTTGAACTCCTGACCTCAGGTGATCCACCCACCTCAGCCTTTCAAAGTGCTGAGATTACAGGTGTGAGCCACCACGGCTGGCCTAGATTGGATTTTTTTAAACTCATGGGTTAAATTAAGGTATTAAGTTTTATACCCGCTCCCATCAAGTAAAAGAAAAGCAAAAAAGGGAAAAAAAAGATACTGAATTTTAACTCTAGTATGAAGAAATGTATGTATCCATCAACAGGAAGCACTAAATTTATGACTACAGGTAAGGGGCCAAGTGGGACTGTGGCTGGTGTGGGATTTTGTTGTTTTATTTTCAGTTGACTTCCTATGCTGAATACTTGGTGAACTTTTCTTTTTTCTTTTTTTTTTTTTTTTTTTTTTTTTTGAGATGGAGTCTCACTCTGTCACCCAGGCTTGAGTGCAGTGTCGCAATCTTGGCTCACTGCAACCTCCGCCTCCCAGGTTCAAGTGATTCTCCTGCCTCAGCCTCCTGAGAAGCTGGGACTACAGGTGTGCACGCCACCACGCCCAGCTAATTTTTGCATTTTTAGTAGAGACGGGGTTTCACTATGTCGGCCAGGATGGTCTCGATCTCTTGACCTTGTGATCTGCCCGCCTCGGCCTCCCAAAGTGCTGGGATTACAGGCGTGAGCCACCGCACCCGGCTCTTGGTGAATTTTTCTAAGGTGGGCTCTGTAACAATATCATTGGGTTAGGAGGTGGGGCTTAGACACTGGACCAAATTGAAGACTAGCTAAAACAGGGCCTGGAGAGAAGCAGCTTTCTATAAAACATGCCCACCAGTGTGCCACATCAGTTTACCATTGCCTTGGCAACACCCAGGAGTTACCACCCCTTTCCACAGCAATGATCTCACAGCCCAAAAGGTACTACCCATTCCCTAGAAATTTCTGTATAAACTGCCTCTTAATCTGAGTACAGATTATGAGTACAAAATATGAGTACAAAACTGTCCTCAGCTGCTACTGGCAGCACACGGCCTATGGGGCAGTCCTACCTCACGAGACCAGTCACAGAGCTGTAACGCTGCCACCTCCATAAAGCTGCCTTCTTCAGCCCTACCACCAGCTCGCCTTTGAATTCCCTCCTGGCTGAAGCCCAGAGCCCTTGCCAGCTAAGCCCTCCTTTGGGGCTCGCCTGCCCTGCAGCATCATGAAGGCCTCTGAGGAATGCCATTAAGCTGACTTCATTCAAAAAGAAAACTGGCTGGGCACAGTGGCTCACATCTGTAATCCCAGCACTTTGAGAGGCTGAGGCAGGAGGATCCCTTGAACTCAGGAGTTCGAGACCAGCCTGGGCAATATAGAGATATGCCATCTCTATGGCATGAATGAATGTATGAATGCGCCATGCATGTCAGCATGTGCCTATAGTCTCAGCTACTTGGGAGGCTGAGGCAGGAGGATTACTTGAGGTCAGGAGTTCCAGGCTGCAGTGAGCTATGATCAGGCCACTGCAATCCAACATGGGTAACAGAGCAAGACCTTGTCTCAAAAAAGAAAAGAAAAGAAAAGAGGCTGGGCGCAGTGGCTCACACCTGTAATCCCAGCACTTTGGGAGGGTGAGGTGGGTGGATCACTTGAGGTCAGGAGTTCAAGACCAGCCTGACCAAGATGGTGAAACCCCATCTCTACTGAAAAAATACAAAATAAGCCAGGCGTGGTGGCACATGCCTGTAATCCCAGCTACTCGGGAGGCTGAGGCAGGAGAATTGCTTGAACCCAGGAAGCAAAGGTTTGCAGTAAGCCGAGATCACACCATTGCATTCTAGCCTGGGCAACAAGAGCAAAACTCTGTCTCCAAATAAAAAATAAATAAAAGAAAAGAGAACTGCCAGCTCCCGCCCACCCGGGGCCCTCCCTGCATCAGAACTTGGCCGTAGGCTTTCAGTACATTCTCTCACTAATTGCCCAGAATGGATCTGCAATGTAGACCATCTCTTTTCATAGAGGGAGAAAGCAGGTCGTGGGTGAGGTACCTCCTACAGCTTTTGCGGCTAATCAGGGCCAGAGGTGGGACTTTGCAACTCCAGACTGGCACCTGCCCATCTCTGCAGCCCTTGCCTCCCCGTCTGCTCCATTGTGGCCACCTGGAGCCCTGGTTGCCGGACCAAGGCCAGTCCCTTGGGGCCACGCCCAACTCTGCAGGTGGAGGCCGCATCCATCGTCCCTGGGGGAGCGCGGCAGGGCACAGACTCCAGGAAAGGAGTGCGCATCACAGAGTCAAGGCTCGGACAGATGGGCAGACCCTTGACCCCGTTGATACGGATTTGGTCCTAAGTAAATGCCTTTTAGGAAAGCACTCCTCACCAGTGAGTGATCAAGGGGGAAAACGCGAGCAATCTCAGTGCCCTGCCATGGAGAAATGGGTTAGTAAAAAGAACGGACCATCCCTAACTGGGATGTTATGTCACCGTTAAAATATTAATAATAGTTATGGAGAATTCATAGTAACATGAGAAACGTACCTAATATAATATGAAGTCAAAACATGCACCGTACAAAATTATTTACAGTGCAGTATGATTGTACATCTTCCTACAGCAAACTCATGCATTACCACAATGTGGAAATAAACACATATGGGAATTAAATATTATTAAGTTGACTTTTCTTGTTTTTTGAGACAGAGTCTTGCTCTGTCACCCAGGCTGGAATGCAGTCTCACAATCTCAGCTCACTGCAACCCTCCGCTCCAGGTTGAAGTGATTCTCCTGCTTCAGCCTCCTGAGTAGCTGGGATTACAGGTGTGTGCCACCAAGCCTGGCTAATTTTTCAGTAGAGATAGGTTTTCTCCATGTTGCTCAGGCTGGTTTCAAACTCCTGACTTCAGGTTATCTGCCCGCCTCACCTCCTGATGTGCTAGGATTACAGACATAAGTCACTGTGCCCAGCTCTTGACTTTTCAAATTAGGTAAAGGGATTAGCTATATTAAAATATACAATAACTGATTCTTAGAGGGAAGGGCTGAAGCTAGAATTTACTTCATTCATTTTGTGTGTGTGTGTGTGTGTGTGTGTGTGTGTGTGTTTTGAGACAAAGTCTCTCTGTCACCTAGGCTGCAGTGCAGTGACACGATCTCAGCTCACTGCAACCTCCACCTCCTGGGTTCAAGCAATTCTCCTGCTTCAGCCTCCCAAATAGCTGGGGTTACAGGTGCCCAACATCACACCCAGCTAATTTTTATATTTTTAGTAGAACAGGATTTCACCATGTTGGCCATGCTGGTCTTGAACTCCTGACCACAAGTGACCTGCCCACCTTAGCTTCCCAAACTGCTGGGATTACAGGCGTCATTCTTTATAACAAAAAATTGTTGATGGATCTAGGATTTAAATATTATAATTTTTTGTCACAAACATACTGGAAGAAAACTGGGGTGCATATTTGTTTTTATTAATATGACTATATAAAACTTAAAACAGATTCTCAAAAACAAATAATAACATTTTAAAAACATCAACAAACTGAAGAAATATTTGTACCATGTAAGACAAAAGGCTAATTTTCTTTATATACAAAGAGGACTTCTAAATTAATAAGAACAAAATCCGCTCTACAAAAATAGGCAAAGGAGATAAGTAGGCATGTCATACAAAGAGAAATAACATAGCTTTACTCAGCAGTAAAAATTTAAATTTGATTTTATCTTGTGTTGGCAGAGTATACGAAAACACACTTACATATTGTTGGTGGGAGTTTAAATTGGTGAAAGTTTTTTGTTGGGAAGTTTTTCACTATCTATCAAAACAAGAAAAGTGGCCAGGCGAGGTGGCTCATGCCTGCAATTTCAGCACTTTGGGAGGCTAAGGCAGGCGGATCACTTGAGGCCAGGAGTTCGAGACCAGCCTGGCCAACATGGTGAAACCCCATCTCTACTAAAAATACAAAAAACAGCCAGACTTGGTGGTGCACACCTGTAATTCCAGCTTCTTGGGAGGCTAAGGTATGAGAATTGCTCGAACCCTGGAGCAGATGTTGCAGTCAGCCGAGATCATGCCATTGCTCTCCAGCCTGGGTGACAGAACAAGACCCTGTCTCCAAAAAAAAAAAAAGAAAAAAGAAAAAATTGCAGATACTCTTTGGCCATTGTAATTCCTCTGTTAGCATTTCATCTCCAACAGATTCACTCTCAAAATTATACAGCAGTATCTCCACAATGATCGTTGAGGGACTGTTCAGTAGAAAGAAACCTAGAAACAATCTGAGTGTCCACAGAGGCTTAAGTTAATTATTTAATAAGAATGAGGGAGAACTATGTTTGCTGGAATAGAACATTTCCAAAATACAGAGAAAAGTGAATAAGGGACCCCAGAATGTGGTGCACGTTGTGATCACCTTTGTATTAAAAGAACAGGGCAGGGAGATTATATTATACTATACTATATTAAACACTTCTATTTCAGTAGCCTATTTCATATTCATATTACACTATAGTATATTACATTACTTCATTATTACACTATAGTATCCTGCATATTAGTTCGTACTATGCTATAGTATATTTCATTCATATTTTGCTATACTATGTGACATATTAATTTATATTGTGCTATAGTGTGTTACATATTCACATTATGTTATAGCATGTTACATATTAGTTCATATTAAGCCGTAGTATATTACATTAGTTCACATTCCACTATAATGTTACATATTAATTCATATTATGCTATAGCATGTTACATATTAGTTTGTATTACACTATAGCTTGTTACGTGTTAGTTCATGTTACGCTCTAGTGTGTTACGCATTCGTTCATATTACGCTGTAGTGTGTTATGTATTAGTTCATATTACCCTATAACGTGTTACATAGTAGTTTATGTTACACTATAGTGTGTTACGTATTAGTTCATATTATGCTATAGCTTATTACATATTAGTTCATAGTACACTATCATTTGTTATGCATTAATTTCTATTATGCTATAGTGTGTTATGTGTTTGCTTATATTACACTATAGGCTGTTACATATCATATGTTACATATTCATATTTTGCTATAGTATGTTACATATTTGTTTATATTACACTTTAGACTGTTACATATGATGTCGTATTTCTGTACATGCAGAAACATTTTAGAAAAATACAAATGAACTCCATCTGAGGAGCGGAAATGAGCCAAGGAATAGTAAGACTCTTTCACTTCCCATGCTCTTGTCATATTTGATTACATCCCTGAGTGTCCATAATTGAAATACATGAAAATATTAACAGTGCTTTTCTAGAGGTGATGAGAATTGGGTTGACTTTGTAAACTGTGTCATTTCTACTTTTCTGTATCCCAGTTTATTATTATGAGAGCATATGTTAAATTCATATGATATAAAAATAATCAACTTATTTTTGGAGGGGTTTTTTTTTTTCCCCCAGATTAAGAGGAAGGAATGCTATTTATTGACCAGGGAATTCACTTAGAGATCCTGGGAAATCTGAATCTGTGGAATGCAGTTGCGAGCATTCACAATGTCCCCATTAGGTATTGCAGTTGCGTTTGCATTCCATTATAACAGAGACGGAACAGCTGCCACATCTATTTAGTGCATCCTTTATTCCAACAAACTCCTTCATTGTGTCAGCAGAATGTAAATGGATCATTCTTCTTGCGCTAACTTCAGAAAACAATGAGTGCATGATGATGATTTTTTTTTTTCTTTTTAAAATCTGGCATTTCAAGAACAAATTACATTTAGGATAACCTTCTACGCCAGTTACCACCCATCAAGCCCCACGGGTTGCACACTTGCCGTGATGTGACACGCAGTTACAAAGTTGGGGTGTGGAAGCTGCGGGAGCGGGGCCCACGGCACACGTGTCGTTGCGGGCGATACCCCGTGGTGCGCCTGCCGCCAGCTGAGCGCAGGGAGGGAGCTGAGCTCAGCCGAAAGGCACACGTGCATTTCAGTTGGTAAAGGAGATGACCAATTTGGCTTCGTCCTCTTCCTTTGCAGAAAGCTGCAGGAGACACAGATGTCCACCACCTCAAAGCTGGAGGAAGCTGAGCATAAGGTTCAGAGCCTACAAACAGGTTTGATACTCTCCTTCCTAGTACCATGGATGTGGGGAGGACCCAGGGGGAGAGTTGGGTCAGCCCCTGACCGCCCCGGTCCCCGCGGATACCTGTTGCTCTTCGGGGCCGTGGGAGCTGCCGGGAGCCCACGCTGAAGAATTCCGCAGCACGCCCGCCAGCTGCTGCGCCTCATTCCTCACTGACTTTGAGTTGTTAATGTAGAGGTGGGAGGATCTCGATTCCATTTTCATCCCTTCCACACGCCATCCTTGCTTCCTGCTCTTTTTCCAACAAACACTTCTAAATCACCAAACTGTCAAGGACTGACATTTCATTTGGAACAATAATAGAAAAAAAAAAAAAAACTCACTTCTACCCTAAGTGAAGTTAAGGAGAACAGTAATTTCAGACCTTTAAAATTTAAAAGCCACCAAAAAAGGTTATGCTCAAGTTTTTACAGTATCTTTAAACTTCTTTCTCTCTCTCTTTTTTTTTTTTTTTTTGAGACGGAGTCTCGCTCTGTCACCCAGGCTGGAGTGCAGTGGCACGATCTTGACTCACTGCAAGCTCCGCCTCCTGGGTTAATGCCATTCTCCTGCCTCAGCCTCCCGAGTAGCTGGGGCTACAGGCGCCCACCACCATGCCTGGCTGATTTTTTGTATTTTTAGTAGAGACGAGGTTTCATCATGTTAGCCAGGATGGTCTCGATCTCTTGACCTCATGATCCGCCCACCTCAGGCTCCCAAAGTGCTGGGATTACAGGCGTGAGCCACCGCGCCCAGCCCTCTCTCTATTTCTTTTTTTGTTTTGTTTTGTTTTTGTTTTTTTTTTGAGACAGGGTCTTGCTCTGTCACCCAGGCTGGGGTGCAGTGGTGTGATCTCAGGTCACTGAAACCTTTACCTCTGTGGGCTCAAGCAATCCTCCCACCTCAGCCTCCCCAGTAGGTCGGATTACAGATGCCCGCCATAATACCCGCCTAATTTTTGTGTTTTTAGTAGAGATGAGGTTTCACCACATTGGCCAGTCCGGTCTGTATCTCCTGAGCTCAAGTGAGCCACCACACCCAGCCTCTCTTTTTTATTTCTGAAAGAGAAGCATCACCATGTATTTCATTTAAATGTATTTTTAAATTTTTATTATTTTTTTTGATGACCCAGAACTGAGCAGATTATTTAAATGTAGACAGACATCAGAAGTCATAATTCAACTTAAAACACAAATGACGAGAGTGGGAGAAAATAATCACCACAAATTTGACAAACGGATAATTAAAAAATGTAAAGGCTGTAAATCAATCCATTAAAGGAGAGAAACAGTGCAGTCGAACAATAAGCAAGGGATATGAACAGTCAGTTCACAGAAGAAATGCAAATGGAAACTACACATATGAAAAAATGCAAAGTTTTTTTTACAGTCAGGGAGATGCAGATTCAATTAGTGAAAGACTGTTTTGCCTGTCAGACTGACAGCATTTTTTAATTATTTATTTATTTATTTTTGAGACGGAGTCTTGCTCTGTTGCCCAGGCTGGAGTGAAGTGGCACAATCTCGGCTCACTGCAACCTCTGCTCCCCGGGTTCAAGTGATTCTTCTGCCCCAGGTTCAAGTGATTTTCCTGCCTCAGCCTCCCGAGTAGCTGGCGTTACAGGCGCATGCCACCATGCCCGGTTAATTTTTGTATTTTTACGAGGTTTCGCCATGTTGGCCAAGCTGGTCTCGAACTCCTGACCTCAAGTGATCCACCTGCCTCAGCCTCCGAAAGTGCTAGGATTACAGGCATGAGCCACTGCACCCAGCCTAATTTTTTATTTCATTTTAGAGACATGGTCTCTCTCTGTCGCTCAGGTTGGAGAGCAGTGATACAATCATAGCTCATTGCAGCCTCAAACTCCTGGGCTGAAGTGATCCTCCTGCCTCAGCCTCCCAAGTAGCTGGGACTGCAGGCAAACACCACCACACATGGCTACTTTTTTTTTCATTATTTCTTTTATGGACATGGAGTCTCACTGTGTTGCCCAGGCTGGTCTTGAAGTTCTGGCCTCCAGTGATCCTCCCACCTCAGTGTCCCAAAATGCTGGGGGATTACAGGTGTGGGCTACCGCACCTGGCCTTTAAAAAAAATATAGCAATTCTGGCCTGACAAAGACTTGTCAAAAATTATTGAAACATCCAGTGTTGGTGACGGTGAAGTGGCACTTATGGAATGGATGGGCATGGAAGGAGCCTCTTGGGAGGCCAGCTGGGTGGCATTTATGTAAAGCTCCAGTGCCCAAGCTGTTCAGCCAGCAGCTTCACTTCCAGGTATCCTGATGAGAGAACTGAAGGTTATTGCCACTGCCTGGGTCCACATGTGGAAGGACTCCCATACCATACTGCCCAGGGAAAAAGGCTAGTCTCAAGAAATATTCATACCGTCCCATTTATGGGGGTAGAAAATAAAAAAAGATATATACACACACATATATACATGCAATTATGTATGGAAAATTTTTTCTTAACGTAAAATACACTTTCTTTTATTTTGTTACACTTTTTTGAAATGAGTCTCGCTCTGTCACCCAGGCCTGGAGTGCAGTGGCATGATCTCGGCTCACTGCAACCTGCATCTCCAGGGTTCAAGTGATTCTCCTGCCTTATCCTCCCAAGTAGCCGGGATTACAGGCTATGCGCCACCATGCTTGGCTAATTTTTGTATTTTTAGTAGAGACAGAGTTTCGCCATTTTGGCCAGGCTGGTCTCAAACTCCTGACCTCAGGTGATCTGCCCGTGTCAGCCTCCCAAAGTGTGAGCCACCTCGCCCAACCAGAAATAATAAAATACACCTTAAAACATGAAATCATCCAGGTACAGTGGCCCACACCTGTAATCCCAGCCCTTTGGGAGGCCAAGGTGGGAGGATGACTTCAGGCCAGGAGTTCCAGACCAGCCTGGGCGACATAGCAAAACCCTGTCTCTACAACAGTGTTTTAAAATATTAGCCAAGCGTAGTGGCTTGCACCTGTAGTCCCAGCTACTTGGGAGGCTGAGGCAAGAGGATGGCTTGAGCCCAGGAGTTAAAGGTTGCAGTAAGCTGTGATTGTGCCATTATACTCCAGCCTGGGTGACAGAGTGAGAAAACTTGTCTCTTAAAAATGGAAGGGAAAGAAAGAAAGAAGGAAGGGAGAGTGGGAAAGAAGAAAGGAAGGGAGGGAGGGAGGGAGGAAACTATTAACATTGGTTCTGTCTTTGTAGGTGCTTGGGATTAGATGAGGCAGAAATGAAGGGGGATTTCCTATTCCATTTTTTGTATTTTCATCATCTTGGCCTCTTTTGTGTGTTTTTAATCTTTATTTTTCCACGCACCTCGCTCCTCACAGAAATCTTTGCCTCTTTTGAAATGGGAATAGATTACCTGTGTATGCATTCTTTTAAAATTTCATTTAAATAGTTAGTAATTCTTTGCCTTTCAGCCCTGGAAAAAACTCGAACAGAATTATTTGACCTGAAAACCAAATACGATGAAGAAACTACTGCAAAGTAAGTCTCTCTGCTTGGCCTCCCTTATCCGTACACATTTCTCACCTGATTTTGCTTGAGTAGGGCAGGATCGAGAAGGTTCTTGACCTCTGTGCTGCTGCAGGGACACAGTGTATTTCCCATGAGTTACTTGCGTCGGTTCAATGCACGTTCTAGCACTCACTGGGTAATCCTTCCAACAAACTTCTTTCCTTCTTTATTGTGAAGGCTGGTCACTGCTATGCCTTCTGCCATGAAAATTTGGGAGTTAGTTTATATAAGATGTGACACATGGGACATTTTTTGTGTGGAGTTGAGTCTGGGTAAATCACATGTCTTTTTCGCTGGGCCACAGTTCTTCATTTCTCCCAGGGCCCTTTAGGAAGGCCTGCCCCAGAATAAGCACATTCCCACGCAGGCATAGGGGTTCATGTCACACCTAACAACGCTAGGTGTGGATATACGGATAGACACAGATTCGGGCAGGCAGAGTCACAAAAGGCCAATTCCTACCCAGCTCTTGTCCAAAGGAAATTAGAGGTGTCCACTACAAGTGTACTTTTTACCCGCCCATCTTTCATGCAGAACACCAGCAAGGAAGAAATAATAATTGACATAAATCATGAAAAGATGAAGAAATGGCAGAAATTGCTCCTAGCCATTGCCTCCTCTACCAAACTCCCGGGGAGCAATGCCAGGCTAGAGTTTGAACCACTTTTTCCTGTTCTGGAAGGCTCTTCCCATCTTCCGCGGAAACACACACGCGTGCTTACTGCCATGTCTCTTGGGTTTCCCTATTCCAGTTACAAAGGTCCCCGCACTCTGCTCACACAGTGCCTCCGTGGGCATCGGCAAGAAGACGGGTACTTCTGAATGGCGCCGCTGTCCCACCAGGCTCCACCTCTGTATGGGGTGCCGGCACTTACTGTCCCTCTGCCCCATCTCACGTGACCTTGGGCTTTGAGGGTGCTGCTGGGTCTGTTGCTTTCAGGATGCTGTGTGGGGTTCTTGGCCCTTTGCTCTGGGTCATTTAGTAGCCTGAGACCTCGAGAGCCCAGCTTCGTAGCCTGGTGGTCAGAATGGATTCTGATCATGAGTATGAAACTTACAAAGACTAAAACATCACCACTAGATCAGCTACTCTCTTCTCTCAATTACTGCTTGGACCTGATTAAGCAACTTACTTACTTGCACTAAGTAGGTTGTTTTTCTCAGTAAATCTGATTTTTAAAACTTACTATATTTCACCGAGCATGGCAGTGTGCACCTGTAGTCCCAGCTACTTGGGAGCCTGAGGTGGGAGGATCACGTGAACCCAGGAGTTGAGGCTGCAGTGAGCTGTGATCGTACCAGTGCACTCCAGCCTGGGCAACAGAGCAAGACCCTGCCCCTAAAAAAATTTTTAAAATATTGTTTTAGTTTTAAAAAACATGTCAGGGGCTGATTGTCCTTCACATAAAAATTAGCCCTGTCTCAGGACTGTAGCTGAGAGGGCAGTGGCTCTCTTGGGGTGCGCCCCACCTGCCCTCTGAAGTAAGAAACATTCTTGTCTCCCCAGTGGTGAGCCAGGCCGAGGGGTGTGGTGTGCATGAAGGGAGAGAGACTCACTCGGTTAGATGATAGGCATGGCTCAGAGATAATAGATTCATTCATTGATTCAACAGACATTCACAGAGGCTTCCTCTGTGCCTCGCCCTGTGCAAATTCTGAGACTGTTACGGCTCCATGGGGAGACAGGCCATTGCAATCCAGCATGCCCAGTGCTGCAATCAAGGGGACAGGGCGCTGACGGTCAGCAGGTCAGACAGGGAGCCTGCAGGTGGCAGGCAGGGCACTCCCATTGGGATAGTCAGAAGAAAGTTTGGCAGGGTGCAGTGACTCACGCCTGTAATCCCAGCACTTTGGGAGGCCGAGGCAGGTGGATCACCTGAGGTCAGGTGTTCGAGACCAGCCTGGCCAACATGGCAAAACCCCATCTCTACTAAAAATATAAAAATCAGCTGGGCATGGTGGCGTGCGCCTGTAACCCCAGCTACTGAGGTGGCTGAGGCAGGAGAATCGCTTGAACTCTGGAGGCAGAGATTGCAATGAGCCGAGATAGCACCACTGCACCCCAGCCTGGGCTACAGAGCCAGACTCCATCGCAAAAAAAAAAAAAAAAAAAAAAGGTCAATATTGGGCCTATTTGCAGAGGTGCAGTTCCTAGGCTCATAGTACCGGCAGGGTTTCCACGCCTGGGTTTGAATGAGCCAGAGCGGGGAAAGGTAGCTAGAGACTGAAGGTGAGGGCCCCCTCGAGGGGAGCCGTGGCCTTGGGGAGGGAAGAGGGACCCAGGGCAGCGCCAGGGACCCCTTAACTGATCCCCTCTCTCCTCCCACCAGCCAGGGGAGCTGGGGAAGGGCATAGTACATCCCTAGCATCAGGGGAGCGCAGGGAAAGAATTGTCGAGGAAGCCTTCCTAAAGAGGGTGGTATGGGATTCGGGATTGGAAGATGAGTCAAGTCAGGTTTTGCAGAGGTTTGTGAAGATGCAAGCCTGGCGAAGCCTGTCTTGGGGAGGACCTGCCAGAGGTTCCGAACGATTTGCCTGTGGGGTAGGATGGGGCAGCCTGGTGGGGCATTTCCCACATCAGAAACGGTCTGGACACTGACAAAGGCAGCCTAGGACCAACCACGTAATGTAATAGTTCCCAGAGTAAGTCATCCCCCAAAAATGCAGAGAATGGCCTGAGAGAATTGGATCTTGGCTACTTTCTTTTAACTTTGGAGGCCATGGGCTCATTCTGAGACCTCCCCCACTGCCTTTGCCTCCCCTTTTATTTTCCAGGACAGATTTGTCACTATTCCGTCTGCTTCAAGTCCAACCTACATGTATTTTATTAGACCAGACACGTTTTCATTCATGTTTGTGAATATAAGCCCCTTGGGGCAAATCTTTTCACATATGGTCTTACAGCATTTCAAAAACAATTTATTTTCCCTCTTCTGAAGGAGGGATTCTTAGGGCCAGGCGCGGTGGCTCACACCTGTAATCCCAGCACTTTGGGAGCCTGAGGCGGGCGGCTCACTTGAGCCCAGGAGTTCAAGACCAGCCTGGGCAACATGGCAAAAGCCTGTCTCTACAAAAAATACAAAAATTATCCTGGCATGGTAGCTCCTAACTGTAGTCCTGGATACTTATGAGTCTGAAGTGGGAGGATCGCTTGAGCCCAGGAGGTCGAGGCTGCAGTGAGCCTAATTATACCACTGCACTGCGACCTGGGTGACAGAGCAAGACCCTGTCTAAAAAAAAAGGGATTCTTAAATATTTGTTGACGGGAATTGGAGAGGCATGAAGGAAGATGGGTTTTGGAGAAAGACTGACTTGGGATTGATTCACTAGGGTCCACTACGAGCTCTCTGCGTGACCCTGAATGAGCTATGAGCTGTCCACCTCCCTTTCTGACCTGTACAATGGGCATACCGGAAGTCAAGTCACTGGGTGGTTTTTGTTGTTGTTGTTGTTGTTGTTTTGTTTTGAGATGGAATCTTGCTCTGTCGTCTAGGCTGGAGTGCAGTGGCACGATCTTGGCTCACTACAACCTCCACCTCCTGGGTTCAAGCGATTCTCCTGCCTCAGCCTACCAAGTAGCTGGGATTACAGGCGTGCGCCACCACATCCAGCTAATTTTTGTATTTTTAGTAGAGACGGGGTTTCACCATGTTAGCCAGGATGGTCTTGATCTCCTGACCTCATGATTCGCCCACCTCAGCCTCCCAAAGTGCTGGGATTACAGGCGTGAGCCACTGCACCCAGCATGCTAGGTGGTTTTGAAGAGGCAGGAATGGGATGTGTGTGTATAGCACCTGGCATGGTGAGAGTCTGAGGCTAAGCTGTCGAGAGATAGAAGCTATTCCCAGCAAGCTCAGAGCAGGGCGTGGTATGCGTTTCTGAAATTAACGGCCTTGGAGGAAATTGACTTTCACCGCATCACCACGACGGACTGGGCCCACATTGTCTGTCTGTCGTGGGGAGATGTCACAGGGTACCCATCCCTCTCCCGTTTTGGAGAGAAGCCCGCAGGTCTGTGGTACTGAGGCTGCTCCGAGACCCCGGTTTATCGTGAGCAGTCATCGCCATGCGTCAGCTGGGACAGCACGGGCTGACTGTGGCAGACAACGGCAGTAAAGTTTTCCATGTGTAGGCTTGAAGCAAAATGTAATTAGCCTTTATGTGCAGAACAAGGGCCCATTGATGAATACAGCTGGTCTTTGTTTTGTCCTGTCGTTGAGAGTGGGAGGTAAAAGTGTTCTTCTTCATGTTTATTAATGCAAGATTCCTTAGACAAATGGCAAGCACAGTTTAATATTTGTTGGAACATGGGGGCTTTGCCAAAACAGTTGTTGTGTAAGAGGATTGCAAGGTTTCCGATTATAACCATTTCTGGGTTAAATAAATGAATTATTTCTGCCCTTTTTTTCTTTTTTGAAATTTTTTTAGAGTCAGGGTCTCACTGTGTTGCCCAGAGTGGTCTCAAACTCCTGGCCTCAGGTGATCCTCCCGTCTTAGCCTCTCAAAGTGCTGGGATTACAGGCATGAGCCACTACGCCTGACATTCTTTTTTCTTTAGTTAAAAACATAGCTCCTTCTCAGATGGTCACCCTGTGTACGGATCTTCCCGCTTCTCTTAGCAAATGGAGATTTACCACCCTAATAGCCTTAACCTTGGAGACTCTAGCAAAGGAACGTGCTGTGGATTTTAACATCTAAACAATTCCTTGGGATGGATGGCCGTGGAGGTGGCAGATCCCTGGAATCACGCAGCAGTAGGCAGCCCAGAGAGAGGCCTGGGCATCCCTCACTGCCCCAAGTTCCTGCATCCGTCTCCTGCAGCTGTTCACTTACTTGATCTTGGGTTTGGGTTGCTACTGCACCCTCCAGCAGGAATGTCGCCCTCCCAGCCAAGCGGCTAGTGTTCTGGGCAAAAATGCAGGAATTCCCATTTTTGCTGAAGTCCACGATCCTATGCCCTGTCCCCAAGAATCTGGATTGGAAAAGGAGTTCCAGCTGCAATACACACAGTCAGCTTCTTGCATTCCTCCCCACTCGTGGGCCGAGGCACTGAGCCTCGATGAAAGAAAATATTGAATCGCACTGAAATACTACATTTTTTATAGCTAATGTTAGTCTTAGGAGAATTTGCACCTCCCAAACCTTTCCTGCCAGTAAAATTCGTATTTCTTAAGGTTACTCATGTTGTATTCCTAGCCTATATGCTTTTTTCAAAGAACGACATTGTGTATACACATACTTACATAGTACGGTTACAAAAGAGACATTTACGAGGAACTTCACTTAGGTTAATTTTAGAGTATTTTCTTTATAACATGTATATAACCAGTACTTTATCACAAAATACAACGTGCTCTGAAACAGCAGAAAACTTTCCCGTAGCTAACTCAGCACTGGGGAGCCTCTACGCTTCTTTGGAGGGATAGAGAACTCCAGATCCCAAAGGAGGACATAAGACAGAATTTGAAAAGGGGAGGAGGCTGGGCATGGTGGCTCACGCCTATCATCCCAGCACTCTGGGAGACTGAGGTGGGAGGATCACTTGAGCCCAAGAGTTTGAGACCAGCCTGGGCAACATAGTGAGACCCCACCTCTACCAAAAAATACAAAAATTATCTGGGCATGGTGTTGTGCCTTTAGTTCCATTTACTTGGGAGGCTGAGTTGGAAGGTTCGCTTGAGCCTGGAAGTTCCAGCCTGTAGTAAGCTATGATTGCATCACTGTACTCCAGCCTGAGTGACAAAACGAGAGCCCATCTCTAAAAATAATAATAATAATTTTTAAAAGGAGGGGAGGAGGATACCAGCAGTTCAAGACACAAGTCTGCATGGCAAATGTGGGTGGGATGGATACTTTCTTTTTATTTTATTTTTTATTTTTTTGAGATAGGGTCTCTGTTAGTTATTCAGGCTGGAGTGCAGTGGTGCGATCATGGCTCACTGCAACCTCCACCTCCCGGGTTCAAGTGATTCTTCTGCCTCAGCTGCTGGAGGAGCTGGGATTACAGGCTTGTGCCACCATGCCTGGCTAATTTTTGCTTTTTGGTTTTTTTTTTTTTTGGAGACTGAGTCTCGCTCTATTGCCCAGGCTGGAGTGCAGTGGCACGATCTTGGCTCACGGCATCCTCCGCCTCCCGGGTTCAAGCGATTCTCCTGCCTCAGTCTCCCAAGTAACTGGAATTGCAGGCATCTGCCACCACACCCAGCTAATTTTTGTATTTTTAGTAGAGACGAGGTTTCACCATGTTGGCCAGGCTGGTCTCGAACTCCCAGACTCAAGTGATCTGCCCGCCTTGGCCTCCTGAAGTGCTGGGATGACAGGTGTGAGCAGCTGGGATGGATACTTTGTTTACATACTGTTCTGGACTATTTCACAATGATTTCCTGAGTGTTATCTTGTTTGCCCTTTCCTGAAGTCACTGGGGCAGCTTTTATTGTGCTCATTGCATGGATGAGGAAGCAGTCCCAGGAACACGCAGATTCAGGCCCTGGACCTGGTCCTTTAGGCTCAAATTCCAGTGCTTTTTGCTTGAGACCACGGCGGTCTTCAAAGCCCCTTTCTGGTGCCAGCTTTGTAATCAAGCAGCAAAGGTGAGGGCTAGTCAGGTGAAGGCAGGCGTTCCTGGGGGGTTCAGCCTTTCCCAGCCTCACAAGCCCCCGTTGTATTTACCATAGCAGATTGATTTTTCCCTTTTTGAACAATAATTCCTCATGAAAGACTCACAGAACTGGGGCCAGGTAGAGCCCGGTTGAGTAAACCTGAGAATCACCCAGCTGTCTTGACCATCATATTTAGACAAATATTGCATCCCCTGATTGAATTTGAAAGGGACAACTTAAGCATCCTGAAAACAGAGTCTGTCTGCTGTACCTTTAAGAATGTAAAATTTTCTATTTCCTGTCTTTTTGATGAGTCATCAGTTTCCAGTACGAGTTGCTGTAATTACCCTGGTTGGATTAATTTCCCTAAAAATAGAGAAGCAGCCACTTTTATGGTTTTCAGAGTATGGACTTGAATAAAGAACCTCCTGTCCTTTAAACCTTAGAGAGCACTAAATCAGACTTGCAGGGAAAAACCGATGGCCTTTTTTTTTTTTCTTCCTGTGTCTTATCTCCAAAAGGGGCTTGTGGATTTTGTAGAATTCTTGGGATTTTTCATCTCTGTACAAGTATTTTGCTCCACACCTAAAAATTGATGCCTGGGTGAGCCCTGAAGGATTTTCCTTGTCTTTTGTAGTAACACCAGCTGTCTTGGCCCCCTCTGAATAGTACAACCATGACCTGGTGTCTCCCCAGGTTGGGGGCTAGACAAAAACAAGGGGGTGGCTTCATAGTTCCAAGTCCAGGTAGAAATTCCTCTGAGCGCTGACGATTCTTTGCCAGTTCTGTGGCCCCCAGACATGGCTAGGAAATGTAATTGACATGTAATAGACATGTCTATTGCAAAGCATCAGTGAGAATTGCCAAACTTTACTCCTCTCCTTCATTGATGTTTAGGGAAGGGCTGCTTTACTGTGGTAGGTGTGGTGTCAGGTGCTGGAACGATAGAGTAAGGACAGGGTGGGAGGGGGCTTACAGACGTCACATGCACACACACAGGCTCACACACTCTGTACTCAAAAACACGTACACATAAATAGAGAGGCAGCCGGGCACGGTGGCTCATACCTGTAATCCCAGAACTCTGGGAGGCCGAGATGGGTGGATCACCTGAGGTCAGAAGTTCAAGACCAGACCAGCCAACATGGTGAAACCCCGTCTCTACTAAAAATACAAAAATTAGCTGGGTGTGGTGGCGCATGCCTGTAATCCCAGCTACACGGGAGGCTAAGGTAGGATAATTGCTTGAACTTAGGAGGCAGAGGTTGCAGTGAGCTGAGATCGCGCCACTACACTCCAGCCTGGGCAATAGAGTTAGACTCTGTCTCAAAAATAAAAAAAAAAGAGAGGCACTGTGCATGTGGCCATGTATATAAACATGTTTGTGAATATAAACATGCAATCAGTTTTTAAAAAATTTTTATCGGCCGGGCGCAGTGGCTCATGCCTGTAATCCCAGCACTTTGGGAGGCCGAGGCGGGCGAATCATGAGGTCAGGAGATTGAGACCATCCTGGCTAACACAGTGAAACCCCATCTCTACTAAAAATATAAAAAATGAGCCAGGCGTGGTGGCGGGTGCCTATAGTCCCAGCTACTCGGGAGGCTGAGGCAGGAGAATGGCGTGAACCCGGGAGGCAGAGCTTGCAGTGAGCCGAGATTGTGCCACTGCACTCCAGCCTGGGTGGCAGAGTGAGACTCCGTCTCAAAAAAAAAAAAAAAAAAATTATCATACAGTCTCTCAACCAGTCCTACTGCTTTTTTTTATTTATTGATTTTGAGACAGGGTCTCACTCTGTCACCCAGGCTAGAGTACAGTGATGCGATCTTGGCTCACTACAACTTCTACCTCCCGGTTTCAAACGATTTTCCCACCTCAGCCACCCAAGTAGCTGGTATCACAGGTGTGTACCACCACACCTGGCTAATTTTTGTATTTTTAGTAGAGATGGGGGTTTCACCATGTTACCTAGGCGGGTCTTGAACTCCTGAGCTCAAGTGATCCACTCATCTCGGCCTCCCAAAGTATGGGATTACAGGCATGAGCCACCGCGCCTGGCCAATAAAGCAATCATATTCATCCAGCATCCTTTGAGAGGGTAGAGAAAATCATTATTCACAGACTGTCACCTGGGTTTGGCGTGCATTCCTACAGATTTTACCTATTTAAGAGATCCTTAAAGTTTTTCTGATTCACTGTTAAGGTAAGCCTAGGGATCTTGCAGTGTATATGTGAAGGAAATGGGTAACGGACTGTTGAGTGAATACAGTGTATAGATTGTAGCACATATGGTGATCTGTGAAACGGGGGTGTCATGACACACCCCTTCCTGCATCCCAAAATTGTGGGGGTCAGGGTGGATAACGGGCATTTCTGCAGCCTGCACAGCAGTGCCGAATGCAGGCTGCAATCCAGCAATGTCACTGCTGGGTATTTATCCAAAGAAAGGAAATGGCTGTGTTGCAGGCATACCTGCACTCACACGTTTATCACAGCGCTGTTCACACAGCAGCCTAGGTGAGGAAGTGACCTATGTGCCCAGCTTCAGATGAATGGATGAAGAAAATGTGTAGATCCACAGTGGAATATGATGGAGCCTTACAAAAGGAAATCCTGCCATTTGCAACAACAACGTGGATTCATCTGGGGGATGTTACATTAAGTGAAATGAACCAGGCACAGAAAGACGAATACCACAAGATCTCACTCATGTAAAACGTTGATCACATAAAAGTTAAGAAGAATGGTGGTTACCAGGGGGTGAGGAGAGGTTGGTTAAATGATACATATTTATAGGTAGACAGGAGGAATAAGTTTGAGAGATGTATTAGACAGTGACTATAGTTAATGCCGGTATATTGTAAAATTGGTTAGTAGAAATTTTTTTTTTTTTTTTGAGACAGAGTCTCCCCTCTGTTGCCCAGGCTGGAGTGCAGTGGCATGATCTCGGCTCACTGCAACCTCCGCCTCCTGGGTTCAAGCAATTTTTATGTCTCAGCCTCCCAAGTATCTGGGAGTACAGGCACAGGGCACCACGCCCAGCTAATTTTTGTATTTTTAACAGAGACAGGGTTTCGCCATGTTGGCCAGGCTGGTCTCGATCTCCTGACCTCAGGTGATCTGCCCACCTCAGCCTTCTAAAGTGCTGGATTTACAGGCATGAGCCACCGCGTCTGGCCCCATTTTTTAAGTGTTGACTGAAAACTACCTCAAAAGACCGGCTTTATCCCACACTCTGTACACCACAGGCTTAGCACGTCGTGGCTCTCCAGGAACTCTTGAGCCTTCCCCATGATGATGAGTGGGTCAGGGTTACCGCAGAGCTGAACGGCCTCTGTAGCGTTCAGCCTGCAGCCTGCCCAATGAGGACGTTTGCGCTCTGGAAAGGTAAACTCAGGATGCTGTTGGCTCCTAAGCAGAAAGCAGGCGCCACCCAGCCTTCAAGTGCTTCAACAGTGAAGAGTTAGGACGGAGGCCCAGCCTGGAACATTCACGCCACCTTCTGCCCCCAGTAAAATTCCTTAAAGCTATGAGGTTCTGACTCACCACGGGGAGTCCCTGGCCGCCGCTGGGAGGGCCTTGGCCATGCAAATCTCAGTGACATAGCACGTCTTATTTGCTTCAGAAGTGGCAGAGGAGAAAGTGACTTGCCTCACGCTGCCCGGTTCCACCCAGGGACCTTGTGAAGAGACGCGGGAAGGCTGGCAGAAAGGAGAACCGTCCTTCCTGTGGAATACTCCCGAGATCGCACCACTCCACTCCAGCCTGGGTGACAAGAGCAAAACTCCATCTCAAAAAAAAAAAAAAAAAGGCACTGTACATGTGTCCATGTATATAAACATGTTTATGAATATACATAAATAATTTTTTAAAAAATTTTGTCATGCAGTCTCAGCCAGTCCTGCTGTTTTTATTTTATTTTATTTTATTTTATTTATTTTTTTGAGACAAGGTCTCACTCTATCACCCAGGCTGGAGTGCGGTGATATGATCTTGGCTCACTACAACCTCCGCCTCCTGGGTTCAAGCAATCTTCCCACCTCAGCCACCCAAGTAGCTGGAATTATAGGCTGTTTCCTTTTACATGACATTATTTTCCCTTTTTTATGTTTTATTTTATTTTATTTTTGAGATAGAGTCTCACTCTGTTGCCCAGGCTGGAGTACAGTGGTGCGATCTCAGCTCACTGCAACCTCTGCCTCTTGGGTTCAAGCGATTCTCCAGCCTCAGCCTCCCGAGTACCTGGGACTACAAGTGTGCACCACCATTTCCGGCTGTGTGTGTGTGTGTGTGTGTGTGTGTGTGTGTGTATTTTTTGTAGAGACGGGGTTTTATCATGTTGGCCAGGCTGGTCTTGAACTCCTGGTCTCAAGTGATCCACCCGCCTCGGCCTCCCAAAGTGCTGAGATTAGAAGTGTGAGGTACCACGCCCGGCCCGTGACATTATTTTTAAGTACAAAAGCCATACATGTTTACTATACAAAGTTTAGAAAATTCTCAAAGATTTTTTTTAAAGGAAGCAGATCATCACTCATAATCCCACAGCAAAGATGATCATTGTTAACATTTTGGCCTATTTCCATAGTCTTTTTTTCTATACAGATTGTTCCTTACAATGGCATTATGTCCCCTAAACCCATCGTAACTTGTAAATACCTTAAGTCTAAAATGTGTTTAGCACACCTAACCTAAATGTCATAGCTTAGCCTCGCCTATTTTAAGCGTGCTCAGAACACCCACGTTAATTAGTCTACAGTTAGGCAAAATCATCTAACACAGCTGTCCCCAACCTTGTTGGCAACAGGGACCAGTTTTGTGAAAGATAATTTTTCCATGGACCAGTGCAGTGGGGGGCGCGGTTCAGGATGATTCAAGCACGTTCTATTTATTGTGCACTTTATTATTATGACATTGTAATATATAATGAAATAATTCTACAACTCACCATCATGTAGAATCAGTGGGAGCCCTGAGCTTGTTTTTCTGCAACTACACAGTCCCATCTGGGGGTGATGGGAGACAGTGACAGATCATCAGGCATTAGATTCTCATAAGGAGTGTGCAGCCTAGATCCCTCGCATGCGCAGTTCACAGTAGGGTTTGCACTCCTATGAGAATCTAATGCTGCTGCTCATCTGACGGGAGGCAGAGCTCAAGCAGTCATGAGAGCAATGGGGAGCAGCTGTAAATACAGACGAAGCTTCCCTCCTGCAGCGCATCTCCTGCTGTGCGGCCCAGTTCCTAGCAGGCCACAGATGTGGCCAAGGGACTGGGGACCCCTGATCTATATAGTGCTTTCTTTTTTCTTTTTTTTCTTTTTACGAGATAGGGTCTCACCCTGTCACCCAGCCTGCAGGGCAGTTGCACTATCATAGCTCACTGCAGCCTCCAACTCCTGGGCTTGAGCGATCCTCCCACCTCAGCCTCCCGAGTAGCTAGGACTGCAGGTGTGCACCCCACACCAGGCCAGTTTTGTATTTTTTGTAGAGACAGGGTCTTGCCGTGTTGCCCAGGCTGGTTTTGAACTCCTGGGCTCAAACAATCCTCCCACCTTGGCCTCCCAAAGTGCTGAGTGGGATTATAGGCATGAGCTGCTTCGCCCAAACTCGTCTGTTTTTTACCAGTGGCATAGACTGATAACATGATTTTGATTTCTAGGGTTTGTTTTTTGTTTTTGTTTTTTTTTTTACCTGACATGTTGTAAATATTTCTTGCTTATCATTAAATATTCTTCAGAAACACAGTGCATACTGCATAACATTCCATCACGTAGGTGAGCCCTAAGACTTACCACTTATTTCCCTGCTGTTCAGGAGCCTGATTTATTACACTGCTTTCATTGCCCTTTGGGGTTTAATCTGGGGAGCTTTGTCCCTGTTCTTTCTATGCCTTCATGTTCTGCCAGTGGCTGTGGCATCTTTTTCGTGTTTTTTGTTTGTTTGTTTGTTTGTTTTGTTTTGTTTGAGACGGAGTCCTGCTCTGTCACCCAGGCTGGAGTGCCGTGGCATGATCTCGGCTCACTGCAACCTCCACCTCCCAGATTTAAGCGATTCTTCTGCCTCGGCCTCCTGAGTAGCTGGGACTACAGGTGTGTGCCACCACGCCCAGTGAATTTTTGTATTTTTAGTAGAGACAGGGTTTCGCCAGTTGGCCAAGCTGGTCTGACCTCAGGTGATCGGCCCACTTCAGCCTCCAGAAGGGCTGGGATTACAGGCGTGAGCCACCACGCCCAGCCGGCTGTGGCATCTTGAGGTAGCCTCCCAAGGCCATCATCAGACAAGAGCGTTTGGAAGCCCAGAATTCTCCAAGGGCTCATGGCAGTACTGGCACGGGGCCTCTGTTCCTAGACTGCTGCTCCATGACGTTTGTAGATGCCTCTAGTGAAAAGTCAGGGACAGTGGATGATATGCACGGCTCAGAGACCCTGACTCTGGTCCCATCTGTCCCCAGGTGTGACCCCACAAAGCCCCTCCCTCGGCCGCAGCACCGGATTGGGCCGGGTGCCAGGCAGGACGGAGGAGCTGGCCCTTTTGTCAGCCTCTTGCACTTTCTTGCCCAGTTCTACTTCCCAGAGACCTGGATCTCGGATGCTGTCCCCCAGCAGGGCCTGTTTGTGGAGTGGCCTTCAGGCAGGGCTGCATCCAGGGCACCGGGCACAGCATGAGTCACGGTGGGAAGAACCTGGGTCGCAACATCGTAAAGACCTGGGTTTAATTCCCAACTCCATGAATTATGTAACCTCAAGCAGGGCAGGAGGTTTCCTTACTCAGACCTTAGTATTTTCATAAGTGAAATAAAAGAATGCCACGCCTCACCTGTAATCCCAGCACTTTGGGAGATCAAGGCAGGTGGATCACTTGAGGCCAAGAGTTTGAGACCAGACTGGCCAACATGAGGAAACCCTGTCTCTATTAAAAATACAAAAATTTGCTGGGCGTGGTGGCATGTGTCTGTAATTCTAGCTACTCGGGAGGCTGAAGTAGAAGAATCACTTGAACTGGGGAGGTGGAGGTTGCAGTGAGCTGAGATCCCGCCACTGCACTCCAGCCTGGGCAACAGAGACTCTGTTTCAAAAAAAAAAGAGAAAAGAATGCCACATTAGTGCCTGGTACAGGACCTCTATAAAGGGTGGCTGACATTGCTGCTCCTGCTGCCTGCAAGGCACCTGGCATCACCTGGCACATTTTAAAAAGGTCTGCTTACCTCCCCCTGCTCAAGGTCTCTTCCCACTCTTAAGAATTATGTCGCTTTCCATGATGAGTTTGTAAAAATCATTATCCGCACTGCAAGACCTACTCATCCATATTAGCGTGCCACAGCTGGGGCACCCAGGTGTAAAGCTTTGTTTCCCATCATCTTCCTCAGGGACCCTAAATTTTAAAATCTGCATCAGTCACCATTGAGGTGCCACTAAATGTGGTGGCCAAAAGTTCCAAGTTCAAACCATTGCACAGCTGCAAATGCCTTCATAGATGGGTCTCTAAAAAATCAAACACCAGGGCTGGGCACAGTGGCTCACCTCTGTAATCCCAGCACTTTGGGAGGCCAAGATGGGCAGATCACTTGAGGTCAGGAGTTCGAGACCAGCCTGGCCAACATGGTAAAACCCTGTCTCTACTAAAAATACAAAAATTAGCTGGGCGTGGTAGTGGGTGCCTGTAATCCCAGCTACTCGGGAGGCTGAAGCAGGAGAATGGCTTGAACCTGGGAGGCAGAGGCTGCAGTGAGCCGAGATTGTGCCATTGCACTCCAGCCTGGGAAACAGAGTGAGGCTCCATCTCAAAGAAAAAATCAACACCAGAGGTTAATAATCTAGTAACTAACTGTCTTCTATGTGCCACATTTTTGCAAGATCCAAGTTTTAAAGTGAGAACAAGTTGTTCGGTCCCCGCCCAGCTGACTGTGACACCAAGGTGGCGGCCCGCATTGGAGATCTGGTTCCATCTGACTTGGAAAATTTGGGGCACCGTGGGCTGGTGTGAAACAAATTAAAAGAGGTGCCAAACAGCCAGGCACCCAGCAAGGATGCCCAGGGCTCTTGTTCGGGGATTTCGTTAAAAAACTTTTTGGAACCCACCTCAAAGAATGAAAAGTTTCCTATAGGAAGGCAGGAGCGAGCGAGATAATTGAACTCATTGATTTCCTTCACGGCTTGTTTGCCCTTTCATTCTCTTCCCGAGGTGCTATTTGTTGAGGAATGTCTCCAATTGCCAGAAAGACAGTGGGGTGTCTCATATTTCCTCGCCACCTCTCCTTTCAGCCAGTGCTGAGTTCTAAGGCAAGCCTGCAATATGAATTTTTAATGCCGAGCTTTATGGCATCACTCCCGCACAGCCCGACTGCATCACTCTCCTGAGCCTTCAGATTTAATGCTCCAATGAACAGAGCAAAGACTGGGGCATTCAACATCAGTGAGAATTAACCCCCACATGACCACAGCAGTGCCCTCTGATTTTCCTAAAGAGGGTTGGGAAAAAATAAAAATTATGTAGTGTTGGCCGGGTAAGGTGGCTCACACCTGTAACTCCATCACTTTGGGAGGCTGAGATGGGTGGATCACCTGAGGTCAGGAGTTCGAGACCAGTCTGGCCAACATAGCAAAACCCCATCTCTACTAAAAACACAAAAATTAGCTGGGCGTGGTGACGGGAGCTTGTAATCCCAGCTACTTGGGAGGCTGAGGCAGGAGAATCGCTTGAACCCAGGAGGCAGAGGTTGCAGTGAGCTGAAATCACGCCACTGCACTCCAGCCTGGGCAACAGAGCAAGACTCCATCTTATAAAAAAAATTATGTAGTGTTGAGAATCCTTGCTATCCAAATAGCCTGAAGCACAAAAGCACAGCTTATTCTTGAAATTTTATGGAATAGCCTATATTTTGACCTTTTTGCTTCTTCTAAGTTGGACGATGTGTGCTTCGAAGCATTTCTGTGATCTTCCCACCCTTAAAAAAAAAATCTCTGCAGGCTGGGAGTGGTGGCTCACGCCTGTAATCCCAGCACTTTGGGAGACTGTGGTGGGCAGATTGCCTGAGGTCAGGAGTTCAAGACCGGCCTGGCCAACATGATGAAACCCTGTCTCTACTGAAAATACGAAAATTAGCCGGGCGTGGTGGTACACGCCTGTAGTCCCAGCTACTCAGAAAGCTGAGTCAGCGAGATCATGCCACTGCATTTCAGCCTGGTCAACAGAGTGAGACTCCATCTCAAAAAAAAAAAAAAAAAACTCTCCAGTTTGTAGGATTTAATGAATATATAGATGACCGGCTGTTCTGCGGTTTCCGTGGAAAGCCCAAATGTAATTAGAAATCCAATTTCCGATCGATTTTTCCAATGGAAAAAGGACCAGTTGTGTTAAGTGGCTAATTCTTTTTTTATGCAGATGGTTGATTGTCATTTTCTTATAGTAGCTTTCTGAATTTTTGCAGACGTCAAAACTAAGAAAAAGTTGTATATAAAAATTGCTCAATTGGCCAGGTG
Source organism: Homo sapiens (assembly GCF_000001405.40). NCBI lineage: Eukaryota > Metazoa > Chordata > Mammalia > Primates > Hominidae > Homo > Homo sapiens. The sequence continues at coordinate 102,131,381 of NC_000007.14, forward strand.
CAGTGGCTCACGCCTCTAATCCTAACATTTTGGGAGGCCGAGGCAGGAGGGTCGTTTGAGGCCAGGAATTCAAGACCAGCCTGGGCAAAACAGCAAGACATAATTTCTGTTTAAAAAAAAAAAAAAAAGTTTGAACATAAAAACTGCTCAAATTTAAGTACATTAAAGAAGGACAGAGTCTTTAGTAAATGGTAGAATAACAAGCCAACTATGTAGAAGCCAGTAGAATCAGAGCTGAGCCCCATGCAAAATAAAATCTATTTAGTTATTTTTATTTATTTTTTATTTTATTTATTTATTTTTTTTTTTTGAGACAGGGTCTTGCTGTCTCACCCAGGCTGAAGTGCAGTGGCGTGATCTTGGCTCACTGCAACCTCTGCCTCCCAGGTTCAAGCAGTTCTCCTGCCTCAGCCTCCTGAGTAGCTGGGATTACAGGCGCGCACCACCATGCCTAGCCAATTTTTGTATTTTAGTAAAGATGGGGTTTCACCATGTTGGCTAGGCTGGTCTTGAACTCCTGACCTCAAGTGATCCACCCACCTCTGCCTGCCAAAGTGCTGGGATTACAGGCGTGAGCCACCACGCTCAGTTTAGATGTTTAAAACATTTAAATGTGACCAGAAAGAAATCCATAAAAACACTAGGAGCAATTTTAGGTGTATATTTATATAATAAGGGGGTGGAAAAACTTTTTTTTAAGCATGATGCCAAAAGTAGAAATCACAAAGGGAAGAAATTCAGAGCTTTGTGGAGATGGATGGGCGGGTGGATAGATGGATGGGCGGGTGGATAGATGGATGGGCGGGTGGATAGATGGATGGGCGGGTGGATAGATGGATGGATGGACAGACGGATGGGCAGATGGATTTAGACAGACTGGCAAAAATATTTGCAATATATATGAGAGAGAGAGTGTGTGTGTGTGTGTGCGCGCGCGCGCGCGCACGCCACGCACACACGCATCTTTACAGAACAATAAGAAAAAGTTTCATTTCCCAATAGTAAAACCTCTATATTTTCAGTTTCTTACTAGACATTTCTACTATGAGCATCTCAAACTCAGATTAAGTTGTTATTCTCCGTAACTTCCCCCTTCCCTATAGTCAGCCCCCTTCTGCTTTCTTCCTCTGCCCGACCATACCTGCTCCTCCTTCATTCCAGAAACTGAGGGTATTTCGTCACTCCTTTGTGAGCCCTCCTGTCTAATTCATGTTAGTTCCGCCTTCTTGCAACATTGTACATTCCCAACTTCATCACCACTCTCACTACCGTCATTTTAATTTGTTTTTCTTTGCTTTTCTTTTTTTTTTTTTTTTTTTGAGACAGGGTCTCGCTCTGTCACTTGCAGTGGCGCAATCTCTGCTCACTGCAACCTCCACCTCCCAGGTTCAAGCGATTCTCCTGCCTCAGCTTCCTGAGTAGCTGGGATTACAGGCACCCGCCACTACACCTGGCTAATTTTTGTATTTTTAGTAGTGACAGGGTTCACCATGTTGGCCAGGCTGGTCGCAAACTCCTGACCTCAAGTGATTCACCTGCCTCAGCCTCCCAAAGTGCTGGGATTACAGGCGTGAGCCACCGCACCCGGCCTTAATTTGTTTTTCGTCTCTTGGTCTCACTTCAAGATCTTCTGAACTTGACCCTCTGCCACCAGTATCTCCCTGGACAAAACCACCCTCCAAGCATCTGCTAAAGTTATCTTTCTAAAATCTGTCTGATCCTGCTAAAACCTGTCCCACTTAAAATCTCTCCGTGGCACCCTCTCTCATATCTAAGGGAAAGTCCAAAATCACAGCATGATGCACAAGGCACTTTGGGATGCAGCCCTGCCTTCCCAGCCTCATCTTAGGCCAACTCAAACTCCACCGTCCTATAGAATCCCAGGCCTTTCTTTCCCCAGCTCACCTTGCAGCCGGTTCTACCTTTCCTGACAAGCTGATCCTGCCCTGCCTTGCCTGCTCCTATGCCCACACTTACCTGCTGTGGTGAAAGAGGGCTCTGGTCTCCCTCATTCTAGGGGCTCTTCATGTGGGGTCTATAGAGAGAACCTGGGGGCTTCATGAATTGGACCCAGAAAAAAATACATCTTTTTTTTTTTTTTTTTTTTTTTTTTGAGATGGAGTCTTGCCCTGTCACCCAGGCTGGAGTGCAGTGATGCAATTGTGGCTCTCTGCAACCTCCGCCTCCCGGGTTCAAGCGATTCTCCTGCCTTAGCCTACCAAGTAGTTGGGACCACAGGCATGTGCCACCACACCCAGATAATTTTTGTAGTTTTTAGTAGAGACAGGGTTTCACCATGTTGGCCAGGCTGGTCTTGAACTCCTGACCTCGTGATCCACCCGCCTCCGCCTCCCAAAGTGCTGGGACTACAGGCGTGAGCCACCACACTCGGCCTAGAAAATACATCTTTATTTCCATCAGTGTCTAACTGCAATGTAGCATTTCCTTCCATTGTAAATGAAGCCCCCACACCGGGGTAATTGCAGACTGTGACCTCGTTGCGAGTGGAAATCACAGAGGCTTTCACATCTCATTCCCGTTGTTACGGAGGTCACAAACGCTGTTTGGATTCATCACTACTTCAAAATGTCAGTGGTTCTTAGATTTGTTATTTAGTGCAACAGTAAAGAACAGTTGTTCCTGTATCACAAATCTGGTTTTAAAAAAAGATTGTCCTGGCGCGCTGGCTCACACCTGTAATCACAGCACCTTGAGAGGCCAAGGTGGGCAGATCACTTTGAGGTCAGGTGTTCGAGGCCAGTCTGGCCAACATGGTGAAACCTCATATCTCCTAAAAGTTTAAAAAATTAGCTGGGAGTGGTGGTGGGCACCTGTAATCCCAGCTACTCTGGTGGCTGAGGCAGGAGAATCGCTTGAACCCGGGAGGTGGAGGTTGCAGTTAGCTGAGATTGCACCACTGCACTTCAGCCTGGGCAACAGAGCTAGACTCAGTCTCAAAAATAAAAATTAAAAAAAATTGCAATAACTGCACTTCAAAATAATTGTTTTCCTTGGTCCTTAAAACATGATTAGACTTCTGTCCAATAATGGCCTTGTGGACTTACGTCTTTAAAACATTCCAAATAGATGCCTGTATTCTTGACAAGACTTCCAGAGGGGACCGTGGCAAAGGAAGGGTTAAGCATCTGCGTCAGACTGACAGTGTCTTGACCGGATCCTCCTCCGTCTTTCCCCCACCGCTTTGCACAGTGCCACATGACTTTTTATTTGTTTTGAGACAGGATCCAGCTCTGTTGCCCAGACTGGAATGCAGTGGCGCAATCACGACTCACTGCAGCCCTGACCTCCTGGGCTCAAGTGATCCTCCCACCTCAGCCTCCTGAGTAGCTGGGACTATAGGCAAGTGCCACCACACCCAGCTAATTCTTTTTATTTTTAGAGATGGGGTCTCACTGTGTTACCCAGGCTGGTCTCAAACTCCTGGGCTCAAGCGATCCTCCCACCTCTCCCTCCCGAAGTTCTGGGATTACAGACAGGAGTCACAGCGCCAGGTCCCTATTTATTTTACTCTTTGTGTGTTTCCTTATATCCTGTAAAAATGGGTACAGTGGAAACTGGGCAGTAATTCTACACGTATTCTGGATTTTAGCTACTCACATTTATGGTTACTTTTACCTATCAATTAATTGCTTTTCTTTTCACTCGAGTTTTAGTGATTTTCACTGTCCAAAAGAATCGTGTATAGTTGACCCTTGAACAACACAGGGGTTAGAGGCACTGACCCCCGACACAGTGAAAAATCCAAGTACAACTTTTGACTCCTCAAAAGCTTTACTGACAGCCTGCTAGTGACCGGAAGCCTTACCAGTTACATGAAGTGCCGATTAAGATGTTTTGTAAGTTACATATGTTATATACAATATTCTTCCAATAAAGTAAGGCAGAGAAAAGAAAATGTTAAGAAATCCTAAGGAAGAGAAAACACACTTTCCGTTCATTAAGTGGAAGTGGATCATCAAAAAGGTCTTCATCCCTGTTGTCTTCACATCAAGTAGGCCAAGGAAGAGGAGGGTTGGTCTCGCTGTCTCGGGTGACAGCGGAGGAGGACGTGGAGGAGGTGGGAGGGGGGCCAGACACACTCAGTGTAATTTTACTGAAAAATATTCAAGTTGAAGTGGAACCATATTGTTCAGACCCATATTTGAGGGTCAACTTGTGTGTGTGTGTGTTTGTGTGTGTGTGTGTGTATGTACACACACACAAAAAATAATATATATAAAAACATGAGTCCCAGCAATCTTATCCTTAATCATTTCTAATGTGGTTTCAGTGAGAGAAAATAGTCTTTTCAGGCCAGGCACGGTGGCTCATGCCTGTAATTCCAGCACTTTGGGAGGCCAAGGCAGGCGGATCACTTGAGGTCACGAGTTCAAGACCAGCCTGGCCAAGATGGTGTAAACCCATCTCTACTCTAAATACAAAAATTGTCCTGGTGTGGTGGCGCGTGCCTATAGTCCTAGCTACTTGGGAGGCTGAGGCAGGAGAATCCTTGAACCCGGGAGGTGGAGGTCACAGTGAGCTGAGATCACGCCACCACACACCAGCCTGGGAGACAGAGCAAGGCTCTGTCTCAAAAAAAAAAGAAAATGGTTTTTTCTCCTCAATCCATTTTCTTATTTTTCAATGACCTATTATATCTTTAATGTGTCTGAAGTTTATTATATCATATAAAATAATATTTGTTTCTGTTTGTTATTCTTTAATACTCAGTTTGCCCAATAATATTGATGATTTCTTCCCCCAACATATAATATCTGACAAATCAGGTATAAATACATATAGCTCTGGATTTCTGTCTATAATTTCATTCTATCAGTCTAGTTTTTCACTCTAATAAGTGCCACACTCTTGATGACGTCTCCTTGTTTTCTATTTCAGTATTTGTATAGCCAGTTTACTATTGTTGTTTTTAGTTTAAAAGAAAAAAAAACAACAACCTTTAGTATTTTGGTCACCTATTTTTTCTGTATGCATCTCGTCATTTTACCAACTTTTTTTTTTTTTATTTGAGATGGAGTCTTGCTCTCTCACCCATGCTGGAGTGCAGTGGCACGATCTCAGCTCACTGCAACCTCCACCTCCCAGGTTCAAGCAATTCTCCTGCCTCAGCCTCCCCAATAGCTGGGATTACAGGCACCGCCACCACACCCAGCTAATTTTTGTATTTTTAATGGAGACGGGGTTTCACCATGTTGGTCAGGCTGGTCTGAAACTCCTGACGTCATGATCCGCCCACCTTGGCCTCCCAAAGTGCTGGGATTTTAGACGTGAGCCACCGTGCCCGGCCATTTTACCAACTTTTATAAATTAACTTGGGAGAGAAATGTATGTTTCTTTGTATTTAATGCAGCTGCACATAAATGTATCATTCTCTTCCTTTGCTCCAAGCATTTTGTAATCCAATTTTTCTACAGATGGAGTTTATGCTATGTTATTTTAATTCCCACGTGCTTCTGTGTTTACCTCTGTTGTAAATGAGACAGATCTTTTATTTCATTTTGTGGATGTTTATTACTGGTGTAGGGGAGTTTGTTATTTTCTTGTGTTTACCAAGAAACATAGGGCTTTGCTGAACGCTTGATTGTCCCAGCCCATTTGCTCAAGTGAATCCCTGGGATTTGGGGAGCACGGGACTGCATTACCTACAAGTAGTGAACGTGCACCCTGTGTGACACTCAGAACTTCTGATCCTCTTCTTTCATTCCTGTGTTCAGAAGGAGCATTCTGTTATAGGTCTGGGAAGAATCGTGGAGGCTCTTGGTTTAAGCCTGTGTCCCTTTCCATGTTAATCAAATGCTCCAATGATTTCCCCTCTGTAAATTGAACTGTGACCTGGTTTTTAGATGCCATGGGATCAAAGCCCCGCAACTGTGTTAGATCCTTCTAGTGGGGTAGTTTTCTATTAGGTCGGTGCAAAAGTAATTGCGGTTTTTGCCATTAAAAGTAATGGCAGGTTGGGCGCGGTGGCTCACACCTGTAATCCCAGCGCTTTGGGAGGTTGAGGCAGGCGGATCACCTGAGGTCACAAGTTCAAGACCACACTGGCCAACATGGCTAAACCCTGCCTCTACTGAAAATACAAAAATTAGCCGGGCGTGGTGGTGGATGCCTATAATCCCAGCTACTCGGGAGGCTGAGGCATGAGAATTGCTTGAACCCTGGAGGTGAAGGTTACAGTGAGCTGAGATGGCACCGCTGCACTCCAGCCTGGGCGAGAAGAGTGAATCTCCGTCAAAAAAGAAAAAGGTAATGGCAAAACCACAGTTACTTTTGCACCGACCTAATAGTAGGATTACACTTTTAAATAGTACATTTCATTCCATTTTTATTTTACATATTTTATAGATTTTCTTGCTTATTTAAGACAAGTTGAAGCTTATGTTTCTATTTACTGTGCCATTTAGCATTTCTTATTTCTCCCTAACATTATTATGCTACATATAATATTGATTAGTCTGGCTTCAAACCTTACCTTAATTAGCCTTAAAAAAAAAATCTAGTTGGCCAAGCACACTGGCTCACACCTGTAGCCTCAACACTTTGGGAGGCCAAGGCAGAAGGATCACTTGAACCCAGGAACTGGAGACCAGCCTGGGCAACGTAGTGAGATCGTCTCACTAAAAAAAGTTAAAAATTAGCTGGGCATGGTGGTGCTCACTGTAGTCTTAGCTACTTTGGAGACTGAGGAGGGAGGATTGCTTGAGCCCAGGAGGTCAAGGCTGCAGTGAGCCAAAATCGTGCCACTGCACCCCAGCCTGGGCAACAAAGTGAGATCCCGTCTCCAAAAACAAAAAGTCTAGTTAATCATTGCCTTTTTACTCAAAATGTGTTTCTACCACCCTTTTTGGATTTTTAAAAAATATGTATTTTATTTTTATGGGTAAATTTGGCCTAATTACATTTTACTGATATAACTCTTAACTTAAATTTCTCTTTATTGTTGAATTGTTGATCCTTTTCTTTTTTCTAATTCACAGTATCTCTGTCCTAGGCTTTCTGATCTATTTAAGGAAGATTGAGTGAACAGCCTAATTGACCCTCTGAATGTCCCCTGAGCCTTCTAATCCGCCCTGCCTTGAGCCTCCTCTTGTAACTGAAATTCACTTTCTGATGCAGAACCATTGAGCCCTTCTGAAACCTTTTCAAAACTATATATTTAAATTTTCTTATCAAACTGTACTGTTATTAGATTACATGTCTAGCATAGCAGCAAATTATACTTCATTATATTAACCTTGCCACTTCCCTCTACAATGAGACCCGATCTTTTATAAGATACTCTGGACCTACAAATTCCTGCTGGTGAATTCTTTAAAGTTATATGGATTTTCAACGATCGTCTACTCCCTTTACAAAGCAGCTGCTGTTTAGCAGGATTATCCATTAGTGGTAAGAATCCTTTATTCCCTAGCATATGGTAAATATTTTTTACCAACTTGAGGTATGCCACGTAGATCCCACGGGATTTACACACATAGACAAAGGCATTCTTCTCATCACATTGTTTTAAACAATCCAGCTGCCATTTTAGCTTTCACTAAACTTAGAAATGTATCAGCTTGGCCGGGCATTGTGGGTCACACCTCTAATCTCAGCACTTTGGGAGATCAAGGCAGGCGGATCATTTGAGGTCAGGAGTTTGAGACCAGCCTGGCCAACATGGAGAAACCCCATCTGTACTAAAAATACAAAAATTAGCTGGGTGTGGTGGTATGCACCTGTAATTCCAGCTACTCAGGAGGCTGAGACCCGGGAATCACTTGAACCCGGGAGGCAGAGTTTGCAGTGAGCCGAGATCGTGCTGCTGCACTCCAGCCTGGGCAACAGAGAGAGACTACATCTTAAAAAAAAAAAAAAAAAAAAAAAGGAATGGTATCAACTCGACACCCAGGGTCCTTCTGTAAGTTAAAACCTGGGAAGTGCCCTACCCTGGCATTTGAAAAGTGGCTGAATCCAATTTCCTGTCCAGAATTACAATGACATTGTATTGATACATTGATGATCAAAAGCATAGCTAAGCTGTAAGGCTGGTTATTGGATATACATCTTCCAAGTGGAGAGATTATTACCACCTGAAACAGCTTTTGGCTTGTCCATTAAGACTCCTTTCCAGCCAGGCATGGTGGCCCACCCCTGTAATCCCAGCACTTTGAGAGGCCAAGCCGGGGGTACTGCCTGAGCACAGAAATTCGAGACAGGCTGGGCAACATAGCAAGAACTCATCTCTACTAAAAATTAAAACCACTTTCCAAAATGAATTTTTTTTTTAAGACAGGATCTTGATCTGTCACCCAGGCTATAGTGCAATGGCACAGTCATAGCTCACTGCAGCCTCAAACTCCTGGGATCAAGCCATCCTCCTGCCTCACCCCCTTAAGTGGCTGGTTCTACAGGGGCACACCAGCACACCCAGCTATTTTTTTTTTTTTAATTTATTGTAGAGACGGGGTCTTGTTACATTGCCCAGGCTGGTCTCAAGCTCTTGGCCTCAAGCGATCCTCCAGCAGTCCTCCCACCTGAGCCTCCCAAAGTCCTGGAATGACAGGTCTAAGCCACTCTGCTCAGCCCAAAACAAATTCTATAACCAAACCAGAAAAGTTGTTTTTTGTTTAGCTTTTTACCTTAAAACTTTCATTACCCCTACTTCCAACAAAGTATTTGAGGTGGATTTAACACAAGACACAGCATCAATAAAGCTCTTAAGTGAAGTCTGAGATTTAAAGGAGCATAGCTCAGTGGGGAAGATGACTTCTAAGGCTTGGCTTTGAATAAAGCCCAACTCTTCAATAGCTTGGTGTGACTAAGACATGCTCTACCTATGTGGGTTTGTTTTTTTGTTTGTTTGTTTGTTTGTTTGTTTTTGGAGACAGAGTCTTGCTCTGTCACCCAGGGTGGAGTGCAATGGCACGATCTCGGCTCACTGCAACCTCCACCTCCGGGTTCAAGCAATTCTCCTGCCTCAGCCTCCCAAGTAGCTGGAACTACAGGTGCACACCACCATGCCCAGCCAGTTTTTTGTATTTTAGTAGAGACGGGGTTTCACCATGTTTGCCAGGCTATTCTCAAACTCCTGAACTCAGGCAATCCACCTGCCTTAGCCTCCCAAAGTGCTAGGATTACAGGCATGAGCCACTGCACCCAGCCTCTATGTGTTTTTTTTATTGTTAAGAGTTCGAGGCTGGGTGCAGTGACACACACCTGTAATCCCAGCACTTTGGGAGGCCGAGGCGGGAGAATCACTTGAGGTCAGGAGTTCAAGACCAGCCTGGCCAACATGGTGAAACCCCGTCTCTACTAAAAATACAAAAAAAAATTTAGCTGAGCGTGGTGGTGCACGCCTGTAATCCCAGCTATTGGGGAGGCTGAGGCAGGAGAATCTCTTGAACCCAGGAGGCAGAGGTTGCGGTGAGCCAAGATCATGCCACTGTACTCCAGCCTGGGGGATGGAGCGAGACTTCGTCTCAAAAAAAAAAAAAAACAGCATTACTATGCCACCCTGATACACTGCTTGGCTAGGAGGGAAAACTTCTTGTTGCAATTAACCTTTCTATTTTTTTCGCTACGTCTAAGTATTGTGAACTTCCTTTGTGGTATTTTAGTGATTAGACAGGATGGAGGGCGTTCTTAAAGATTCATGGCCAAATCCAATGATGTCAGAGTGAAGGGAACGGACGGTCTTCGTGGGGCCAGCAAGTCTGGCCCCATCTGAATTGTTTGTCTAACACTTCACAAGCAGAATAGGAACCGCTGAATTATTCATTTTCAAGTTGCCCTAAAAAAGGTACTTAGCCTGCCGAAAGGCAGACTTTCGGTGCCAGCGAGAGGAAGAGGAAGGATGCTGTCTTTCCTATGAACGTTCTCGTGCCTCCACTGCCTGGGTCTTCAGTTTCACTTCCCAGCCCTGCGGGGTACAGGAAACCACCAGCTAACTTAAGTGCAAGGCAATTAAGCGGGGAGGGAATTGTGGACAAATCTATAGAACTCTGAAGCCACAGGTGAGCCAAGCATTGACTTTACTGGGGAAAAACCAGGTGGAAGAAGGTTGAAGGAGCTTGGGTTGGTCAGAAGATGCCAGGATTTGGGACCTGAGCCAGGGAGGTGGGCCCAGGAAGTGGGATTGGGCTTGGGGATGGGGAAGGAGAGGAAGCTGAGAGCGATAACTAGTATGCAATCAGAAATTTTTTTTATTCTTAGTTTTAGCTTCTCTGCCTCTGCCACCAAAGCTTTGTTTTGGTTTTTGAGACAGGCTCTCACTCTGTTGCCCAGGCTGTAGTGCAGTGGCACAATCTTGGCTCACTTCAACCTGTGCCTCCCGGGTTCAAGCAATTCTCCCACCTTAGCCTCCCGAGTAGCTGGGATTACAGGTGCACACCACCACTCTCAGCTAATTTTTTTTTTTTTTTTTTTTTTTGTATTTTTAGTAGAGACGGGGTTTCTCCATGTTGGTCAGGCTGGTCTTGAACTCCTGACCTCAAGTGATCCACCCGCCTCAGCCTCTCAGAGTGCTGGGATTACAGGCGTGAGCCACCATGCCTGGTCCCAACCTTTCCTTAACACTTCCTACCACACAGTACTTAGGGGAGAAAGTCATTAGAAACCCTTGTACTTGGGAGTAAAGGCCAGGCTTTTAGTAGAGACAGGTTGCCTACCATGCCCTTGAGCCCATGCACCACTGCGCCGCCCTGCACCTCAGTTTCCCCACTTGTGAAATCCTAGCAGTCTTCCTCTGTAGGTCTGCACTGCTCCCCTGTGGTGTGTCTTTTGTGCAGCGCAGGAGGCAGATGAGAGAGAGAAGCCCGCGTCTTGTCCAAAATATGATTTGGCGCATTCTTGGGCAGCGTCTGTTGGAGGTACAGGCGGGATGCTCACAGGTGAAGTAAACCAGGAATGGCAAACAGAACCTGAAAGGTGGTTCTGAAAGAGAGAATGCAGAAACTGGGCAAGCAGTACTCCCACCTGTAGGAAGGTTTGCTGGCGAAGTTTCACACTAAAACATGAAGGAGACTGTTAAAAACAATGGGTATAGATGACAGAACAGCATCCCTTCCTAAACAGCCTTTAAAAGTCTGAAACTAGGGCCAGGTGTGGTAGTTCACACCTGTAAGCCCAGCTAGTTGGGAGGCTGAGGCAGGAGGATCACTTGAGCCCAGGAATTTGAGGCTGCAGTGAGCCATGATAGTACCACTGCACTCCAGCCTGGGCAACAGAGCAAGACCCTGTCTCTACAAAAAATAAATTAGCCATGTGTAATGGTGCACACCTGTAGTCCCAGGTATTCAGGGGATCGAGACAGGAGGATCACTTGAAGACAGGAGTTCAAGACCAGCCTGGCCAACATAGTGAGACCTTGTTTCTGCAAAAAATTTAAAAATTAGCCGGGAGAGGTGATGCACACTTGTAGTCCCAGCTACTTGGGAGGCCGAGGCAGGAGGATCTCTTGAGCCCATGAGTTCAAGGCTGCAGTGAGCCATGGTCAAACCACTGCACTCCAGCCTGGGCAACAGAGCAAGACCCATCTATTAAAAAATAATAATAATAATAAAAACAAATCTGAAAGTAAAGAAGTAACAACCGGTCCCCATTTCCTGCCAGGTTGTTGTCTACCCGTGATTCCTGGCACAGTTGGGGCAAGTCCCCGGAGTGCAGGAGCCATGTTGCCTGCGTCTTTGTAACTGTCCCATGGCCAGGGGGCTCAATGGATGGCAGGCTGCCGGCCCACGATGTCAACAGCAGGAACTTGTGCCTCAGTTTCCTCCATCACCTAAGTGTAGGCCTCTCACCATGACAGTTCCCTTCCTGGGTCAGATGGTACTTGGGGGGTTCCCTTCCAGAATTCATTTTCTTCCCATTCTCTGTTCTTGGCTAACAATCTTTTTCTTTTTTATGAGACAGAGTCTTGCTCTGTCACCCAAGCTGGAGCACAGAGGCGCGATCATAGCTCACTGCAGCCTCCAACTCCTGGGCTCAAACGATCCACCCACATCAGTCTCCAAAGTAGCTGGGACCACAAGTGCATACCACCATACCCAGCTAATTTTTGTATTAATGTTTTGTAGAGACGGAGCTTCACCATGTTGCCCAGGCTGGTCTCGAATTCCTGGGCTCAAGCGATCCTCCCACCTTGGCCTCCCAAAGTGCTGGGATTACAGGTGTGAGTCACTGCGCCTGGCCCAATCATTTTCTGTGTCAAAGAAAAACATATATATGGTATATTATTTTTTAAAGTCACATTCTTCTTATAGAGATGTGCTCTTTGTATACATTTTTTTCCCCTTGGCAAGTGGGTAAACGGGATTCCGGGAAGGTAACTGTCTTGACTAAAGTTAGCAGAGTCTGGCATCAGGTGGACCGCACAGGACGGCCACTTCTTCTTTTGTTTTTTTGTTTTGTTTTGTTTGAGACGGAGTCTCAATCTGTCTCACCAAGACTGGAGTGCCGTGGTGCGATCTCAGCTCACTGTAGCCTCCACCTCCTGGGTTCAAGCCATCCTCCTGTCTCAGCCTCCCGAGTAGCTGGAATTACAGGCATGCACCACCCCACCCGGCCAATTTTGTATTTTTAGTAGAGACGAGCCTTTACCATGTTGGCCAGGCTGGTCTCGAACTCCTGACCTCAGGCAATCCACCCACCTCAGCCTCCCAAAGTGCTGGGATTACAGGCGTGAGCCACTGCGCCCAGCCAGGACGGCCACTTCTAATCCATATTCTTTTCCACAGCTGCAGCCACAGCCATGCAGCGTCCTTTAGATTCTCCTTCTTCTTGAGTATTTTTATGTCTTGCTTATCACCTTGTTTCATTGCAAATGGAATAGTAGCAGTCAGCATCAGTGCACGCTTTACAATTAATGAGTGACGATGGAGGGATACCTGACTACTGTGATGCTCTTCACTTTTTTTGTTGTCTTATTGGGTTTTTTGTTTATGTTTCATATGTTAAATTTCCGACGTACGCGTGACCTGGTGTCAGCATCTCCCGTTCATGGCCCATCCCGTCTCACCTGTCCCCACTCCTGTTTTGACTTGAAGCTACTCCCAGAATCCTTTCATTTCCTTTCTAAACATTTTAACACACATATCCTCACAATAAGGACTTTCTTTTTAATATAGTCACAGCGCAATTAGCACATTCAAAAATAATTTTTCACCTGCAGTCCCAGCAACTCAGGAGGCTGAGGTGGGAGGATTGCTTGAGCCCGGGAGGTTGAGGCTGCAGTGAGCTATGATCACACCACTACGCTCCAGCCTGGGTGACAAAGCAAGACCCTGTCTCAAAAAAAAAAAAAAACAGTAAAAATAATAATCATAATAATTTTTTAATATGATCAGGTAAATCTAGCCAGTTTTGAAATTTCTAGTTGCCCCCAAACTTCATAATGGTTTTATTTTCTAAAATTATTTTAATTTAGGCTGGGCGCAATGGCTCACGTCTGTAATCCCAGCACTTTGGGAGGCCGAGGTGGGTGGATAACTTGAGGTCAGGAGCTTGAAAACAGCCTGGCTAACATGGCAAAACCTCGTCTCTACTAAAAACACAAAAATTAGCTGGGTGTGGTGGCACACACCTGTAGTCCCAGCTACTCAGGAGGCTGAGGCAGTGGAATCACCTGAACGGAGAGGCGGAGGTTGCAGTGAGCCGAGATCGCACCACTGCACTCCAACCTGGGCGACAGAGCAAGACTCCGTCTTAAAAAAAAAAAAAAAAAAAAAAATTTGAATCTCGATTCAAGTAAGATCCACACGTTGCAGTTGGCTGGTGTATCTTTAAGTCTTGGTCATTGTATAGATTCCCTCTTCGTCACTTTTTCTTTTCCTTGCAATGTATTTGTGCTAGAAATGGGGTCATTTGTCCAGAAAAGATTCTCCACCCCACTGCTGAGATTTTACTGATTGCCTCCCCAGAAATAGTTTATCATGCTCCTCTGTCCTCATGCTTTCCTGAAAATTTGTGGTTGAATCTAGAGGCTTGATCAGATTCAGGCTAGAAGTTTTTGGCCAAAAGCCCCTTTGTGGGTGATTGTGATGATCTCGCGATGGTGTCAGGTACTGGAAGTGAGCGCTCACCAGAAGAGAAAGGTCCTGACTTTGATACACAATCATAATGAATCCAGGCATGGAGCTTGGTGGTTTACAAAATCTTTTCCTTTCTTTTTGTGTTCTTGTTTTATCCTCATGCTAATTTCTTTGAATTTCATGGCTCCTCCTGTATAGGTGACTGTCCAGCTCAGAAGTCTGTCCAAGGTCAAACAACTAAAAGACAATGGGAGGGCCGGGCGCGGTGGCTCACGCCTGTAATCCCAACACTTTGGGAGGCCGAGGTGGGTGGATCATCTGAGGTCAGGAGTTCAAGACCAGCCTGACCAACATGGTGAAACCCTGCCTCTACTAAAAATACAAAAATTAGCTGGGCATGGTGGCAGGCTCCTGTAATCCCAGCTACTCATGAGACTGAGGGAGGAGAATTGCTTGAACCTGGGAGGCAGAGGTTGCGGTGAGTCGAGATCGTGCCATTGCACTCCAGCCTGGGCAGTAGAGCAAGACTCCATCTCAAAAATAAATAAATAAAAATTTTTACAAAATAAAAATGCAGTGGAGAAGAATTCCAACCCATTTTCCACCAGCCACACTCTTTTCTGTAGACCACAATTTTCCTAATTTCACTTGATTTTAAAGAACAAAGGAACCTGCACACCCAGCCTGCTCTCCACTTCTTTGGGTAGAGCAGGGCTGTTAGAACTCTAGAGAGATGCAGGAAGCAGCCGCCGATGAACCCAGATGCTCATCCCTGGAGGCACTGTGCGGTCTCAGGAGCAGAAGCCGAATGAATTATGCAATATCAGAGCCTCATTCCCTGGGCCGCAGCTGTCCCATGTTCCCTGCCTGGAGATGACTGAAGCCCGAGTGACAGTCACAGGCTGTTCCCGATCACGCTGGGGTCACACGCTCTGGTGAGCACCCAGCCGGCCAGAGCTGTGCTATTGGTTTGGCACAGGTAGAAAGTTGACCCCGCACGTGCCGTAGAAGGTCATTTCGTTCGGTTCATCAGCTATACTCGGACTGGCTAAAGGAAGATTTTATTGAAATCGTTTCCCATGAACACGTCAACTTGTGGGGCAGGAAGGGAAATTTTCTTCCCGTTTGGGATTGAAAAGATGAGGCTTAACCAAACTCGTTCTTATGTTCGTTGGTTTGTTTTTTCTTTCTTTCTTTCTTTTTTTTAAACAGACTCTCACTCTGTTGCCCAGGCTGGAGTACAGTGGCGTGATCTCGGCTCACTGTAACTTCCACCTCCCAGGTTCAAGCAATTCTGCCACCCCAGCCTCCTTAGTAGCTGGGATTACAGGCGCACGCCACCACACCTAGCTAATTTTTGTATTTTTAGTAGAGATGGGGTTTCACCATGTTGGCCAGGCTGGTCTCAAACTCCTGAACTCAAGTGATCCACCCACCTTAGCTTCCCAAAGTGCTTGGGATTACATGAGTGAGCCACTGCGCCTGGCCTAAACTTGTTTTTAATCATTACTTTTGTATCATTTAAATTAGTATAATGGTAATCTACAGAGAACAAATTCTGGTTAATTTCTGAGCAGACAGAGGTGACATCCTGGCCGTTTAACTGTCTCTCGGCACAGTGTTACTTCCAGCAAAAATGAAAACCGCTATTTCCAGAAGGTTATCTGTAGGGATAAAGCTCCACAGACTGGACCGACTCTCTTTCCAGGCCTTTGATTGGGGAGGGGTGGGGCCACCGTGGAGTGTGACACATTTGATCCGGGGCTTGGCAGATGCAAGATGGCTTCATCCTCCCCTCTACTTCTGCCAAAGCAGAAGTGGTTTAACCTTGGGTGGAAAACGAAAGATAGGGCAAGTCATACAGATGAGGGCTGCCAAGAAAACCTTTCCCCGAAAAACACTCTCTCCTCCCCTCCTCCCCTTCCCCATCAGCCTCCGTGTCTTCAGTCCTGACCTGGTTCACAGATCCGTGTTGGGCACGGGGATGAGTGATGAGTGGTGAGCTGGGCCACCTGGTTCTGCACTCCAGGACCTCACGGTCCATTGGACAAAAAGAAGCCTAATTCTGGGTCTTTCAATACTTCTCCCCCAAGACTATTATTGCCTTGTTTTTCAGAGGCTCTGAAAAGCGAATCATTTTCCTTCTGCAATAACATCTTGTAGGCTCTTTCCTTAAAAGTTGTATTTACAATTTGCCAAAAGAATTCTACCCTTTCTGCCCTTTAGAATACTAGCCAGTGAATGGCTGTCTGTCAAGAAGACAGGGGACCTCAGGTATCACAGGTGTCATTAATTTGCATATTTGGGCCGGTGCGGTGGCTCATATCTGTCATCCCAGCACTTTGGGAGGCCAAGGCAGGTGGATCACTGGAGATCAGGAGTTCGAGACCAGCCTGGCCAACATGATGAAACCTGATCTCTACTAAAAAAATAGAAAAATTAGCCGGGCATGGTGGCGCATGCCTGTACTCCCAGCTACTCGGGAGGCTGAGGAGGCGGAGGTTACAGTGAACCGAGATCGCCCCACTGCCCTCCAGCCTGGGTGACAGAGCGAGACTCCGTCTCAAAAATAAATAAATAAATAAATAAATAAATTTGCATATTTGGTCAACCAGTATTTTGTGAGTACCTGCTGTGTTCCCTGGAACTATGGCAGTGGATAAGCAAGTAATCAATATATGAACAAGAGACTTTGAGACGGGAATAAATGCAACAGAAACAAAATGAATGGACAATGGAGAGTGTGGCTGTGGAGAGGCCTCTCAGAGGAGGGCCAGGAGGGCTGAGACCCAGGCCTGTAGGTGGGACAAGCATGGTGCTTCCAAGAAACAGAACAGGACTAAAGAGGCTGGGCACGGTGGCTCACACCTGTGATCCTAACACCTTGGGAGGCCAAGGCAGGCAGATCACCTGAGGTCAAGAGTTCGAGATCAGCCTGACCAACATGGTGAAACCCCGTCTCTACTAAAAATACAAAAATTAGCCAGGCGTGGTGGTGCACACCTGTAATTCCAGCTACTAGGGAGGCTGGGGCATTCTCAAGAATCACTTGAACCCCGAAGGCAGAGGTTGCAGTGAGCTGAGATTGCACCAGTGCACTCCAGCTTGGGCAACAGACCAAGACTCCGTATCAAAAACAAACAAACAAAAAAACAAAAAACAAAGAAATGCCCATCTTTTATTTTAAAAATCTTAATAAAATAGGGATATAGTTGGATATTTCATTAATAAATGTATATATATAATGTATTTTATATATAACTACACATTAATGTATGTGTTATATATATATAATATATTAATATATATATATTATATATTACTCAAGAACATGAGTAAGTTCTTGAGTGGTGATTTGTGAGATTTAGGTGCACCCATCACCTAAGCAGTATACACTGCACCCAATATATAGTCTTTTTTCCCTCACCCCCCTCCCACCCTTTCCCCGCAAGTCCCCAGAGTCCTTTGCATTTTCATCGCTTAGCTCCCACTTACGAGTGAGAACATACAATGTTTGGTTTTCCATTCCTGAGTTACTTCACTTAGAATAATAGTCTTCACTCCCATGCAGGTTGTTGTGAATGTCATTAACTCGTTCCTTTTTAGGGCTGAGTAGTATTCTGTCGTGAGATAAGAAATATTCAAAGGGTGTGGGAAGAGACTCTGCCGTCTTTATTTGCAGATGTGGTCACAGGATGCCTCGCAACCCCGAGAGAGCCACTGAAAAGTTGTTACAAAATTGAACAGGCTTCCATTTCCCTGTGGCCTCTCTCTCTAGACAGCCGTACCTCTCTATCCCAGTGTCCCCTGCTCAGTAAATCTGTACTCATCCTCCAGGGTACAGACTGGATGTCCCCTACTCCGGGATACTGTTTCTCCTGGTGTCTGCAGAGGCCCTTGTACCACTTTCTGGGATGTCACTGTGCTGAATCGCTGGTGGCTGCCATTTCCTTCCGCCTCCCACTGGGTAGACAGGAAGGGGGTCCCTGCCCACCCACCCACCCATGCCCGGTATATCCCTGCTGAGCTCCTAGGATGTGCAGGGTGTATTCCTGTGTGCTAGCGAGAAGGGAGTCCCAGCGCCACTACGCCATTGCCCACTCCTCCCCTGGGACATTTGTTTCCCTTGGGTGTGGTTCATGGTAGGTGCCCCATGGGCGTTATTGGTGGGAGACCTCCCTGTCTCAGTCTGAGCTGGGCCCATCGCCATCAGGGCACGACAGCCACAGCAGGTGCCTTTGCTGGGAGTAATCTTGCCCTGGCTCGCATGAGACTGCAGACCAGCCCTTCTCCGTAAGTTCAGGCGTTTGTGCTCCGATCAGCTTTTCCTATAGGTTTGTCCCCCACCCCTTGCCCAACTCTTTGACCCCCCGAGTTAAGGGGATTCCAGACCTAGAGCCAAGTGACCTTCCTCAGAGCCTGGCCCTGTCTCCACCGCTTCAGCAACCTGCTCTTTCTGGACAGGGTCCAGCGAGCCCCACCTCTGTCCGTTTCCTCTACCCCCTGTGCTAAGGAAGCCTCACCTGCAGTGTAGGTTGTGGTGAAAAATGTCCCCCCTTAAGGACAGAGCAGGTCATCACGTGCAGCCCTGGGGTAGAAGGGGAGAGTTCGCTTGATCAAACCTAACTGGAGCTTTTCTTTTAAAGCAGGAAGAATTAATCTGTAGATATTTCTCCTTTCAATGCCAAAGAACTTTATGATCTGGTATTGAGACTATTGGTGGGTTTTTTTTGTTTTCTTTGTTTTTTTGTTTTGTTTTGTTTGAGACAGGGTCTCGCTCTGGTACCCAGGCTGGAGTGCAGTGGCACGATCTCAGCTCACTTCAACCTCTGTGACCGGGGTTCAAGCGAT
The DNA here is from genome assembly GCF_000001405.40 of Homo sapiens. NCBI lineage: Eukaryota > Metazoa > Chordata > Mammalia > Primates > Hominidae > Homo > Homo sapiens. Next base: position 102,150,262 of record NC_000007.14, read on the forward strand.
TCTTCCGCCTCAGCCTCCCGAGTAGCTGGGATTACAGGCGCTCGCCACCATGCCCGGCTAATACTTGTATTTTTAGTAGAGGCAGGGTTTCATCATGTTAGCCAGGCTGGTTTCAAACTCCTGGTCTCAAGTGATCCACCTACCTCGGCCTCCCAAAGTGCTAGGATTACAGGCGTGAGCCACTGGGCCCGGCCGAGACTATTGGCTTATGAATCAAGTCTAAGAAGATACACTAGTCTTTGAAGGCCGCTCTGTATGTTTTTCCAACTGCCTTGTAGATATACTTTGTTTTAACAGCTCGTTTTAACAGCTCCTGATGCCAGCGTGCTTATTTGGGTATTGAAATATGCGCCAACACCGTGCCCCGATGCCACGCGTTAGCCCCCAGGAGGCTTGCGTGAAAGTAAATACTAGAATTTCCAGCGTGGATATAATTTCCCTTCCATCGACCTTGACCATGTCCTTTTCAGTTCCTCATAAAAACTGTGTGTTAGCCCAGAGAATACCCTGAAATGATCTGTGGTGAACTGATTGAACGAACTACATATTCTAGGCCAAACTGAAATTATTCGCTATTTGAAGTCAGAGCTGAGCATAATACCGGGCAGGTTAATAGATCAGTGGAAGCTGTTTCGTCAGCTCATAAAAACGTGAGAGATCTAAATTTTTATAATAAATCATTTTGCTGAGCAAACAATATGTGCGGTTATTACAGACTTTGGAAAATAAATGATTTTAGACCAATGTCAGGCTGCAGATACTGATGTGGTTAGTTGAGCCTTCAGCATGAAGAGAATGAAAAATCTTTGGAATACTGTTGACACTCACACCATGAAACCACATGCCATTTAATTCATTACTGCGCTTCCAAGATTACATTTACAGTTGTGGTATTAACCCCTGGGCATTTTTGTATTACTTATTGCAGACAGTTTGTCAGGCAGGATTAATTCAGTGGGGGGAGGAGGCAGCAGTTTGGAGAGAAAGTGGATGATTAAGACTGGGGTGGGGCTGGGCGCGTCGGTTCACGCCTGTCATCCCAGCACTTTGGGAGGCCGAGGCGGGTGGATCACCTGAGGTCAGGAGTTCGAGACCAGCCTGGCCAACACGATAAAACCCCGTCTCTACTAAAACTACAAAAATTAGCCGGGTGTGGTGGCGCATACCTGTAATCCCAGCTACTCGGAAGGCTGAGGCAGGGAGAATCGCTTGAACCCAGGAGATGGAGGTTGCAGTGAGCTGAGATCATGCCATTACACTCCAGCCTGGGCAACAAGAGCGAAACTCCATCTCAGAAAATAAAAATAAAAATACAAAAATTAGCTGTGATTGGGTGTGCCTGTAATTCCAGCTACTTGGGAGAGGCTAAGGCAGGAGAGTCACTTGAACTGGGAAGGCAGAGGCTACAGTGAGTTGAGATTGTGCTACTGCACTCCAGCCTGGGCGACAGAGTGAGACTCTGTCTCAAAAAAAAAAAAAAAAAAAAAAAAAAAAAAACCTGGTTGGGAGGTGCCCCAAAGCAAGACCCGCCTCCTTGGTCCTGGTCTGCAAACACTGATGGCCACACTCACATCTTCCAAAGCCCCCGATCGCACTTACTCAGCTAGTTGTATTTTTCTTTCGGCTTTTAAAAAAGAATACCTCCTTAGAAAAATTAATAATGGGCCAGGCACAGTGGCTCAGGCCTGTAATCTCAGCATTCTGGGAAACTAAGGCAGGAGGATCGCTTCAGGCCATGAGTTCAAGACCAGCCTCGGCAACATAGCAAGATCAACTTTGTCTCTACAAAAAAGAAAAAACTAGCTAGGTGTGGCAGTGCATACCTGTAGTCCCAGCTACTCGGGAGGCCAAGGCAGGATTGTTTGAGTTCAGGAGTTTAAGACCAGCTTGGGAAGCATTGTAAGACCCCTGTCTCTAAAAAACAAATTTTTCTTTTAAATTAGCTGGGCTTGCTAGTGCACACCTATAAGTCCCAGCTACTCAAGAGACTGGGGCAGGAGGATCACTTGAGCTCAGGACAAGAGTTGGAGGCTGCAGTGAGCTATGATCGCACCACTGCACTCCATCCTGGGCAACAGAACCAGACCCTGTATCAAAAATAAAAAAGAATTCTCAGAAAAATGAGTAACAAACATACAGATTTTTGTTTGTTTGTTTTTGTTTGTTTGTTTTTTTGAGACAGGGTCTCACTTTGTCACCTAGGCTGGAGTGTAGTAGCACCATCTTGGCTCATGCTCCTCCTGCCTCAGCCCCTCAAGTAGCTGGGACTACAGGCATGCACCACCACACCCGGCTAATTTTTGTACTTTTAGTAGAAACGGGGTTTCACCATGTTGGCCAAGCTAGTCTCGAACTCGCGACCTCAGGTGATCCACCTGCCTTGCCCTCCCCAAGTGCTGGGATTACAGGCATGAGCCACTGCATCTGGCCGACTTTTAAAATAATAATCAGAGCGTTTCCTCGCCAACTGCATCCCTGGTTCCTCCCATTGTCTCCTCCTGTGGTTTCTGGTCCCTTCTGTGAATGGAGACAGCAGCCCCTCCGAGCCTGGCTGTCACCACAATCCCTGGTATGGAATAGGCCTGCCCTGCAACTGCAGAGTGTGGTGTCGTCATTGTCATTCGAAAGCCTGGGGAAAGAGAGTTGCTTTTGTCATGAAAGGTAAGTGCAGTCCTTGTTATCACATTCAGTATTTTGGTCCGTTTAGCAGTTGCTTAGTAACCAAAGCACAACTGACCAGGAGATGGAAAACTTGAAATTCACTTCCAGGATTGCCTCACACTGCCAAGTCTGCACCTTCCCGCGTCAGTGGGACTGATTTTTTTATAAATGATGTGAAATCTTCTGGAGATGAGGCGTGGTTTTCCGGATATTCGGTGTCCTGATGAAAATCCAAAGCCATGTGCTATCTGAGAAGAAATCCAGAGAGTGTGCACTTTCCAGGAGGTGCCCAAGCCCCACCCAGGCCCCATAAACCTGGCAGGAACTGGACTCGACCCACATGGACCCCAGCCCTGCCAAGCCGGCCTCTGTGTAAAGCTGGGCCCCTGGAACTTTGCTCTTCTCTATGCCTGGGCCTTTGGCCACTGGCAACACCAGGTCGCAAGTGAGGAGTGGATGAAAGCAGCCAGGGGCGGGCCAGCACCCCCAGGCAGCCACGCCTCCAGCTTTTCAGCTCCGCACTCCCAAGATCAGGGAGCTGCACCCAGGGAGACGGTGTCCTCCTGTTGCTGCTGCTCCCGGAAGAGTCAAGGCTAAGTAAGCTACCTGGCCAGAGGGTTTTCCTGGTTGCCAAGCAGCAGGGAGGAGTCATCGGCAAGGCATCTCAGAGATGGGGGCCATCCCCTTCCCTTCCTTCCTATGTTCGGCAGAAAGGCATTGAATGCCTACCGTGTGTTTTTCTCCTTCAATTCGCTTGAGAGACACGCAGCAGGGCTGGCTTCTCTGTCCTCCCACCGTGTACATTGCCAGAAAGAGCGGCTGGTATCCCTGGAGGACCCAAACACACAAGCAAAAACAGCTGGGCCCCAGAGGAGGGCAGTGCTTCTGAAAGACACACCCAGACCCCAACAGTGGGTGTGATATGAGGCAGGACAGCTGGGCCACAAAGACAAAGCACCACAAAGGCACTCAGGGAAACAGAGGAAGATATTGGCAGTGTGAAGCGAAACCAACAGGTAATTTTCAAATGGACCAAGTGGAAGTAACAGCGTAAAAAAATTGAATAACTTAGGAGCAAAGAAGAAAGGATACATTGCCAGCTGGGTCTGATGGCTCATGCCTGGAATCTCAGCACTTTGGGAGGCCAAGGCCAGAGGGTTGCTTGAGCTCAGGAGTTCGAGACCAGCCTGGCAACATAGCAAGACCCCATCTCTATAAACAAAATGTTTTTAAGTAAATAAATAAAAGAATCAACACAAGCCTGGAAAATAAAGATGAAGATATTTCCCAGAAAGTAACTAAAAAGATATAGATGTAGATGTTAGAAAGAAAAGAAAATTAGAGATCAATTCAGGAGCTCCAACATCCACCTAATAGGAATTCCAGAAAGAGGAAGTAGAAAATAGTTCAGGTGCAGTGGTTCACACCTATAATCCCAGCACTTTGGGAGGCTGAGGTGGGAGGATCGCTTGAGCCCAGGAGTTCAAGACCAGCCCGGATAACATGGCAAACCCCCATCTGTACCAAAAAAAAAAAACAAATAGAAAAATTAGCTAGGCATGGTGACATGCGCCTGTAGTCCTAGCTGTTAGGGAGGCTGAAGTGGGAGGATCGCTTGAGCCCAGGAGACTGAGGCTGCCTTGAGTCGTGATCACACCACTGTACTCCAGCTTGTCTCCAAATAAATAAATAAATAAATAAATAAATAAATAGCTAAAGACCAGTTAGATCAAGTTAACCTTGATCCAGAAGGCAGCAAGAAAAGGATAAAGAAATAGCAAAATATAAAAGAAAAGTTAAATGACATGGAAGACAGAAGTAGCTATGCCAACAATATCCAAATAACAGTAGTCTCAAACAGAATAGAAGTATTCAAATGAAAATAGCCAGAATTAAAGAAAGAGAGGGCTTATATAGGGGCACACTGGAGCCATTAGGAAAAGTGCTCACCTAGACCCACATTCAGTGTCTCTTCACTCACCAGCCGGACCAGTCCCCATCCACCTCCCAAGTTCTGCAGCCAGCTCTGCTGATGCATTCAGAGGAGGATTTAGGCAATTGTCAACCTCTGCACATCTTGTTGTGGGTACGCAGCAGCTATGTATTTTCATTGTCATCTTTTAAATCTATGACATAGATGAGATACGCAGGACCTAAGCCTGCATCTCTATGTGCCCATTCCAGCACCAGGAAACTTTTAGGGGTCTGAAACACTAGTGGAGCTAGTGAATGAGTGAATGACGGTAGCCAGGGCAGTTTTGACCTGTGTATGTGGACATTGGAAATACACGATAGGTAACTAACTGAAGTACAAAATTGTGTTTAAAACTTGTGATTTGGGACAGGCGCAGTGGCTCATGTCTATAGTCGCAGCACTTTGGGAGGCCAAAGCGGGTGGATGGCTTGAGCCCAGGAGTTTAAGACCAGCCTGGGCAACATGGTGAAACCTTGTCTCTACCAAAAAAAAAAAAAAAAAAATTAGGTATGCTGGCGTACACCACTAGTCCCAGCTACTCTGGAGGCTGAAGCGGGAGGACTGCTTGAGCCCAAGAGGCAGAGGTTGCAGTGAGCCAAGATCACACCACTGCACTCTAGCCTGGGTGAGAGTGAGACCCTGTCTCAAAAAGAAAAAAAAAAACAACACAAAAAATCCTTGCAATTTGCCTTAAGTAAAGTTTGCAAGCTTTTATTTTGTGTCTGAAGGAGTTTACGCTCTGAATTCTTCAACAGGGCGTCAAGGTAGCAGCTTTCTGCATTGACTGGTGATTATCCTTTTCTGATATGTTTTAAGACCCTTAACACTTTTAATTTTTTTAATTACCATTTGTAGTATTAGACTATCTTTGCACAGCAATTTTTCTGTCAGATCTTGGAGGTTTCACTTTGAGATGATACAGAAGGATGTTTCATCATTTAAGAAGCCCTGACCCTTCCCCACTCCCTGCACCCAGCACTGTATTGCAGAGGCCCAGTTTGGGTATTTATCTTACAGAGACGCTGCCTTCTTCATGAAATCGTCCTAAAAATAGCTTCATTTAACTAGGCCATTTGACAGGCTTTTTCAGACTTTTTCTCAGACCAGTCTGAAAGCCGGATATTATTTCAAACAGATACAATGAACATTGAACCCGATCACAAGGCATCTGTTACCCTATTCAGGCTGCTGGGAGTTGATAAGACTACCTCAAATCGCTGTGTGTAGTTAAAGGCTGCAAAAGCCTCAGGCCACAAAAATTCCCCAGCCCAGGGGCCCGGAGACAGTTTTTCCAACTCTCAGCGTCCAGGGTGTACCTTAGCCTGTTTTCTGTTGCTGCAACAGAACACCTGAGGCCAGGGTGATTTATAAAGAAGATAGGTTTATTTGGCTCACAGATCTGCAGGCTGGGAAGTTCAAGGACATGGCCCTGGCTCCTGGCGAGGGCTTCCATGCTGCATCATAACAGTACGGATAGGGTCAAAGGGGAGGTGGATGCGTGCCAAGAGGGACAACCCAGGGAGGTTCCTGGCATTATGATAACCCAGTCTCAAGGGAACTCATCCAGTCCCTAAAGTCTGGTCAGAGCAAGAACTCATTCACTGCCAGGAGAATGGCACCAAGCCATTCATGAGGGCATCCACTGCCATGACCCAAACACCTCCCTCTAGACCCCACCTCCCAATGCCCCCACACTGGGGATCAAATTTCAGTAGCAGTTTTGGTGGAGACAAACCATAGCAGGGTGGGTGGGTACTCTCACTTGGACGTGCCTCCTTGGGACCATGGAGCAGGTTTCGGAAGGATAGAACTCTCATTGTCAGGCCTGTCCAGCACCCTGGGCTGTCCCCAGGAGTAGACTTGCCCGTCACAGACAGGATGGGCCACATCCAGGACTCTGGCATCCAACGTGACGTGCAGCCCTGTGAATACAGGACAAATTCTAGGGATATAGGGCAAAAGGGACCTATGGCCCAGCATTCAGAGAGAGCTCACAGCGTGGGCACCCAGTGAAAACTCAAACCTGGAAACTAGGACTAGGGACAGTGCCACTTCCTGAGACAGAGCTGCTGAGAGGGTCTGGGAAGGGTGGATGGGGTGGAAGTAGGAGATGAGGTTCCCTGGGACGAGAAGGCATTCAGGCAGGCGGCGCAGGTGGAGGCCTAGTGCCGAGGAAGGCCTGGCTCTTTGGGGTCCCGCACGAGATGGGAGTTGTTAGAGCACAGGGTCCTGAGAAAGAGTGGCGGGTAAGGCCAAGAGGAGGAAGGAGCCTTGGCATGGAAGGGCCTTGCGTGTGGCTGAGGGAGGGATTGCATCCTGAAGGCAGCAGAGTGCAGGTGCATGTGGACTCAGAGCCACAGCATGAGAGCCCTCAACCCCAACCAGGTCCCTGTGGCTGTAACATTGGCTCCATGGCCCTTGGGTATGCTAAAAAAAAAAACCTTCCTTGGGTCACAGACAGTTCCAGCCTGTGGCCTTCTAACAGAGACCATCCTCAGGACCTGCTTGCAGACATTGGGGTGGTGGTCTGCCCGGGTGTGCTGCTCTAACCTCCCATAGGCTTTTGGAGTTGGCCGTGCCCTTCTCAAAAGGACTCTCCAGGCCGGGCGCGGTGGCTTATGCCTGTAATTCCAGCACTTTGGGAGGCCAAGGTGGGTGGATTACCTGAGGTCAGGAGTTTGAGACCAGCCTGGCCAACATGGCAAAACCTTGTCTGTACTAAAAATACAAAAATTAGCCGGGCGTGGTGGTGCACGCCTGTAGTCTCAGCTACTCGGGAGGCTGAGGCAGGAGAATTGCTTGAACCCAGGAGGCGGAGGTTGCAGTGAGCCGAGATCTCATCATTGCACTCCAGCCTGGGCGACAGAGCTCTGTCTCAAAACAAACAAACATACAAACATAAAAGCACTCTCCGCATTCCTCTCTCATGATGCTCTGTGTTGGGTTCGCGTATTTGCCTTCAGATTACTCAAGGAAGTACTTTCAAAACAGAAAAAGGGAAAGACAGAACCTGGACAATTGCTTTTACGACCAGGCTGGGCCATAGCAATGAACCCAGGCTGTCTGCACTGCAGCCTGTACAGTCCCCCAACCTGTGTCACCATCCTCACCTGCCCTCCTCACCTCCAGTTGGCCACCTTCTCCTGGTTTCCTCATTCCTGGTGAGGCTTTCACTGCCAAGTGCCTTTTCCTAAAGTAGCCTTTCCCCAGCTCCTCCTCTCACCCCCAGCCTGGCAAACTTCTACTCATCCTTCAAAACCCCACTTACCTGTCACCTCCTCTGCAGCCTTCCTTGATTCCCTCCCACAAAGAGAATTTATTTCTCCCTCTTTTTTTCAGAGCACTCTGCTCAGAGCTCTTTTTGAACCCTTGGCAGGACATGCTGTATTTTATATTTTTATGGTTATGTCTCCCCAATGAGATTGGGACCCCATCAAAGGCAGGCACCCCATACGCACCAGACACATGATTATCAAAAGAGCGCATGGCATCAGCAAGCACATCTCTTCCCCCAGTGTGAGCCCACCTCCTCCTGCTGGACAGCATTGACTCACGGGTCTGCACAGCCCTTCCCGAGCCCTGAGCTAGGAAGCTGTCCCATCAGTCACCCCCTGAGCCGGTCTCCTTGTGACTAACCTGCTCTCTCCCTCTCACCCTCCTAGGGCCGACGAGATTGAAATGATCATGACGGACCTTGAAAGGGCAAACCAGGTAGGACCCTGGACGCTTTTAGTCCTAAAACCCACAATAGCGGGCCCGTTTCTGGCATCTCGGAAGATGCGTCACCCGAAGTTAGAAGGCCGGTTATCCTTCCATTTTTTACTGACAGCTTTCAACGTCGATGCTCCTTCTGTTGTCATGAGAAGTAGGAAAAGACATAAAAAGTCCTAGGAACCATTTCCTTGGCAAAGTCTTTGATGTGGTTCCAACATCTCAGACATCCCATGGTGAACATCCCCTCCAAAGTGGTAACTGTCTCCTTTTCCCTACTCCATCTCTAAACACCCGTCTTTGTAGCTGTGGCATCCATGACAGTGTAGACATCTCACCATGGAATTATCCTCGGAGAGTTCCTTAGTGTAGACATCTCACCACGGTGTTATCCTAGGAGAGTTCCTTAGTGTAGACATCTCACCACGGTGTTATCCTAGGAGAGTTCCTTAGTGTAGACATCTCACCACGGTGTTATCCTAGGAGAGTTCCTTAGTGTAGACATCTCACCACGGTGTTATCCTAGGAGAGTTCCTTAGTGTAGACATCTCACCACGGTGTTATCCTCGGAGAGTTCCTTAGTGTAGACATCTCACCACGGTGTTATCCTAGGAGAGTTCCTTAGTGTAGACATCTCACCACGGTGTTATCCTAGGAGAGTTCCTTACCGCCACGTTCTCATGGGTCGCAGCCACTTGCTCCAAAGAGGGCTCTCAGCTGACGGCCCCTTTTTGGCTGACACTTGGTGCTCAGAGAGGCCTTATGGCAAGTACCCAGCACAGTGTCCGGCCCAGATCAGGCACAGGACGCATCTTAACCATTAGCGTACTTTTGGGTGATTCTAAATACTCTGCTTCCTGGAAAATTCAGCCATCCCCAAAACCCCTTCCTCCCCCCAGGAGCCCACAGAACAGGAAAACATTTTGCTTTAGCTGGTGCTGCTGTTGCTCTGAAAAGAAAGTGGTCCCCCAGCCGGGCACAGTGGCTCACGCCTGTAATCCCAGCAGTCTGGGGGGCCAAGGTGGGAGGATCACTTGAGGTCAGGAGTTTGAGACCAGCCTGGCCAATATGGTGAATCCCCGTCTCTACTAAAAATACAAAATTTAGCAAGGCGTGGTGGCAGGCGCCTATAATCTCAGCTACTCAGGAGGCTGAGGCAGGAGAATCACTTGAACCCTGGAGGCAGCAGTTGCAGTGAGCCAAGATCTAAGCCTGGGCAACAGAGCAGAAACTCCATCTCAAAAAAATACAAAATAAAATTTAAAAATAAATTTTTACTACCCAGCCTTGGGCTGGGTGTAGTGGCTCACGCCTGTAATCCCAGCACCTGGGGAGGCCGAGATGGGTGGATGACTTGAGGTCAGGAGTTTGAGGCCAGCCTGGCCAACATGGTGAAGCCCCATCTCTGCTAAAAATACAAAAATTAGCCGGGTGCGGTGACATGCACCTGTCATCCCAGCTGTTCAGGAGGCTGAGGCAGGAGAATCACTTGAACCCAGAAGGCAGAGGTTGCAGTGAACCAATCATGCCACCATACTCCAGCTTGGATGACAGAGCGAGAATCTGTCTAAAAAAAAAAAAAAGCAGTTACTGGAAGGAGTTACCTTCATCATAGATCACTATTCCTATTTCTCAAGTTTCCACCGACTCCACCTCTCTCCTCAAGGCCAGTCTTGGGCATGCCTTGCCTTTAGATGGCACTTTAGGGCAATCTAATGTGCCCAACAGGAGAGCCTGGTTTGTTAAACGGGAGAGCCTTATCCTGTGAATATCAGTGCTCTATCCAGAACAGGTTCTCTGTGGTCTCAGAGGCAGTCCCCAGCTACCTAAGAAGTTTGGCAAAGCGAATGCACTTCTCAAGGTGCCAAAGCCACTCGGTGGACCCCAGTCTTAGGAGACACCAGACAAGGCTGTAGGGACAGGTGCTGGCTCCGCAATGACACGGGTTCAGTTCCTAACTCGGTATTTCCTGTGTGGCCTTGACGGGTCTCTTAATCTCTTAAATTTCTTGGTCATAAAAAAATCAAAAGAAAAGTGAACCTTGAGGCCATTATGCCAGGGGAAATACGCCAGTCACAAAAAAAGACAAATACTGAATGATTCCACCTGTATGAAGTATCTAGAGGAGCCAACTTCAGAGAGACAGAAAGTGCCACGGTGACTGCCAGGGACGAGGAGAGGAGGGAAATACGAAGTTGTTGTTAAATGGGTACAGAGTTTTGGTTTTGCAAGATGAAAACATTCTGGGGATTCATTGCACAACCACGTAAACGTCCTTGACGCTACTGAAAAGTACGCTAATGGTTAAGATGGTAAATTTTATGCTTTGCGTAGTTTGCCACGATTTAAAATATGTTAAAAAATTTTTTGAAAGAAAGGAAGGGAATTTAGCTAATGCTTCCTTTGCAAGATTGTTTCGAGGATTTGAGGTAAAATGCCAGAGTAAAAAGTAGATGGTGGCCGGGCGCAGTGGCTCACACCTATAATCCCAACACTTGGGGAGACCGAGGCAGGCGGATCACTTGAGGTCAGGAGTTTGAGACCAGCCTGGGCAATTTAACAAGTCCCCCATCTCCATAAAAAATACAAAAGTTAGCTGGGCGTGGCAGTGTGCCTGTAGTCCCAGCCACTCGGGAGGCTGAGGCAGGAGGATCGCTTGAGTCCAGGAGGTAGAGGTTGCAGTGAGCTATGATTGCACCACTGCACCCCAGCCTAGGTGACAGAGTGAGACCCTATCTCAAAAAAAATAAAAGAAGTAGATGCCTAAATAAATGTTAGTTCCGTAGCTGCTGAAGAAGCTCAGGTTTTGGGGGAATTGTAAAGTCCTGCCTTCAGGAAAGGGTGGTGAGGGGTAGAGGTGAGTTCTCACCAACAACTCAGCCAGAGTTTATAGCCTGATACGGCTACATTAATAGAAATACAGTTTCTAGAATGAAGGAGGTGGTGATTCTGCTCATTGGCAGCAAGGAGTCCGTGCCTAGGAAATTCCATTTTTTAAATTTATTTATTTTTCTTCTTTGAAATGGAATTTTACTCTTGTCATCTAGGCTGGAGTGCAATGGCACGATCTCAGCTCACTGCATCCTCCACCTCATGGGTTCAGGCAATTCTCCTGCCTCAGCCTCCCAAGTAGCTGGGATTATAGGCGCCCACCATGCCCAGCTAATTTTTATAGTTTTAGTAGAGACGGGGTTTCACCGTGTTGGCCAGGCTGGTCTCGAACTCCTGACCTCAGGTGATCTGCCCACCTTGGCCTCCCTAAGTGCTGGGGTTACAGGCAAGAGCCACCGCGCCCAGCCGGAAATTCCATTTTAGACTGGAAGCCACAGTATAAGGAAAACAGCTCCTTGGAGTGCATTCAGAGATGACTCCATGGCCAGGACAGGGAGGGGCTCTAACATAAAAAGAACTAGGGGGTTCGGAGACGTTCCTAATCTTGGGGTAGCAGGGAAAGACGGCAGCACCACTGGACAGCAGGAGCAAGAGGAATAATTTCAGGAATCTGGGACGCGAAAAGATAAGGGGGAAGGGTCATGGGGGCATTTGTGGGTTCTGTCCTTGTAGTTCTCAAGAGCCGACCAGAAAGAAAGGCCAGGGGACGGAGCCAGGCTTTTTCTGAGAGACCCCTGTAGACCCCAGCCAAGCATAGAGGCTGGCGAGAGGAAACTTTTTTGTTTTTGCTTCTGAGACAGTCTTGCTCTGTTGCCCAGGCTGGAGTGCAGTGGCACAATCTCAGCTCACTGCAACCTCCCCGTCCTGGGTTCAAGTGATTCCCCTGCCTCAGCCTCCCAAATAGCTGGGACTATGGGCATATGGCTCCCCATCCTGGGTTCAAGCGATTCTCCTGCCACAGCCTCCCGAGTAGCTGGGACTACGGGCATATGGCTCCCCATCCTGGGTTCAAGCGATTCTCCTGCCTCAGCCTCCCGAGTAGCTGGGACTACAGGCATATGGCACCACGCATGGCTAATTTTCTTATTTTTAGTAGAGATAACTCCTGGGCTCAAGCGATCTGCCCACCTCGGCCTCCCAAAGTGCTGAGATTACAGGCACATGCCACCACACCCAGCTAATTATTGTGTTTTTAGTAGAGACGGGGTTTTGCCATGTTTGCCCAGGCTGCTCTTGAACTCCTGGGCTCAAACGATCCACCCACCTCTGCCTCCCAAAGTTCTGGGGTTACAGGCATCAGCCACCATGCCCAGCCAGGAAGCTTATTCCCAGTGGTCTGGCTCTCCAGAGTTGCCACGCTGAAAGATGCTTGCTCTGGAGAGAGTGAGCTCCCTGTCACCAGAGCTATGCAAGCAGATTCAGGCCAGCCCTCCCAGAGAGCATGAGATGGGGAATCACGCACAGAGTGGACCGAAGGAGGGATTGAACAAGAAGGCTCAAAGGGTCCCTTTTGACCCTGAAGTCTAGGATTTCGTGAAGCTACAGGTGAACCCATTGGCATGAGAAGCATCCAGGGAGGAAAGATGCAAGCCCTTGGAATATCGAGAGAATATTTCCAGCAGGAAAAGAAGTGGAAGGTTAAAGGAAAGCCAGAGAAGGGGACGTTGCCCTGGGCCATCAACTAAGAGAAAAGCTGCCCAGAGCCAGGCATGGTGGCGGCGGTGCCTATAGTACCGGCAGTTGGAGAGGCCGAGGCAGGAGCATCACTTGAGCCCATGAGTTTGAGACCAGCCTGGGCAACATAGTGAGACTTTTTTCTCTACAAAAAAGTTTAAAAAAAAAAAAATAGCCAGGTGTGGTGGTGTGCACCTGTGGTCCCAGCTAACCCAGGAGGCTGAGATGGGAGGATCTCTTGGGCCCGAGAGTTCAAAACCAACACCAGAGATGCGGGTCAGAGAGTGGGCTGGTAGGACGGGACCTGGCCAGGCCTGTGGGAGGGTCTGAGTATGAAGGATTCATCCTGGGAGCAGTGAAGAATCGTAGGCGGGATTGAGACATCAGGTTTGAGTTCTAGAAGGATCTCTCTGGCTATACATTGGAGAACAGATGGGAGTGGAAAGACCAGAAGCCAGGAGAGCTGTGGGAGGCTATTGTGTAAGTATGGGGAGAGATGGCATGGGCCTGAGCTGAGGCCATCCCTGCGGAGGTGAGCTGGAGGCGGGCTGGGCAGGAAGAGGAGGGCGCAGACACAGTCCAACACTGGTGCAGGTGGCAGGCATCTGGACCAACACCTTTCCCATCAGGAAACCCCCCAGGAGGAGCAATTTACTAGCTCACTGGCATACAACATTCGTTTTCCCTGGGTGTGTAGTTAGAATGTTCTACGGAGACCTGAAGTGCTCGTTTATTGCTCAACCACTGTGCTCCTGTTATGGAGAAGTAGCAGAGGGGTCGGCACCTGTCAGTTATGTCCGAGCCTCATTCACACCTGTTTGTTGAACATCAGGGCACTGGCATAAATACTCACTGTCCCAATTGGTGACAGTAAAGGATCAGATCTCTTGAGACTTCATGGTCAATAAGAAGCCACAGCTTTACACTTTGAACTGCATGTGAAACCCCGTCCCGTCCGGGGGCTTTCAGCAATTCACAGCCTTTTTGTGGTGAAAAAAAGTGGCCCGCCCACCACCCCTCCGGGGCCTCCTTTCTGAGCAGTGGTGATCCGAGTTGCTGGTGGGTCTCAAACTCCTGGGCTCAAGCTATCCTCTCGCCTTGGCCTACCAAAGTACTGGGACTACAGGCATGAGCTACTGCGCCCGGCTTTGAAGCCAGCATTTCTTTACTACCTACGAGGCCTGCTCAGAGTCCGTGCTCAAAAAGATGTATTGAATGAATATGGGCTTTGACGCACAGGCTGGAGCGCAGTGGCATGTTCTCCTAGCCCACAGTGGGGCTGGGAGGGAGTCATTGAAGTGAGCTGCCCTCTTCCTGTTCACCTGCCTGGTGTTTATGTCACAAGACTGCCCTAGTGGAGGACTCTCCAGGTTGAGGTTAGGGGTTGGAAACCACAGCTGACCCTCACCACGGAGAGTGGGTCTCCATGGAGGCCTTGGCCACTGGTGCAGCATCAGCGTGGGACACGTGGTGGTCAGCATTTGGTCTCCAGCTGTGGTAGCTGTTCCCGACCTCCTTCCTGCAGAGTCAGTGACATGGAGTTACCTCTGGGAGTCGAGATGTTCACTGTAATTGCATGCTGCGGGTAGGGCAGCAGGGCCTTAGCCCATCATCAGCTCCTGGGTCTACTTTGTTCCTCGGGGGACTTGCTCATCTCTGGTGTCCTCAAGCCTGAGTTTTAATGGCCATGCAAGCAGAGAACAAGAGACAAAACCTGGGGCCAAGAAGGGGGTGGAAGATTGGATCAGAGAAAACCCCCCTCCCCCGCCATATAAAACCAGGGACTTCAAAGGCCACACTCTGAAAGTGTAAACTGGCAGGGTGGGGGAAGGAGTCTGCCCTTAAAGGGGAGACGGTGAGGGTTCTCTCTTGTTGGTTCCAGAGGGAGAAGAAAATGAGCCTCCCAAGAGAATTCCTAACCACAGCCACCTCTCCACAGGTCTGGGGCCATGTCGCACATGAGACCCCCCAGCCCTCTCCCCACACCTTCGCCCCACCAGGCTGCAGCTGGCCCAAGGCCCTGTCTTTATCCTCTGCAAGCCCACCCCTCTCTGTGTCCTTCCCATGATGCCTTACCACGTTTTATGAGTCAAATTGTTCAGACTTTAGAGGCCTGGAAGTAGCTGTCTACATCCTGTATTCACATCCCAATCGGGCACTGCGGTTAGGGGAAAGCTTTTTTTTTTTTTTTTTTTTGAGATGGAGTCTCACCCTGTGACCCAGGCTGGAGTTCAGTGGCGTGATCTTGACTCACTGCACCCTCCCCCTCCCAGATTCAAGCAATTCTCATGCCAATTCTCATGTCTCAGTCTCCCAAGTAGCTGGGACTACAGGTGCACACCCCCACGCCCAGCTAATTTTTGTATTTTTAGTAGAGACAGGATTTCACCATGTTGACCAGGCTGGTCTCAAACCCCTGACCTCAAGTGATCTGCCCACCTCAGCCTCCCAAAGTGCTGGGATTACAGGCGTGAGCCACAGCACCCAGCAAAAGCATTTACTTACCATCCTTCCTGGGGCCTTTCAGGGACCCTTGAGGGATGGGCAGGGGTTGGGGGGCCCGTGGAACTTCTTCTAGGATGAGGTGACCTCGTGGACCCCTGGTTCCGGCTCTCCTTCCCCAAATCACCCAGTGAGGAATATGACACCAGCCCAGGGAGCAGAAAAGCCTCCTTCACCTTCCCCAGAGAAGCGAGGCTCCCCTGGGTCTCACGGTGGAAACCATCTCTGTATTTGCTGGCTTGACTCTAACAGGAAGAATTCCTGAGACACGGTGTCGCTGGCTGCTTGCTACCTCCCAGGTGACTGCTGAGGGGAGGCAGAGTTTAACCTGATGCCAGCTAAGAGTAATTTCCCCCAAAAGGGTCTTCCATTTTGAGATGAGGAGGATGTGAGGTGTGCCTGGGGCCACACATGCCAGGGACCTTCGTGACAATGTCCTGGACACCATCGCCAGGTGATGGGCATCGGCTTGTGTGAGCCCCGTGGCCACCAGTCCCCTTGCCGGGTGGCTGTTTTCTGCCATCGTGGTCTGGGTTACCACTGATATGCAAGCAGTATCCTCCTCGCCCCTGTGTTTCTAGCATCAACTCTGATTTCTCAGCAAATGACAGAGAATAGACAAGAAAGAGCAAGAAAGATCTCCCAGGACAGTGCTCAGGCTTGGCGAGGGGCCGTTCTCATGGTGGGGCAGACACAAAAGTAGAACGAGGGCTCCCAGTGGCCCTGTCTCTGCAGGGACACAGGAGGAGACGGGAGTCCGGCGGTGACCACAGGGAAGTGATGTCTCAGGGCCGCCACCGCTAGATCTGGGGTTCCAGATCTAGAAACACAGCTACAGCTGGTTTAACAGGGGTCTTCAGGAAGACGCCAGAGCCTCAAAACCAGTGTCACCACACGCCGACCCGGGACAGGGCCCCCTTCTTCCTGCCTCAGCTGCCAATGATGGGCTACGCTTACTTCTCAGCTCCTGAAATGAATTTATCCCAGCTCCAGATCAGTGTCTGTTTCCCTGTTCCTTCCTTTCACTGCCATTAGGCCTGTTTTTAGTTTGAATTCTCCTGTTTCGTGGATCTCACCACACAAACCACCTCAACGCTTCATTTTGTGAGTTTTGTATTTTTTTTCGACGCCCTCAGGACAGAAATCCTGAATAACTATGTGATCAGAAAGTTGCGTGAAAGTAACGAAGGCAAGCCACAAGTGATAGAAGTCTGACACCGTGACCGCCAACAGATGGGCCACAGAGAGACTGTCCGTGAACTTGGAAACTGATTGCAAGTGCAAATGCTCCACAGAAATTATGCAATCAGGCCGGGCGCGGTGGCTCACACCTGTAATCCCAGCACTTTGGGAGGCCGAGGCAGGTGGATTACTTGAGGTCAGGAGTTCAAGACCAGCCTGGCCAACATGGTGAAACCCTGTCTCTACTAAAAATACAAAAATTAGCTGGGCGTGATGGCGGGCATCTGTAATCCCAGCTACTCAGGAGGCTGAGGTGGGAGAATCACTTCATCCTGGGAGGTGGAGGTTGCAGTGAGCCAAAATCATACCGCTGCACTCCAGCCTGGGCAACAGGGTGAGACTCTGTATCAAAAAAAAAAAAAGAAAAGAAAAGAAAAAGAAAGAAATTATGCAATCAGAAATTGAAATCATCAACAGCTAGATCCCTTCTTTTGTGAACCATCACCCTGTGATGAGATGGTATCCGCTCTGAACGGCTAAATGCCTGCTTGAGACCATGTAGGCTCCCGGGGACACCTTGTAACCAGATGCCCGGGACTTCCCCAGCGCTGGCCGTTCCAGAACACTTCAGAGCCAGTGTTACAAGTCAGGGTGGTGAGGCCACCTCCTTGGCTGCCACCAGAACAGCTTCTCCACTAGGCTAAGAAATAGGTTTTCTAGCCCAAGAGACCAGGAGAAATATCTCCAAATACATCTTATTCCAGGCAGAGTCTTAGATATTTTCTGCCCAAGAGTTGAACTGACCAGCAAGGGAGGCGTAAGCTCTTCAGTGATTTGACGTGATCATCAGAAACACTTGGCATGACACATCTGGAAATAAACTGGGAAAAATCTTTTTTGTTGAAGAGGACATTTTTCTGTAGTCTTAATAGTTGATTAGGTCGGATGCAGTGGCTCACACCTGTAATCCCAGCTCTTTGGGAGGCCAAGGCATGGATCACCTGAGGTCAGGAGTTCAAGACCAGCCTGGCCAGCGTGGCAAAACCCCGTCTCTACAAAAAATATAAAAATGAGTCGGTTGTGGCATTGTGTGTCTGTAATCCTAGCTACTCGGGAGGCTGAGGCAGGAGAATCGCTTGAACCCGGGAGGCGGAGGTTGCAGTTAACTGAGATTGCACCACTGCACTCCAGCCTGGGTGACAGAATGAGATTCCATCTCAGGAAATTAAAAAAAAAAAAAAAACCAGTTGATTAATTAGCATGAACCAGAAATCACCTCTACAGTCCTGGACATACAGGTCACCTTGCCACCTTCCTGATGGCTGGTTCTAGATTCAGTGTGGACGAGAGATAGTGACAGAGGTGACCTGCTTGGGCCTAGACACACCCACCCAGGCACCACATGAATTCAACTGAATGTAATTCCAAGAGCTCCTGGAGAGGCAAGGCAGGCGGCCACCAGCACCGCCCTGGGCGGACGGAACTGCCATTAGAAATATCCTAAATTGGCTGGGCGCGGTGGCTCATGCCTGTAATCCCAGCACTTTGGGAGGCCGAGGCAGGCAGATCATCTGAGGTCAGGAGTTCGATACCAGCCTGGCCAACATGTGAAACCCCATCTCTACTCAAAACACAAAAATTAGCCAGGCATGGTGGGCACCTGTAATTCCAGCTACTCAGGAGGCTGAGGCAGGAGAATCGCTTGAACCCAGGAGGTGGAGGCTGCAGTGAGCCAAGATCATGCCACTGCACTCCAGCCTAGGCGACAGAGCGAGGCTCTGTCTCAAAAAAAAAAAAAAAAAAAAAATCCTAATTTGTCTGTATGCAGGGCAAATAGATTCAATGCTGTTGCCACAGAATTGCTTAAAGCTGCCAAAGCCACTCCTCCTAGAACTAGATTAATCAGCCAGTTCCAGGACAGGCCAACTTCTTGTTTGTCTTTCTGAGTCCTTTCTCAGCCATTGTTAGCCACACGCTGCCATGCCACAAAATAAAACACACGATGGAGACGCTGCTTGGCCAGGCTTTTCTTTTCTTTTCTTTTCTTTTCTTTTATTTTCTTTTCTTTTCTTTTATTTTCTTTTTTTTTTTGAGATGTGGTTTTGCTCTTGTTGCCCAGGCTGGAGTGCAATGGCGTGATCTCTGCTCACCGCAAACCTCTACCTCCTGGGTTCAAGCGATTCTTCTGCCTCAGTCTCCCGAGTAGCTGGGATTACAGGCATGTGCCACCATGCCCAGCTCATTTTGTGTTTTTAGTAGAGACGAGGTTTCTCCACGTTGGTCAGGCTGGTCTCGAACTCCTGACCTCAGGTGATCTGCCCACTTCAGTCTCCCAAAGTGCTGGGATTATAGGCGTGAGCCACCGTACCCAGCCAATTTTTTGTATTTTTAGTAGAGATATGGTTTCACCATGTTGGCCAGGCTGGTCTCGAACCCCTGACCTCACATGATCCACCCGCCTCGGCTTCCCAAAGTGCCAGGATTACAGGTGTGAGCCACCATGCCCAGCCTTTGGCCAGGCTTTTCTGATTGAATGTTTCTAGCAGTGGAATGTAAGTCTGGGAGGAAGAAGCAGAACTTTCACCTCAGCCCACGTGTCCCATGTCATTCGCCACCATCTCCCACCTGTCTTAGAACTGTGCCTCAGTCCTAAGTATTAAGCCGGCACAAGGCCATTCACAAACGACCTCTGCCTGAGTTGTGTGTCCTGGGCACTTCCGTGGCTAGGGACCGTGTTCCCATTTTCCAGACGGGTAGGCAGCAGCTCAGTGAGTTTGGGTAACTTGCCATGGTATGTCTTTTCCCAGACACCCTGTCGGGTGGTGGGCACTGGGGTGACCTGTCCTCGTCATCCAGTGGGAAATCCCCATCTGCTCTCTGGGGGTGGTTGTTTCCTTGTTCAGGAATTGCAGGCAAATGATGGAAAAGTCCACTCATTTGTCCCGCAGCCCCCAGCACTGGTCTATGCTGTCCTGTCTACGTCCTCGGATTGGCCTGGTTGGCTGAAAATGCCAGGATCAGCATTCAAAACACTTTGTCCAGTGAAGGGTTAAATATGTTGAAATAAGCCCGGCCTTTACAAAAGCAGTGGCATTTACATCCTGTACGTTTATGGAAATCCTTGCTGAAGAAAAACAACCACAACATTGTTTGTGCGTGTTTTTAGGAAGAGAATGGCCAAAGTGTCTTTAATTCACTGTTTACCCGTGAGAATTACTCCCAGGAGTAATCCCGCAATAAAATCTTCTTGGTCTATGAGAATAGAAAGAAATTGAATCAAAAGACTCGATTTCCACTTGTATTTATTCAGTCTGGGAAATTCAGTGGGCCGGAGTATTAGTATCAGCAGGGGATTCCTTTGCTCCTAGCGTTAAATTACTGTCATAATCGCTCAATTATTTCTTCCTTGTACTGTTTAAAATAAAAATCCATCACATTCTGTGTTTTTTTTCCTAGCATTTATTAGGTTGAGTGTTTAGGAAAATCAATTATAGTCAGTCAGGCATGAATTGATGAATGTTCTTGTAATAATTGTCAGTTGTTAAACTGAATGTACTTTCTCTTTCACCCCTTTTCATTTCCTTCAGAGGGCAGAGGTGGCTCAGAGAGAGGCGGAGACCTTAAGGGAACAGCTCTCATCGGCCAATCACTCCCTCCAGCTGGCCTCACAGATCCAGAAGGCACCAGACGTGGTGGGTAGCCCCGGCCCCGTGGGGGACTGTCCCCGCCTGGCCTCCGCACCTTCGAGTTACAGCCGCTTGCTCCTTTTTGTTTTCAGCATCTCTTTTTGGGAATCACGTTTTAACTAGTACTGCTTTCTCGGTGGGGTTTGCTTTGACCAATTGGGGGCCGGAGCTTGTTAAAGTCGAAGGAAGAGCTTTGCTAACTGTGCGTGGGTGGGCTGAGGCTAGCGTGGCATCCACCCAGGGCCAAGGTGGAGGCTACGCAGGCACAGTCACAGACACAGTCACGATGCCCCAGCCAGGCCTGGGGGTGTGATCGCTGGCATGCGGGTGCAGACCCGAACCAGGAGCCTCTCCAGAATGACACGGAGAAATTGAGGGTTTCCGCTGTGCCTTTCCAAGATGAGGAACAGTTCAGGATGAGCTGGGAGGGTAGGGGTGGGCGGGCAGAGAGGTAATAAAATAACATTCTGCACCGAGTTTATAGAGCAGGAAGAGTGGGTATCACACCACTTTTTTGCAGCTTGCTTTTTCTGAAATTAGCGCAAATGGCTCTTAGCCCAAACATTCCCAGCTCGATCAAGGTGGCTTTGAACTATGGGTTTCCAGACTCTCTTTCAATGCTGTATAGGGACAAGGAACAGCGTAGGAGCTAAGACCTTGGGTGTTGGAGCCATAGCCCCCAGTGCAGACCCCAGCTCAGCAGTCTGGTGATGGGGACAAAGGAGCTTAACGTCCCTGAGTCTCCGTTTCCCCGCCTGTAAACTGGGGGGTTGGTGCGAAAGTTATTATGAGCAAATAACTTAGAGCAAAGCTGGACATGTAATAAGACTAAGTAAACCTTAGCAGTAATTCTAGTTGTAGTTGGCACCATTATCTCTGATCCCTCAGTTTTGGGTTTTTTTTTTTTTTCTTTTTTTTTCTAAGACAAGGTCTCTCTCTGTTGCCCAGGCTGGAGTGCAGTGGCGCAGTCTTGGCTCACTGCAGCCTCCACCTCCCAGGCTCAAGGGATCCTCCCAGCTCAACCTCCCGAGTAGCTGGGACTGCAGGCGCACACCACCACACCTGGCTGATTTTGGTATTTTTTATAGGGACTAGGTTTTGTCGCGTTGCCCAGGCTGGTCTCAAACTCCTGGACTTAAGTGATCCTCCTGCCTCAGCCTCCCAGAGTGCTGGGATTACAGGCATGAGCCACCACGCCTAGCCTGATCCCTCAATTTCTAGCACATAATTTCATCACTAGTTCACTTACAAACCTCAGTTTTCCCATGTGTAAAATAGGAATTAAGTGATCACAAGGCCGCTCTATGGAGCCCTCATCCTAAGGTTACAATGAGTACATATCAGTTGTAGGAGTCCTTTTATCCAACAGTGACTCCGTCAAGCCCTTGCCGTATGCTAGGGCTTGTAGTGGACACCCGAAGAACCATAAGGAGTAAGATGAGGCTGGTTGCAGAGAGTACAGTCTCATCAGAAGAACTTGCTCTTGTAATAAATTCAATCATTGACAATCATTATTTCCACCCAATCTGTGAAACAGAATACCGTTATTTCTTTTTTTTGAGAGAGAGTCTTCTTCTGTCGCCCAGGCTGGAGTGTAGTGGCGTGATCTCAGCTCACTGCAACCTCCACCTCCACCTCCCGGGTTCAAGCAATTCTCGTGCCTCAGCCTCCCAACTAGCTGGAGCTGCAGGCGCATACCACCATGCCCAGCTAATTTTTGTATTATTTGTAGAGATGGGGTTTTGCCACATTGCCCAGGCTGGTCTTGAACTCCTGTCCTCAGGTTATCCACCTCCCAAAGTGCTGGGGTTACAGGCATGAGCCACTGCGGGATCTCACTCGGTCACCCAGGCTGGAATGCAGTGGAGTGATCATGGCTCGCTGTAGCCTTGACCTGGGCTCAAGCGATCCTCCTGCCTCAGCCTCCCAGGTCTTGAACTCCTGTCCTCAGGTTATCCACCTCCCAAAGTGCTGAGATTACAAGCATGAGTCATCATTCCCGGCCCTATTTTTTTATATAGATGAAGAAACAAAACCTCCATGAATGTAAACACCTTTTCCCAAAGCACAGTCAATCTAATGGCTGAGCTAAGACCTGAATTGGGCGTTCTGGCACCCCAGACTGTGGCTTTTAAATTATTCCCCAGGAATGAATCTAGATCAAGGTATTAAGACTCCCTTCTAAGAAAAGATTTTAGCCTTCTTTTTAAAATTAACATTAATTAAAACATTTGTTGCTGGGCGCAGTGGCTCACACCTGTAATCCCAGCCCTTTGGGAAGCTGAAGCAGGAGGATCACTTGAGGCCAGGAGTTTGAGACCGGCCAGGGCAAAATATCGAAACCCCATCTCTACAAAAATTTTAAAATTAGCTGGGCATGGTGGTATGTGCCTGTAGTCCCAGCTACTCAGGAGGCCGAGGCAGGAGAATTGCTTGAACCCAAGAGGCAGAGGCTGCAGTGAGTTATGATTGTGCCACTGTGCTCCAACCTGGGCAACAGAGAGAAACCCTGTCTCCAAAAAAGTAAATATGAGACTGGGTGTGGTGGCACACACCTGTAATCCTAGCACTTTGGGGGGCCGAGGCGGGCAGATCACCTGAGATCAGGAGTTTGAGACCAGCCTGGCCAATATGGCGAGAACCTGTCTCTACTAAAAATAGAAGAATTAGCTGGGTGTGATGGTGGGCGCCTATAATCCCAGCTACTCAGGAGGCTGAGGTAGGAGAATCGCTTGAACCTGGGAGACAGAGGTTGTGCAGTGAGATCGTGCCATTGCATTCCAGCCTGGGCGACAGCAAGACTCCATCTCAAAACAAAACAAAACAAAAAAAGATATGATTGAAGTGTTCCTGGATGTAGAGAAAAGATTTGCATTGAGCAGGCCATCACGTCCTTCATACTTCATGGACTCTGGAACTTAATTTTAACTGAATGTCCCCTTGGCTCTGTTACAGTTCCTTCCTCTAAGTTTAGACAAACTGGATCCAGCACCATGGCTAGGGTGGGAGGCAGCCTTCAGGACAGGGTCAGCGGCTTCCCCTGGCCCCTGGGGTCCTGCTTCATTCTGCAAAGGAAGTCGTCCATTCTGATGTGTCTACACGGGGCCCCTGAGCTCAGTGTTTTGGTTGAAAAGAATTCTGGCACTATCCTGGACTGCAGCAACCAAAACATTTCAGAAGGAAATGAATGTTTTTGCAGGTAGAGTCCGTTGTGGATCCTAGGGGCGCTTAAACACTTCATCATCGGTTAAGTGCCGTGTTTACATGGCACCGGTTCAGTCTCCCCAGAGCAGCCCCGTGGGGCTCCCCGCGGGCGTGTATTCCCACATAGCCAGTGGGTTCCAGCTGCAGCCAGTTGGGGAGCAAACATAGGAAACTGGGCCAGCGGAAAAATGGTCTGTTGGGCTTGGCTGGCAGAATGCAGCAGAGAAACGGTGGAGTCTGTAGATCTAGCAAAGGCCAAAACCCATCCATTGGGTATCCCAGTGGAATCTCCGATTCTAGAAGGTGAGCGGTCACTGAGTGAGCTGCTGGCCCAAGTTTGCAGCCATGCTGGGCTTTGCATAGTTTTGTTTGTTTGTTTGTTTTTTAGTGAGATGTAGCCCCGCTCTGTCACCCAGGGTGGAGTGCAGTGGCGCAATCTGGGCTCACTGCAACCTCCACTCCTGGGTTTAACCAATTCTCCTGTCTCAGCCTTCTGAATAGCTGGGATTACAGGTGTGCGCCACCATACCTGGCTAGTTTTTGTATTTTTGCTAGAGATGGAGTTTCACCATGTTGGTCAGGCTGGTCTCAAACTCCTGACCTCAGGTGATCTGCCCACCTCAGCCTCCCAAAGTGCTGGGATTACAGGCGTGAGCCACCGCACCCAGCCTCCCTAAAGCTTTGAAGGCCACCTCTTCCTCTCTCTGATTTCCTCTCTAGCTTTTGCCCATGTCTCTCCCAGCCATCACCCTATGGACTGACAGGCCGCTGCTTCTCATCCAGGCCCCCTGGATCGCTCCCCAAGCCCCTCTCTGTTTCTTTCTTCATTCTCCCTTATGTCCTTGTGACAGCACAACTGGGAGTGCCCACTGTGTTGAGATGGAGTGAGCCACAGTTTCAGATAAAGGAAGGATGGGCCAGGCGCAGTGGCTCACACCCATAATCCCAGCACTTTGGGAGGCCAAGGCAGGCGGATCACAAGGTCAGGAGTTCGAGACCAGCCTGGCCAAAATGGCAAAATCCTATCTCTACTAAAACTATAAAAATTTGCCTTTGCCAGGCATGGTGGCATGTGCCTGTAATCCCAACTACTCAGGAGGCTGAGACAGGAGAATCGCTTGAACCTGGGAGGGGGAGGTTGCAGTGAGCTGACGTGACACCACTGCACTCCAGCCTGGGTGACAGAGCAAGACTCCATCTCAAAAAACAAAAACAAAAAAAACAGATAGAGGGAGGATGGTCATGTCTGTGTCATTTCCAAGGTCTTACTGCTTTGGGGTTCATTTTCACCTCATTTAGTTCGTGCGAGACAGCGATGATTTTTGCTGTTTTATGAAGGAGGAGTTTGTGGCTTGAGTTGCTGGGAGTTGGCCAGTGTGGCCGAGCTCTTGTGGCCATGCCCAGCCGGGCGCAGGAGTTGAGCCCTCGACCACCCGCTGCCCGGTCCCCACTCTGGGTCCAGGGACAGCACTGAAATCCACACCTTTGACCTGTGTCACTGGAAGCACCTGTCCCAGATACATTCACTTTGACTTGCGCCTTGTAAAACCCACATTCCCTTGGCTGGTTTTACTGACCCTTTTCGTAAAAGCCCTTTAATCAGTGTCTATGGCCAGCACCCCTCAGGGTGGAAGATTAAGATGAAGACGTGATATAGCATGATTCAACCTGTGCCCAGACTGACCTCCCTACATGTCACTTCTGCCATGTCCCCTCCTTGCTCCAGAGCTGGCAGGGACTCCCCAGGGCTGCCACCACATGTCCAGGCGCCTCTGGCTACCCCTGGCAGCTGTCACTCCTCCAGCCCTGCCCCACACTCCTGCCAGCCTCTGCACCTGCCTGCATGTCCTCCGCCCTTCCCCGGCACCCACCCTGAGATGGAGCCCCCTTTCCTTCCGACAAGGTCCCGCCAGCCCTCCCGAGGCCCACCCATTCCCCCCTCCTGTGGCTCAGCCCCACGTGCCACTGTCCTGGTCCTCCTACCCTGGAGGGCTCGTGACGTTGGCCCTGCCCGGCATTATTCAGAGCGGTGCTTTCCAGACTCCCTGTGATGGACAGTTTTGTTTTGTTTTTTAAATTTCCAGTCTGTGGCAGACTGATCGTTTTATATAAAAGACATTTAAAATGTCACCGAAATGCCGAATCGCTATAAAAGTTTCTAAACACTTATTCTCGATTTCTGTAATTGCCTCACTGTGCACCAGCAACAGTTTGCAAATTGGCAACGATCCCTGCAGCTCACGCTGCACAGAACGGGCCTGGACAGCCTGTGCCTGGTAAATAAGCCGACAGGAGATGCTCGCTCCAGCCCCCCAGGGCCACGCGCACAGCTGTCAGAGGTCAGGAGAACCGAAACACCTCTTTTACAACCTCATACAAATCAAAGAAGCAGGAAGGAGTACCCTCTTTGCACACAAAACTTTACAGACTTAAATGGTAAAGGCCTCATTTTCCCCGAGGGAGATATAAAACATTATTTCCCTGAGTGAATGCCTGCCTGTCCCCAAATTTGAAAATCCGTGGTGAGCACACGGTGCATGGGATGGCCCAGCTGTACCTGCCAGCTGGGGCCACGGTGCCACCCTTTCCCCACAATACAAGCAAGATCAGGACGTGAAACTGAGCACTTCAGAGGGGGGACAGCGGCAAGGACAGTGGCTTTCTGTGTTACAGCATGAGCTGCCCCCAGGATTCGGCTGTCATAGACACCATGCAGCTCTGCCCTCTCCACCCCTGTCCCCGTCTGTCATGCCCAGAATTGCATCTGCCCTGCAGAAAATATTTCAGAATCTTTCAGGAGCCAGGATTCCTTTTTTTTTTTTTTTTTTTTTTTTTTTGCTTTGACACAGAGTCGCTCTGTCACCCAGGCTGGAGGTCAGTGGTGCAATCATGGCCCACTGCAGCCTCAACCTCCTCAAGCTCAAGCAATCCTCCCGCCCCAGCCTCCTGAGTAGCTGGGACTATAGGCATGCACCACAATGCCTTGCTAATTTTTGTATTTTTTTGTAGAGATGGGTTTTCGCCATGTGGCCCAAGCTGGTCTCGAACTCTTGAGCTCGGGTGATCCACCCACCTCTGCCTCCCAAAGTGCTTGGATTACAGGTGTGAGCCACAGCACCTGGCCCCGTGATTACTTTTAAAGGTTGAAAAAAGTACTACTTGAGTCATTGAGAAGTAGAATTACAGATTTGACTTTTTCCTTTTTTTTTTTTTAATACCTTAGCTTTTTTCTATTTTGCGTATTTTCCACAATGAGCATTTAGTGAGGTTAAGGGGTGGGTAGCCAGGTTTTTTTCACATCAATTATCCTAAGAGTTCTTCAACAAAGGAACACCAAATATACATTTTCCACATCTTTTAATTCTTTTATTAAATAAAATACTGGCCGGGCACAGTGGCTCATGCCTATAATCCCAGCACTTTGGGAGGCCAAGGTGGGTGGATCACTTGAGGTCAGGAGTTCGAGACCAGCCTGGCCAACATAGTGAAACCCCATCTCTACTAAAAATACAAAAATGAGCCAAGTGTGGTGGTGCCCACCTGTAATCCCAGCTACTTAGGAGGCTGAGGCAGGAGAATTGCTTGAACGCAGGAGACGGAGGTTACAGTGAGCCGAGATCGCGCCACTGCACTCCAGCCTGGGCGACAGACCAAAACTCTATCTCAAAAAAAAAAAAAAAAGAAAAGAAAAAGAAAATGCTGATACAGAGTTTTCAATTTGTCAGACAATATCTCAGCTTCCGGGTAATTTAACAGTGAATCTCAAGGACCTTGAATCCCACCTTGTGGTGGAAAATCTCGGTGGTTTGGGAGCATTGGAGGGAGGCTTCCTCCTCTGAGCCACCCACTCTGCTGTTCCCCTGCCTGGAGCACTCTTCCCTCTTCCCCAACGCTCAGCAGCCCCTCCCCACCTCCTCCTCCTCCAGGTCTCTGCTCACACATCACCATCTCAGTGAGTCTTTTCCTGGCCATCTTACTAAACCCCCTGCCTCTCAGCTCTGACTCTGGCCTCTGTTTTAAGTCTCCTTTGACAGTGGTCACCCCGCACACTTTTCATTACTAATAAGTGTATTTTCTGCATCTCACTCATCCTGCCGCATCCCTGCTGGGCTGTAAGCCCTGGGAAGACAGGGACTTTTCTCCTGTTTTTTTTTGTTTTTTTGAGACAGAGTCTCATTCCTTTGCCCAGGCTGAAGTGCAGTGGTACAATCTCAGCTCAGCGCAACCTTCTTCTCCCGAGTTCAAGTGATTCTCCTCCTCAGCCTCCCGAGTAGCTGGGATTACAGGTCACCACCACGTGCCTATAATTAGCCCAGCTAATTTTTGTATTTTTAGTAGAGACGGGGTTTCACCATGTTGGCCAGGCTGGTCATGACCTCCTGACCTAAGGTCATCCACCCACCTTGGCCTCCCAAAGTGCTGGGATTACAGGCGTGAGCCATTGCACCCAGCCTGGACTTTCTTTGATTCACTGCTATATGGTTGGTACATGGTAGGCACTCAGTACATATTTGTCCAGTGAATGAATCGAGGTGGCAGCTAACCACAGGGGGAGGAAGGTTGCATAGGGGAAGTGCAAGCAAGGGCAAGAAGTGACATCCTGCCATCACCATCCACACACTGACATCTGTGCAGCTTCTGTCTCAGTTGCCAGCACAGGTAGCCTCGAGCACCCGCCTCAAGGCCAGCGCAGTTTTGTCATCTCTTTTCTCCTCCCCAGGAGCAGGCCATAGAGGTGCTGACCCGCTCCAGCCTAGAAGTTGAGTTGGCCGCCAAGGAGCGGGAGATCGCACAGCTGGTGGAGGACGTGCAGAGACTCCAGGCCAGCCTCACCAAGCTGCGGGAGAATTCGGCCAGCCAGATCTCACAGCTTGAGCAGCAGCTGAGCGCCAAAAACAGCACACTCAAAGTAAGGGGGCTGCGGGGCCCGGGGGTGGCCCGAGGAGGCAGGGCGGATGGCTGGACACACGCGCACACACACACCCTCTGCCTTTCTGGACTTGATAGCAAGTGTGGCAACCTTGAACCTCTGTAAAGTAGCACCAAGCAGAGTCCCGGAGTCCATGGCAGGGAGACTGGATGTTAAACCCTGGCATCAGCCCTTGTGTAAACAGCATTTCCCTCTTTTTTTTTGGAGTCGGAGTCTCGCTCTGTTGCCCAGGCTAGAGCACGGTGGTGCAATCTCGGCTCACTGCAGCCTCCGCCTCCCAGGTTCAAGTGATTCTCCTGCCTCAGCCTCCCATGTAGCTGGGATCACAGGCGTGCATCACCATGCCCGGCTTATTTGTTTATTTATTTATTCATTCATTTATTTTTGAGACAGAGTTTCATTCTTGTCACACAAGCTGGAGTGCAATGGCATGATCTGGGCTCACAGCAACCTCCACCTCCCAGGTTCAAGCGATTCTCCTGCCTCAGCCTCCTGAGTAGCTGGGACTACAGGCGCCTGCCACCACACCCAGCTAATTTTTGTATTTTTAGTAGAGATGGGGTTTCGCCACATTGGCCAGGCTGGTCTTGAGCTCCTGACCTCAGGTGATCTGTCCACCTCAGGTTGCCAAAGTGCTGAGATTACAGGTCTGAGCCTCTGCACCCGGCTCTTTAACTGAGTTTTGCAGGGCATCCTAGCTTTCTGAGGATACCCCTACAGGAGGAGCTGGTGTACTATAACTCCAGCACTTCCGGTGCATGAGCCAAATGAAACCCCAGAGGTCCATGGAAGTCACATCTGACCTTCTAAGGGACATTCTCTTGTCCAAGCACCTTTTCCCTCAGTGGCCCCTGTCCAGGTGCTGCTTCAGTCTAGGCTCCCTCCCACTAGGCACTCTTGGCTTTTCCATAAATTTCTATCCCAGACGCAGAACCCAGAGCTTTTTCCACATATTAAAAAGTAATGATTATACTTTAGGTATTTATGATCCGTTGAAGCAAGTGTAATTTGAAGAGGGTCCTGGGACCCTTGATTCACAGGCTTCAGAGCCAGGGGAGACTCTCGGAGTTGTCTGTCTTGACAGCGAAGAAGGCAGGACCTTCAGGGCAGGGCTTCAGCCCCAGGCCAGGGGTTCCCTGCTCTGCCCGGGGGCTGCCCGTTCAGGCCCATTCCTTCCCCAACCCGGTACCTCCATGTTGGGTGGGTGAGGGAATGAGTGGCTGTAAAGTATATTCATTGTATGAATAAAGTGGGTCAGGGTTCATTGTGAACATTTAAAGGAAACCTTTTCTGGTATGAAGTAGTCCTAGGATGTACTTAGGTCCATTGTGTTTTGTCGTTGTTGTTGTTGTTGTTGTTTTTGAGACGGATTTTCGCTTTTGTCGCCGAGACTGGAATGCAATGGCGCAGTCTTGGCTCACTGCAACCTCCGCCTCCTGGATTCAAGCAATTCTCCTGCCTCAGCCTCCTGAGTAACTGAACTACAGTCACGCGCCACCATGCCAGACTAACTTTTATATTTTTAGTAGAGGCGGGGTTTCACCATGTTGGCCAGTCTAGTCTCAAACTCCTGACCTCAGGTGATCACCAGCCTCGGCCTCCCAAAGTGCTGGGATTACAGGCGTGAGCCACTGCCTTTTTTTTTTTTTTTTTTTTGAAACGGAGTCTCACTCACTGGCCCAGACTGGAGTGCAGTGACAGGATCATAGTTCACGGCAACCTCGAAGTCTCGGGCTCAAGCGATTCTCCTTGCCTCAGCCTCCCAAGTAACTGGGACCCTGGGACCAAAGACATGCCCCACCACACCCAGCTAGTTTTTTAATTTTTTGTGGAGATGGGATTTCACTGTGTTCCCCAGGCTGGTCTGGGACGCCTGGGCTCAAGCAATTCTCCCACCTCGGCTCCCAAAACACTTTGGGATTATAGGCATGAGCCGCTGCACCTGGCCCAATGTCTTTTTTTTTTTTTTTAATTGAAATTTTCTTTTTGACACATGACCAAATTTATACCAAGACTAAGTTTCCAGCAATCTATTGCCTATGCTGATGGCTCCCACGACCCTCCCTCACTCCTTTCTTCTGCCTCTTTGGGGTGAATTTCACCCATTCACTGAGAACTGCCCAGCGCCGGGTCCCTTGGAGGAGACAGTCCTGCCGACTTTGGGGAAATGGTTGAAACCTGGTTCTGTCTGTCCTCAGCCAGGTCGTTTTTTTTAAATTTTTATTTTATTTTATTTTATTGTATTTTATTTTATTTTATTTTATTTTATTTTATTTTATTTGAGACGGAATTTCGTTCTGTTGCCCAGGCTAGGGTGCGATGGCGCCATCTCCACTCACTGCAACCTCTGCCTCCCATGTTCAAGTGATTCTCCTGCCTCTGCCTCCTGAGTAGCTGGGATTACAGGCATGAGCCACCACTTCCGGATAATTTTGTATTTTTAGTAGAGATGGGATTTCTCCGTGTTGGTCAGGCTGGTCTCAAATTCCCGATCTCAGGTGATCCACCCGCCTCCGCCTCCCAAATGCTGGAATTGCAGGTGTGAGCCACCGCGAACCAGGTCATTTATTTTGTCACCGCCGTTTCTTCCTCTCTCATCAGCTTACCCAATGAGTACCAGGATTCAGTTTTTATTTCTACATTTAATCTCATTTTCTCATGTTACAGCCATTTCTGACCCCAGCAACGGCATTATGATGAGATAATTTGCCTTTCTCTCCATTGTCAAGTTAAAGGGCGTGACTCAGATACACACCGGCTACAAGAGAGCAAAGCTGTAGACCTCACATTTTTTATTATAGAGCAATTTCTTCCAAATCAGTTAAGGTTTCAATGTTTGCCTTCACAAAAAAATGAAACGCGGTTTTGCAAATTAATGTTCGTTATCCGTATCTTGGGGGAATTGTTTAATACCGTGCAGTTAATGAAACAATTCAGCGATACTTCTTCCAAAATCATTGCTACCTTATCTTCATCTAATCTAATAATCAAAACATATCTTCTAGTAACAAGACTTCTGATTTTAATTATCTTAACTCCTTGTTGCCAGATTGTCCTGATACGAAACCCACATGCAGAAAGCATCTGACTTCACCAAACCAGGGTTTCCTCTCGCCCCAAAGGAATAAGGTTAATTGAATGAGATATGTTCTGAGGGCTTTTTGTTTTTCCTAATGTGTATAATGTATAGCCTCAAATATAACCTAAAGGAATACAATTATTAGGAAAATATTTTTATGAATAAGACTTGGCAAATTGGCAACCTGATGCTTTTGCCATGGGGAACCCTGCCCCCGCAGTCTTGGCTACTCAAAGAACTCACCTTTACTTACCACGGAGCTGCTTTCTTTCTTTCTTCTTCCTGTCCCCTTCCCCTCTTTCATGTCTTACGGGGGACCCTCGGACACACGATGGGGCCTTGAATCAGGTTGCTGTTTGGGAGAGGAGGCTCCAAGCTCCCAGCTCTGGGCTCAGCTGTTTGGAGTTGCAGGTGGTTTTCCCATGAACACTTGGCAGCAGGTCCTTGATCTTTGAGACATGTGCCAGGGTGTTTGGTGACAGTCACTTGGGGAGAGGGCATTTCCCATAAGCAGAAGGCTTATTGGGCAGAATCTTTTGTCCTGAGTTCACTGAGTTGTTTCCACCCATACTTTCCAATGATACTTTCTGTAGTTGGATATATCAGAGGACTGACTAATTGGTTTTCTTTCTCTAACCCATTGAAATTCTCCATCTTTCTGCCACTGAGATTTCTCCTCTTCCCTCAAATTTGATTTGTTATTTCACAAGGATACCAGACAGCTGCACATCTTCGAGTCTGTCCTGTCCAGGGCTCTACTTTTTCAAGCAAAGCTCCCCATAAATGCCCCGCTATCCACGTGTGTCATGGGACATCGCTAACCTTTAATTAGGCATGGAAACAGACGCAAAAGTGGAAGATGTTTCCTCCTGCCTAATCTGACAAGTGCTTAAGCATAGTGCCACTTGTAAAGAAGAACTGTTTTTGCAATTAATGAAATAGCCCGACCGCCGTGACAAGGCTGCTTTTTGATAACTCTCTATTCTGTGGTCTTCTGTTGGAATGCTTTAATATAGAAGCAGTATAATTAGCTAGTCAACTGCACTGTACTTGCTACAGCACAGAAGATAATGCTACCAATAGCTTCGATTTAAAATAGATATTTATAAGAAAGGCTAACTAAAAGAACACCAGTCTCCCAGAAGGAGAAATTATATTTTTCTAGAGATGCGTTAAAGATCAGTGCTTCCCACTGGGTGGATGGTCACATGCGTTAGAATCACCTAGGGGTCTTTTCCAAACTGCTTCTCTTTCCCCACTCCTGAGGTTCTGATGGGTCCCATGGAGACACTATGGGATGATGCTGTGTCCCTCGGGGCACTGAGGTGGTATAAAAGAGGTGGTATAAAACCGTCCCTCTGGCCTTGGGTGTCTCTCTTTTCATCTTGCATTCTCGGAGCCCAGGAGTTCAAGACCAGCTAATTTTTTGTATTTTTAGTAGAGACAGGGTTTCACCATGTTGGCCAGGCTGGTCACGAGCTCCTGACCTCAGGTCATCTGCCCGCCTCAGCCTCCCAGAGTGCTGGGATTACAGGCGTGAGCCATCGCGCCCGGCCCCATCTCTTAATTTTTTTTTTTTTAATGAGCCAGAGTGGTGGCACATGCCCGTTGTCCCAGCTACCTGGGAGGCTGGGGAGAGAGGATCATTGGAGCATACACAGCACCCACCCCATTGCTTTGGAGATTTGGACTCACCGTCCAGAGTCCACAGTATCCTTGGGCTCCTCCCCAACTCCCAGCATCAGCAGAACCTAAATCTCCATGCCTGCTGCCTCTGCCTGAGGAACCATGGAGACACATGTCCTTATCTATGGAGAGTCCTTGTCCAGTAGAAGAGGAGGTGCATGCTGCCCAGGCCTGGACCCCAGAGATGCAGTGTCAGCTAAGGGTCTGTGCCTCAGACCCCTGCCCTGGGCCAGGGGGTCCCCGTGAGACCGAAGACTCCCACACCAACTCTAACCTGAGCCAGTCAGACAGCACCATGTGGAGCCTGGCCCCATTTATCTGCACTGCAGATGCCACTCTGCCCCCACGGTCAGAATTTTATGGAAAAGAGATATTGTCACCTTGACCACTGGCTGTGCAACCTGGAAGACATGACCTTTCCCTGGGTCTCTGCCTTAGTCAGACCTGCCAGAGGCCCCTTTGCTGTTTTTTTGAGACAGGGTCTCACTCTGTTGCCCAGGCTGGAGTGCAGTGGCACCATCATAGCTCACTGTAGCCTCGACCTCCCTGGCTCAAGGAATCCTCCCACCTCAGCCTCCCAAGTAGTCGGGACTACAGGCACACGCCACCACACCCGGCGAATTTTTATATCTTTTGTAGAGATGGGGTCTTGCTATGTTGCCCAGGCTGGTGTCGAACTCCTGGGCTCAAGTGATCCTCCCACCTCAGTCTCCCCTAGTGCTGGGGTTACAGGCGTGAAACACCATGCCCTGCAGTAGATAGACATAGTTTATAGATTAAACACCTAATTTGCTAAAGCCAAAATAGTTGGCATTGTAAAGTTTATTATCATTTAAGTCTTAGCCAGGCTTTTAAGAGCTTCAAATAGACAATTCTTCTGGCATTTCAGGACCCAGCTGGGGAGCACCAGCTAGGTTTCTGGAGCCATGTGGGCTCCGTGTATCTTTTCCATCGTATTATTACAACAGGCGTGTTTGATTGGCACTTGATCATCCTACATCTCACCACTGTCCTTTGAAAACCCATATTCATTCTGAATCTCCCCATTCTTCAGATGAGAAATGTGAGGCCCAAACAGGCTAAGGTTATCCAAGGTCACAGTCAGCTAGGGTAGGACCAGGTTGGCAGCCAGGTCTCTGACACTTGGCCTTTTCTTACCTGTCTGTGTAAAGCCCACGTGTGTTCCTTAGATTCATGCATTTTATTTTATTTTATTTTTAAAGACAGGATCTTGCTCTTTTGCCCCAGGATGGAGTACAGTGGCGTGATCATAATTCACTGCAGCCTCAACCTCCAGGGCTCAAGTGATCCTCCCACTTTAGCCTCCCAAGTAGCTGGAACTACAGGTGTGCACCACCACACCCAGTTAATTTTTAAATTTTTGTAGAGACAGGGTCTCTCTATGTTGCCCCTGCTGGTCTTGAACTCCTAGGCTCAAGCAATCCTCCTGCCTCGGCCTCCCAAAGTGCTGGGATTCAAGGCATGACTCACTGCACCCAGCCAGACAAGTGCATTTTTCAGGAAGATGACCAGTTCCCAGATTCTCTTTCCACAGCCTTGGACATGAAGTTACCCTTGACAGCGGGAGCCACTCCAGGGCACATGTGCTCTTTCTCTGTGGCTCTGCTACAGAATAGCGGGGACCCTGGGAGGTGACAGGCTGAGATCCGCAGACCTTCACGAACAGAGCCCCTGGAGAAACAGAACCAGAGACTCTCTTCAGATCCAATGTAGCCAGATTCAACCCCACCTAGCAGGGATGTAGTAATTGTAGTAACAAGGACAGTAACAGTGCTAACCACCATTTACAGAGCACTTTGCCATGTGCCCACACTGTACTAAGCTCTAAGTACCCAATATTTTTTTAATCCTCATCAAAGCACTGTAACATATAAACATGATCCCCATTTTATAGATAAGGAAACTGAGGCTTGGAGAAGTCAAGTCTGGGTGGGTAGGTTGGTTGGTTGGTTGATTGGTTGATTTATTTATGTATTTAGAGACAGGGTCTCACTCTTTTGCCTGGGGTGGAGTGGCACCATCACAGCTCACTGGAGCCTCCACCTCCCAGACTCAAGTGATCCTCCTGCCCCAGCCTCCTGAGTAGCTGGGACTGCCGGCACATGCTAACACACCCAGCTAATGTTTTGGGGTTTTTTTTTTGTTTTTTTTTTTTGGTAGAGACGGGGTCTTGCTATGTTGTCGTGCTTATCTTGAACTCCTATGCTCAAGCGAGCTACCACACCTGACCCAAGATGTTGAGTCTTATCTAGGTTCACCCTGCAAGTACGTGGTGGAGCCAGGATCTGTCGGACTCTGGAGTCCAGGTTTGCAGAGAGCCCCCGGCTCATCCTGGCCTCTCCGGCATCTCACTTCCTCCCTGCAGGCACGTAGGACCGGCCTCAGCTCTGTCAAGATCTGCACTGTAGGACCCCAGAGATTTTTTTCTTTCTTTGGGTAGTCAGACCCATCTGCAAAAGTTTTGCAATCATGAAATCAGATAGCGTATGAAATGCTAGGAATAAGCGCAGGTCTAGCATACCACGCGGCCAGCGGTAGCGTGACCTGACAGGAGGAGTGCGTCTTCAGAGACATTGGGAAACTGGCGTGCCTGTCGCCCGTCCCAGGGTCAGAGTCTTCGAAACCAGGCTTTCTGGGAACCCAACAAGGAGTTTCTGATCGAAGAACCGCACTGAGGACAGTTAGTCTTTTTTCCACACTGGGCATTTTCAGCATTGGAAGTCAATGGGAGCCCTGCGTCTGCAGGTTTTGAGATGTGGCACTCACAGCAGGGTCACTAGAATGGAGACATCCATGGGACCAGGTTACAGGCGCTCCGGCAGTTGGGAGAAGCGTCGCCAAGCAGCCTCCCCTAGGCTCCATCCAGCTTGTCTGCCCAAGACAGAAAACGTCATAGAAGGTTTACAGAAGAGATCTTGGGGACTTCCTAGTTCAACTGCCCCTAGGTAGATGGCAGAACCCTCAATGGAAGCTGTTTAGCTCTCAGCAAAACTCACGGCCAACTAAAATACAGTCGTGTGTCACTTAACAATGAGGCTGTGTTCTGAGAAATGCGTCAATAGGTGAATGCGTTGTTGTGCAATCATAGTGTGTACTTGCACAAACCTAGATAGTATATATATATATATATATTTTTTTTTATTTATGCCTATTTTTCATACAGAAAACCAAATGTCCCAGCACCATTACTGAGCATTAGTCATTTCCCTTGCTTGATCTGCAGTGCCTTTATAAAGGGCCGTATGTCAACTTTCTCTGTATGTTCCATTAGAATCTTACGGGACTCAGGCCAGGCGTGGTGGCACACGCCTATAATCCCACACTTTGGGAGGCCGAGGCGAGTGGATCACTTAGTGTTAGGAGTTCGAGACCAGCCTGGCCAACATTGTGAAACTTCATCTCTACTAAAAATAGAAAAATTAGCCAGACATTTTGCAGGCACCTGTAATCCTAGCTACTTGGGAAGCTGAGGCAAGAGAATTGCTTGAACCTGGGAGGCAGAGGTTGCAGTGAGCCAAGATCGTGCCACTGCACTCCAGCCTGGGCAACAGAGCGAGACTCCATCTCAAAAAAAAAAGACTCTTATGGGACTTAGGCAGCCTTTGTTGACCAAAGCGTTATGCGGTGCATGATT
This sequence comes from Homo sapiens, assembly GCF_000001405.40. Classification (NCBI taxonomy): domain Eukaryota; kingdom Metazoa; phylum Chordata; class Mammalia; order Primates; family Hominidae; genus Homo; species Homo sapiens. The sequence goes on from NC_000007.14 coordinate 102,187,099, forward strand.
ATACATGGATTCCACTCCTAAAACCTTCCAATTAGGGCCAATCACAGGCCTTCAAAGAAGACCTGCAGCCGTGCCCCTAGACAGAAACTGTAATGGGACTTAGCAGTGCTAAGAGTCCCAATATCAAGCCAGGAACCTGGAATCTCGGCACTTTGAGAGGCCAAAGCAGGAGGATCACTTGAGCCCAGGAGTTCAAGACCAGCCTGGGCAACATAGTGTGACCTCGTCACTACAAAATAACTTTAAAAAAAAAAACAAAGAGTCCCACTGTTGAGGGCCCAGAGTTGCCAACATCTGAACTGGTTCTTTGCTTTGTGCAAACCCTTGAGTAATTGCTGTTATTCCCATTTTACAGATGAGAAGTTTATTAACTTGTCCATAGGCACCCAGGTCAGAAGTGACAGACTCGAGTTCCAGGCTCAGGCTGTCGGCCTTCTTGGTCTGTGCCATGCCAGGCTCTGAGACCCTCTGTGTGCTCCTCCCTCTGTCTGCCTTATTCCCAGCCGGCTCCTATTCTCTGGATATGACCACGTTTATGCACGCTAAATTTAGACCACACCTGGCTAATTTTTTGTATTTTTTTTTTTTTTTTAGTAGAGACGGGGTTTCACCATGTTAGCCAGGATGGTCTCAATCTCCTGACCTCATGATCCACCCACCTTGGCCTCCCAAAGTGCTGGGATTACAGGCGTCAGCCACCGCGCCCAGCCCTGAATTTTTAAAACATCGGGCAGGTTGGGATTTGGATGGTGCCATCTCCTCCCCAAAGTCTAGAATGTTCTCAGTTGGCTTTAAACTGTGGTCTTAGCCATGGCTAGTCAAGGGCACCTACAGGCATGGTGGCTCACGCCTGTAATTCCAACACTTTGGGAGGCTGAAGTGGGAGAATCACTTGAGCTCAGGAGTTTGAGACCAGCCTGGGCAACATAGCAAGACCCCCTCTCTTAAAAAATAACCGGGTGTGGTGATGTGCATCTGTAGTTCCAGCTACTCAGGAGGCTGAGGCAGGAGGATCACTTGAGCCCAGGAGTTGGAGGCTGTAGTGAGCTATGATCGCACCACTGCACTCCAGCCTGGGTGACAGAGCAAGATCCTGTCTCTTTTTTAAAAAAAAAAAGAAGAAGAAGAACAAGAAGCATAATACCTAGAAACCCTGTAGAGGGGAAGTTACCGGAAATGACAATTGTTCACCTCTAGCTTGGAAACATGCTGAATGGCCAGAACACCCTCCCGGCACCGCCCCTCCATATTCTTGTTTTATGTAGAGTTGCCTCATTTCCTCCAAGGAGCTCCCTTTAGAAAAGATCAAAAGCAAACTAGTCCAAAAACACCTTCAGAGAAGAAAGCACCCCCTACGACCACCCTACAGCAATGGCTCCTCTCACAAGAAAGCCCTGCAGAGCTGTGGGCAGAAACGGCCACATCAGGCTGGGTGGGGTGGCTCACACCTGTAATCCCAGCACTTTGGGAAGCTGAGGCGAGAGGGTCACCTGGGGTCGGGAGTTCGAGACCAGCCTGGCCAACATGACAAAACCCCGTCTCTACTAAAAACACAAAAAAAAGTAGCCAGGAGTGGTGATGCATGCCTGTAATCTCAGCTACTGGGGAGGCTAAGGCAGGAAAATTGCTTGAACTTGGGAGGCGGAGGTTGCAGTGAGCGAAGCCAAGATCACGCTACTGCACTCCAGCCTAGGCAACAGAGCGAGAGTCTGTCTCCACCAAAAAAAAAAAAAAAAAAGGATTAAAAAGGAAAAAAAGGAAACAGGCCACATCAATCCCCAGTGAGCTCACAGACCTTTCTGGAGCCCACTGGAGCGTCATCATACTTTGGAAATGTGCCATCCCTCCCCTAGGCCCCTGAGAGGGAGCAGCATCTCGGTCAGGGCCCTCCCCGCAGGACTCAGACCAGCTGGCTGTCAGGGAAGCCACCAAGCACTCGACTGAACAGGTCCCTGCTCCTAAAACCCCAGCATCCAGGGGTTCAGGAGTGGAAAGGCCTTTGCCCTGATGCCTATCTGATGCCTACTCTCAATACAAAAGGGCTGTGTCTCTCGTTAGTAGAGGTCCTCCCAAAGGTGTTGACAACCAGCTGTATGAGTCCCTCAGCCTAATATATTTTGTTTAAAACCACACGCTGCTTTTCAGACACCAGGAAAGCCTCTCCTCCTGTCCTCCTGTTTGCTGTTTCATGGCACTTCCTACAAAGTACACTTTTCCTCCTCTGCTTTTCACCTCTGCAAAGATTCTTCCTTCTTTTTTTTGGGTGCGGGGGGGGATGCTTTTTTTTTTTTTTTTTTAAAAAAAAAAGAGGTAGGGTCTCCACTCCTCACTCTGTCACCCAGGCTGGAGTGCAGCAGCACAATCATAGCTCACTGCACCCTCCAACTCCCGGGCTCAGGCAGTCCTCCCACCTCAGCCTCCCAAAGTGCTGGAATTACAGGCGTGAGCCACCACACCCTTCATTCTGCTTTTGCTAAGTTGTACGTTACAACCTTACAGCATCCCTACACACTTTGCCGTGCCTGGGCACGCACTCACACTGGGCAGGCCAGGAGCGTGAGGGACAAAAGATGGCCCCAGCACCGTTGACTCCATTCGCAAGGGCTGGCTTCCCCTCTCAGGCACAGCTGGCTGTTCCGCAGTGAATGCCGTCGGTGAAGTCCGTCGACCTGTTGTCAGGCATGGCCACTGATCAAATTCTTCTCTGTTTTCAGCAACTGGAAGAAAAACTCAAAGGCCAGGCTGACTATGAAGAGGTGAAGAAAGAGCTGAAGTAAGTACGGAGAGCCCTGTGGCCCCTCACACGCTGGGGCGCATTAGGGCCATCTGCTAACAATGCCAGGCTGGTGGCAGGAAGCCTTGGCCCCCTGCCCTCTGGCTCAGCAGATGCCCGTAAATGCAGCCAGAGTTCTACCACTGCATGGTGTCCTGGGCTACCCACCACTGTGGGCGTTTGCCCTTGGGCCTGTCCCTGAATTCTTTGGACTTTTGCTAAAAGCTGTGCATTGCAGGTATTCCAGAATGTATGGAATCAGGGGCATAGGGCTTTTACAGAAATGATCAAATATGACCTTGTTTTGCAACTATAAATTCCCCAAACAGAAACAAAGCACAGGAGGGAAATGTTTTCGGGTTGAAGGTGGGCATATGGCCTCACGCTGCCCCGGCCTCCTGGACTCAGGAACTCTGTCTTCCAAACTCTATTCTCCATCTGTGAGGCTGTAGCCGAAAGCTTATCATCTTTTCAGGGCTAATGATGGCATTCTCAGTTCTCAAGCTTCAAAGTTCCTTTCTCGGCCAGCAGCCCCCACCTCTGCCTCCTCACCCTGAGCCTGCTTTGGCACTCTGGAGCTCCCAGGTCCTGGTCTTTACCTGTCCCCCCACATCCATAATGCTCCAGGCTCACTGACCTCCCCTGCAAGCCTGGAGCCTGTGGTCAGACCCTCTACGTTCATACAGCTCCCCTGGATCGTCAGCCATTCCAAGCCTTCCCACTGGCATGCCCGCCTCACTCCTAGGTTATTAAGCACTGCAAACGAAGGTTGCCTAGGGCATGGTGACCAGCCCCACAGGTCCCCCGTGCTTCTCGCGGCTGGAGCTCTGCTGGTTCGAGGCTTCCTCAGGGGTTCCTCCCTGCCCTTGTCACTGTTACCCCAACCACTATCCACAGATGCCCTAGCCCTCTGCTAGGGACAGACTCCCGCCTCTGGTCTTGGGTGCCACCTCCCATCTCTGCAGGCTGCCCCCTCTGCCTAGACCTTGAGTCCCTTCCTTCCTGCCCCTCCTGCTGTCCCATCAGCCCCTTTCTCTCTTGCTGCTATTTTCCATTTCTCCTTTTAAGATGAGCCTACACCCACTCACCACGTTTTCTTTGTGTTGTTAATTCCATTCTGCTAAGAAAAGCTCCTCGGGCATCCTCTTGAACCATCTCACTTCCATGACCAGCTGCCTTCTCTCGCCTGGGACCCCCAGCCTCCCTGGCGTCTGCTGGCCCTGGTAGTCCCTGTCCCCACCATGCTCTCCCCCTGAGCGGTCTCATCCCCTCTCCAGCTGCAAAGCCTCTGCCGGCACCTCCTCGGACAGACCCCTACATCCCTCTAACAGTTCCAGCCTCTGTAACTTACTTACTTGCTTGCTTACTTATTTATTTATTTGACAGAGTTTAGCTCTTGTTGCCCAGGCTGGAGTGCAATGGTGCTATCTCGGCTCACCGCAACCTCCGCCTCCCGAGTTCAAGCGATTCTCCTGCCTCAGCCTCACAAGTAGCTGGGATTACGGGCATGAGCCACCACCCCGGGCTAATTTTGTATTTTTGGTAGAGATGGGGTTTCTCCATGTTGGTCAGGCTGGTCTCAATCTCCCGACCTCAGGTGATCCACCCACCTCAGCCTCCCAAAGTGCCGGGATTACATGTAACTTATTATTAAACATTACCTGGTTAACCTTCTCTACCTGCCTCTCCTATCCCATTCTTTCCTTCCTTTCCCTCTTCTTCCCTCTTCCAAAAAGAAAAAGAAATTGGGCCTTTTAATTTTGAGCCAGAGAAACTGCTGCGAAGGCCTTTGCCCAGCCTCACCCTGGGAGTTAGTCGTCGTCTTCATTGTCGTCTTCGTTGTCTTCTTCTTTCTTCCTCTCTTCTTCTTTCTTCCTCCTCCTCTTCTTCTTTCTTCCTCTTCCTCTTCTTCTTCCTCTTGCTCCTCCTCCTCCTCCTCTTCTCCCCCAACCCCCACGTTCACTTCATCCCCTGGGAGCTGAGGCTTCCAGGCTCCAGCCTGCAACACATACCGTTCTACTCCCTCTCATCCACAGCCTGCCGGACCACAGGCTGCCCCTACCCCCACTGAAGGGCTGCCACACCAGCCCCGCTTGTCACTGCATTTCTGCTAACTCTTTCTGTTGCGTCCGCACATGACAGGCCCCACCACCATGTGCACATCTGGAAGCCCCACTCAGGTGGCTTCTTTGCCCAAATGCGCTCCTAGTTTTCCACTTCCTGGTGAACCAGCTGTGCTCTTGAGCTCTTGCCCGCGTCCCCTTCTCAGCATCGTCCCATTTCCACTTCCTCACCCCCACGCAACAGGGGATGCTGACCTCAGATCCTCATGCACTGCAGCACAAGACACCCTGTCCCTTCAGGGCCCTTCTCCAATGCTTGTTCATCATGACACTGAGACGTGGTCTCCAATCCATCAAGATCCCTCCTGCTGGGGTCCTCACAAGTTCTGTCTTAATGGACCACTTGGAGTCTTGCCTATTACCTGTAATGGCCTGTAAATTTCCTGGAGTACGGACCAGGAGTGGTTCTGATTCCCCACGGCAACAAGCGGATAGCAGGCTGCTGGTAAAGATCTGTAGAATAGATAAAGAGCCACGTGGTCTTTTATTACATAATCCTAAAGAAAATAGGAAACGAAGGACAGGATTCCATCTTAAGAAACCCCTTTCAGCTGGGCGCAGTGGCTCACATCTGTAATCCCAGCACTTTGGGAGGCCGACAGATCACCTGAGGTCAGGAAACCAGCTTGGCCAAAACCGTCTCTACTAAAAATAAATTATCCAGGTGTGGTGGCTCACACTAGGGGGACAGAGGCCGAAATTGTGGCTGCAGGAACATGGCGAAGGTCCGGTTGACTCTGCACCTGCGAGTCGTAAATCTCACGGTCCAGCCAGCCTGCTCTGGGTCTCTCTCTTCCATCCTTGGTATTTCAAAGAAACACTTGCAGCTCCTTCAAAGCCACATAGCCTCACTTCCCCTCTTCTCCCTGGTAAACTCAGCAAAAAAGGGACATCCACAGCAAAAGGAACTCAAGAAACAGTAATAATCCTGGGGACCTGGACTCACTGAGACAGCCCAGAGACCGTAGTGATCAGGGTGCGGCCCTTTTCAGTGCCATTGAGAACAAGGGAGGGAGAAGTCACCTTCTCTTGCCACATCTTTGTCATTGCACTCCTTCCCCAACCTGGGGCTGCAGAGAAGGTCTGCCCACCTGGCTTCTGAGTCATCCAAGTCTAGGAGGTTGCTCTTTGCCTATGTCCCCTGGTCCCCAGGTAGGTGCCAGTTAGGAGTGAGGTGTGGGCAGTGGCCGCCCTGGTGGGTTCCCCTCTCTCTGGCTTCTCCTTACAACTTTTTCCTTCCCTTTAAGCTTTACAAATACATTCCACTTGCAACAATGTTATGTCTGTATTAAACTTTAAAATTATACTCTGAACAGACCTGGTGTGATTCCATATGGAATGATTTACATGCTAGGCAAGAAACTTTTGCCAGCCAACTGCTAGTTGAATAGTTATTCTAGAGACATTATCAGATTCTATTACTGCCAGGGAAGTTGTTAAAGTTGACAGTTCTTCGGTTCCTGGAGAGCAGGAAATTGTAATGTTAATGCTTATTAATGTGGCTGTTGTCAAAGGTATAAGTAGAAAATAATCACTCTGGTGGCTCATGCCTGTAATACCAACACTTTGGGAGGCTGAGGCGGGTGGATCACTTGAGGTCAGGAGTTCGAGACTAGCCTGGCCAACGTGGTGAAACCCCGTCTCTACTAGAAATACAAAAATTAGCTGGGCATGATGGCACATGCCTGTAATCCCAGCTACTCGGGAGGCTGAGGTAGGAGAATCGCTTGAACCTGGGCAGAGGTTGCAGTGAGCCAATATCGCGCCACTGCACTCTAGCCTGGGTGACAGAACGAGACTCTGTCTCAAAAAATAAATAAAATAACCCCTCTGTTGTGCTCTTGCAGCATTCTGAAGTCCATGGAGTTTGCACCGTCCGAGGGCGCTGGGACACAGGTACGTGTCTCACCTCAATGGTCAGCACTAGCATCAGCCCCGCTGCTGGTTACCACTGGTCCCTCCGGCATATCCCATGATCCACTGTTTCTACGAGACCTCTCACTTACAGCCGATGAGTCATACTTCAAGAACATTTAACCAAGTTGAAGCAAATTATCTTTTTTTTTTTGTCTCCTTTTTTTCCATGTGTCCAAGGCATGAACCAGGCATAGATCAAAAGCCAAGCTGGGGATGAACAAGGGATTGCTTCATCCCTGACTGATAGGAGATGGGCACTACCAAAAAGCAAATTATCTTTAACAAAAAGAGGCAAAAAGAGAAAAGCTAGTGTTTTCCAAACTGGTAACTGAAGTGAAATTGTGATTTCACTTCAGCAGGTACTAAGAACATAAATAAAAAACAATTTCAGATTGTGTTTAAGAAGGCCAGGCTCAGTAGCTCATGCCTGTAATCCCAGCACTTTGGGAGGCCAAGACAGGAGGATCGCTTTGAGGCCAGGAATTTGAGACCAGCCTGGGCAATATAGCAAGACCATGTTGCTATTAAAAAAAAAAAAAATAGCCAAGTACTGTGACATATACCCGTGGTCCCAGCTACTTGGGAGGCTGAGGCAGGAAGATCGCTTGAGCCCAGTAGTTCAAGGCTATAGTGAGCTATGATCGCACCACTGCACTCCAGCCTGGACAACAGATTGAGACTGACTATTTTTTTTTTAATTGCATTAAAGAGCAGCCAAAAATGGATTGGTTTAGGAACTTTAGTTACATGCTGCCTCAGTAGAGAAGGTACAAGGGAAGGATGACTGTGGCCCAGGGTCATCTGGTGGCCAATTAAAATTGACATCCCAGACCAAGCATGGTGGCTCACTCCTGTAATCCCAGCACTTTGGGAGGCTGAGGTAGGTGGATCACTTGAGGTCAGGCATTTGAGACCAGCCTGGCCAATATGGTGAAACCCTATCTCTGCCAAAAATATAAAAAATTAGCTGAGCGTGGTGGCGCACGTCTGTAATCCCAGCTACTTGGGAGGCTGAGGAAGGAGAATCACTTGAACCCAGGAGCCAGAGGGTACAGTGAGCCAAGATCATGCCACTGCACTCCAGCCTGGGCGACAGAGTGAGACTCCATCTCAAAAAATTAAAAAATCAAATCAAATAAAATTGACATCCTAAGTGGAATCTGACTCCTGATGCCCAGAAGACAGCCAACATCTTTGTGGCTGGCAAAAAAAAAAAAAAAAGAAAAGTTCCCTTTACAGTAACGTTCGGACAGACGTTTGTGGCTTGGCAGCCAGTCTTATGGCCAAATGAGGCACGGGCTCAGGTCGCTTGAGTTTGAGAACAGATGAGAGAATAATTAATTTTTTTAGGAGCTGTGGAAGTCTAAGAAGGAAAATGACTTCAACTAGAATCCATTCTTTCTAAAGGGAACTTGTTTTCCACGTGTGTTAAACGACTTGGGGGGAAATCAGCTGTCCGCAGCCCACTTCCTAATCAGATCGAGAGCTGGGTGGGAACGCGGACAGATGGAGGGAGGCAGGGCTCCAGGCCTGGTGGCCCCGGGAGCGGGTGAGTGGCCGGCCCCGCAGTGAGACCCCCGCTCTGCCCCTTCTAGGATGCGGCCAAGCCCCTGGAGGTGCTGTTGCTGGAGAAGAACCGCTCGCTGCAGTCCGAGAACGCCGCGCTGCGCATCTCCAACAGCGACCTGAGCGGTAGGTTGGCCGGGCTTCGCGCGTGTGCGGTGGTTGGTTCGCTTCCAGGGGTCGGTCGAGGACGAGGAAGGTGAATCGTGAGTCTGGACAGATGCATGGCCAGAGAAGCGCCGGTTGACGAGAACCTTTGACTAACGCGTGTTGGGTGCCCTCCTCCTCACCGCTCCTCCCTTCCCTTCCCCGCCCTGCTTAAAGCTGGATGTCGAGACGGGCCAGCCGCACAGGCTCTGCGGAGGTCAGTTAGGGGCAGTGCGGCTGGAATCCCCGGGAGGGACAGCTCGGAGGACGTCGGCCTTTCTGATCTGTGTCTGGTTGTGCTGCACAGAGGCCAGGGGCAGTGTGAACCCAGCCTCGCTCTGGTGGTGTTTTCAGGGACAGCCCCGGGCCTGCCGGGTCCAGTAGAGGTTTTTCTTCCTTGGTCAGGTTTCCCCTGGGGACGCGTCCCCCATCCTTAGCCTTTCTTGGCTCATCCCCCAAATGGTGGCGTCACTTGACTGTGCTTCTGGTTTGGGCAGCTGGTAAAACGCGTACAGGTGTCTCGGGCTCTAATGGTATTGCATTCTCAAAACGGGCGCGCGCCTCCACATCGAGGGGGCTCGGTACGGTGCATCGCCTCAGAGCAAGAGGTGCGAGCGAATCCATTGGTCCTAAAATGTCAGTGTTTGCTGCTCCTCCGGCCGGGGCCAGCGGGCCCAGTAAGAGGCCCGCGACCCGTCAACTCTTCCCTGTGTGTGTCACCAGCTCCTTGTCACGCTAGGAGTTTGAGTCTATGTCAAGGGGACTCTCCAGGCTGCAACGTACAAGAAAGGCGCAAACATGAATGCATGTTGCTTGTTTTGGGAAGCCTCGTTTGGCTGACTTACAAATTTAATCGGAAAACAAACCAACCCACCTCATTGGCCCTTGTAAAAAAAACCTGCACTTTTTTTTGTTTTCCCTTTTGCGGGGGCAAACTTTTGCATTTTGGTCTTGGTTTTTTTTTCCCCCTTTGGAATCCCCCATAATGCATTCTGTTTGCCCTTCCTTGTAGGGTCAGCCAGGAGGAAAGGGAAAGACCAGCCTGAAAGTCGGCGCCCGGGATCTTTGCCGGCCCCCCCTCCTTCTCAGTTGCCCCGCAACCCGGGGGAGCAGGCTTCCAATACTAATGGTACACACCAGTTCTCACCAGCGGGGTTAAGTCAAGACTTTTTCAGCTCATCCCTGGCAAGCCCCAGCCTACCCCTGGCTTCTACAGGAAAATTTGCACTAAACTCTCTTCTCCAGCGGCAGCTAATGCAGTCCTTCTACTCCAAGGCTATGCAGGAAGCCGGAAGCACAAGCATGATTTTTTCAACAGGTCCATACAGCACAAACTCCATATCTTCCCAAAGTCCATTACAACAAAGCCCAGATGTCAATGGCATGGCCCCATCCCCCAGCCAGTCAGAAAGTGCTGGGAGCGTCTCCGAGGGCGAGGAGATGGACACTGCAGAAATCGCCCGGCAGGTCAAAGAGCAGCTGATTAAGCACAATATCGGACAACGTATTTTCGGACATTATGTGTTGGGACTGTCTCAAGGGTCCGTGAGCGAGATTCTGGCCCGGCCCAAGCCATGGAATAAACTGACTGTTCGTGGCAAGGAGCCATTTCACAAGATGAAACAGTTCCTCTCCGATGAGCAGAACATCCTGGCCCTCCGTAGCATCCAAGGCAGACAAAGAGGTGAGAGACTGGCGTTGGGTGGCGCCAGCGTGCGAGCCCGTCACAGAGTTGCACATGTGTGTGTGCATGCGTGCGTGTGTCTGTGTGCGTGATGAAACATTTGTGCATCACATCAGGTAAAGTTCTCTTTGCTTCTGCCACGTCCAGAGCTCAAGGGTGGCCCGGCATGAGTTAAGGCTGTTAGATTTGGGAGATCTGGCCTTTGAAACGCACTCAGCACTCCATACTTAGGAAACCCTATAGTATTTCAATACTAGAGATCGTATCAGAGGGAATTGCATTACATGATGTATAGCGTCTCCGTATGCTTAGTGGCCGCGGGTCCAATTGGCCTTGGGTGCTGGTCTCACTTTTGGGAGGAGCCCTTAAGTCCCCTCCAGCCCCATAGCAGCAACGTTGACTGGGCTCGATCCTCATGCAAAGCTGGTTCTGTAGGGAGAACACATCACAGATGACACCTCCCCTCTTCCCACCCCGCAGAAGAGGGCGTGTCCCATGGCCACCTTCCCTACATTGTTCACGGTCCATTAGTGATTTGTTTAGCATTATGAGTAAAACAGGCCTGGCTTGAGTAAAATACACAAAAGTTTTATTTAAGCACCCTTTCTACCCCACCCTCCGTAAAAAGATAAAATGTCAGTCACATTCATAATTTCAAAAAATCCCAGCCGGGCACAGTAGCTCACGCCTATAATTCCAGCAGTTTGGGAGGCTGAGGTGGATGGATCGCTTGAGTCCAGGAGTTCAAGACCAGCCTGGGCAACATATATTTTGTAATCTTTTGATCTACAAAAAAATCAAAAGGTTAGCTGGGCGTGGTGGCGTGTACCTGTGGTCCCAGCTACTTGAGAGGCTAAGGCAGGAGGATGGCTTGAGCCCAGGAGGTGGAGGCTGCAGTGAGCCATGATTGAGCCACTGCACTCCAGTCTGGGCAACAGAGTGAGAACCTGCCTCAAATAAAAAAACAAAAAAGAAAGTTCCTTTTCTGTTTAAGACCAGGGGATCAATGTGCCACATCAACAGAGCTATTGAGAGGTCATTTCATCAGACATGTTTGAAACACCCTGAAATTTAGACTCAAACAGAGCAGGGAGATGTTTTGAACAGCATCAATTTGCACCAAGAAAATGCAGTGTTTTATGAGGATGTTAACCGAAATTGAATGTCTTTGGATGATTAATGCGAGCTTTGTTCTGGGGGCTGGCGGGTGATCCTCCTTCAAGGCAGTCCTCCCTCCCATGGACCTCCCTGGCCTCAATGCCGTAGGTCGCTACTTAGATTTCCCCCATCTCCTTTTGCAGCAGAGCCACGGCCTCTGCGGGCCGGTCAGCCAGGGAAGGGCCTCTCAGAAGATTCTAGAAACTCCCGAGTTGCACAGGCAGCCCTGAGCCCTTTCTTTAGTGACAGGCGGCTCAGATTTCATGTCACACAGCCCATATCGTCAACACCACCATTCCCCTGATTGTTTTGTTCTTACCACACTTGTTTTTCAACAGAGAATCCAGGCCAGAGCCTGAACAGACTATTTCAGGAAGTACCGAAACGAAGAAATGGGTCTGAAGGTATGTTGCAGGCAGGCGTTTTCTTTGCAGTCAGTCACCTAGGGAAGCAGCATGTCCTTAGCTGTGTATTTGGGTTAAAACTGTGCAGTGTGATTCTGGCCTGGAACCTGATGGAAAAACAGCTAGTAAGTATAAAACAAGGCACGGGTTCAAGCACACCCAGCCCCTTCCTCCCGAGCTGCCTGCCCTCTCCCAAGCACAGGCGGGGGTGAGAAGAGGCATTGCTAAGCTAAGCCCCCCGAGTCTGAATCCCAGCCCACTTCAGATCCTAATTACCCGGTCCCCCGTTTTTCTCAGACGCAGTTGAAAAAATAACAGCGGTTGCTCTGAGAAAAGTCAGGTGACCCGTCAAATTAAATACTGCTGCTTCCTCGTATTTTTAACTCGGAAACACACTCAAGGTCCTATGGAACGGACGCATCCCACATCGTCCCGGTGGCATACTTGTTTTTAAATGGTGGTATACTTGTTTTGAATGCAGTGGTTCCTATTTAGGAAGGTAGTAAGAAATTAAACTATCCGGGTGGCTTCCCGAAAGAGCTGGGGCCAGCCCCTGGGCCATAGTAGCCTCATTTCGTCGGCACGTGTGCCTGCACAAAACATCACCATGTGGCCGAAAGAATCCATCCTCCCCACTTAGGAATTTCTGCAGGCTCCTTTCCTCGTATGTAAATTTTAAAAAGATATTATGTGATAATAGGTGCAAACAATTTTTTAAGTTAAGCCTTTCTTCACCCTGTGCCTCTGAATGATTGATAGACAATCAGCCTCAAACCCTCTGCCCTCCTTTTCCGTTTATCCTGTGTGGGACCCCAGCATCCAATAAACATCTAACCCCGAGGAGAGTCAGTCCCAAGCCACAGCAGTTGCTTCTAAGTGACTCATGAGAAACATTGCCTTTTAATCACTCGCCTTTTATATATATGGATTAAATGATCGGTTCTCCCGGGTACTAACCCACGGGTGGTGTCCGGCTTTGGCAGAGTAACATTGACCGTAAGGTCAAATGAGCAGGAAATCCCTCCTGCCCGGTGTCGCTGTGAAGTTGCACTCACAGCAAACACAGGCCACTGGGAGGCCACATCTGCCTCCTTGTGTCACCAGCCCCCACCCGGGGCTATATATCAGAATGACGTCTTCGCGCAGCGCTGATTTTTGTCCGGGGTTTGGGTTTGATGTCATTGGCGCAACTTCTCCCCACAGGTAACATCACCACCCGGATCCGAGCCTCGGAGACTGGCTCTGATGAAGCCATCAAGTCCATCCTAGAGCAAGCCAAGAGGGAGCTCCAAGTGCAGAAAACTGGTACAGCTTCCATTTCTTCATCCACTGTCTTCAAACTTAATTAAGAGAATTGTCATGAGTGCTCTGGTCAGCAGTAATTAACTATTTTTTTTTTAAACAATAATGAATGCCTGTTCTCAAGCATTTAGGCACGTAGAGAGAAGCAGGTCTGTGTGATCTGTATTTGCCTAATAGTTACCTTTTTTTTTGAGATGCAGTCTCTCTCTGTTGCCTGTGCTGGAGTGCAGTGGCACGATCTCAGCTCACTGCAACCTCTGCCTCCCGGGTTTAAGCGATTCTCCTGCCTCAGTCTCCCGAGTAGCTGGGACTATAGACATGTGCCACCATGCCCATGATATTTGTGTTTTTAGTAGAGACGGGGTTTTACCATGTCGGCCAGGCTGGTCTCGAACTCCTGACCTCCAGTGATCCTCCCACCTCGGCCTCCCACGGTGCTGGGATTACAGGTGTGAGCCACCGCGCCTGGCCCCTAGTTGTAATTATTCACAGAAATTACGCTCCTTAACTTTGACAGAACCACTTGCATTTCAGAATATAGCACAGGAAAATGAATACCAAGTATAAAAATTATCAGAGGTCAGGCGCGGTGGCTCACACCTGCAATCCTGGCATTTTGGGAAGCTGATGGGGGAGGATGACTTGAGTTCAGGAGTTTAAGACCAGCCTATGCAACACAGTGAGAGACCTTGTCTCTTAAAACACTAGCCAGGCATGGTGGCATGCACCTGTGGTCCCAGCTACTTGGGAGGCTGAGCTGGGAGGATTGCTTGAGCCAGGGAGGTGGAGGGTGGGTACAGTGAGCCGTGATCGTGCCACTGCGCTCCAGCCTGGACAACAGCGAGATCCTGTCGCTAAAAAAAAAAAAAAAAAAAAAAAAAAAAATTCTCGGGGAAAGGAGCCCCAGGAGGGCAGGTCGGGGAGCACTTTCACTGACACCCCCTTTATTACCCTCTACATCTGTGTGTATACCAAAGGCCACCAGGTCATCAAGCTGTAGTGTCAGGCCCTGGTCCTTGGTTGAGACAAGATGCCTGAATGTTTCACTGACAGGGGCCATGCTGGGGAAATACACAGTGTGGTTCTCCCAAATAACCCACACTTTGCAGTAGGTCAAGTTAGGATGAGAAGCATGTCCCCAGCTGAAGGGGGCCGCCCTGCCACACTCTCACCCCTGTTTCTCCATGCAGCAGAGCCGGCCCAGCCTTCCTCCGCATCCGGCAGCGGGAACTCTGATGACGCCATCCGCTCCATCCTGCAGCAAGCCCGCCGGGAGATGGAGGCCCAGCAGGCTGCCCTCGACCCTGCCTTAAAGCAGGCACCACTGTCCCAGAGTGACATCACCATCCTCACCCCCAAGCTTCTGTCCACCTCGCCCATGCCCACCGTGTCCAGCTACCCACCTCTCGCCATCTCCCTGAAGAAGCCCTCCGCAGCTCCTGAGGCCGGTGCCTCTGCTCTGCCGAACCCCCCGGCCCTCAAAAAGGAGGCCCAGGACGCCCCCGGGCTGGACCCCCAGGGAGCAGCCGATTGTGCACAAGGGGTCCTGAGACAGGTGAAAAATGAGGTGGGCCGCAGCGGTGCCTGGAAGGACCACTGGTGGAGCGCGGTGCAGCCGGAGAGAAGAAATGCCGCCTCCTCCGAGGAGGCCAAGGCCGAAGAAACGGGCGGCGGGAAAGAGAAGGGCAGCGGTGGCAGCGGAGGTGGCAGCCAGCCTCGGGCCGAGCGCAGTCAGCTCCAGGGACCCTCGTCGTCAGAGTACTGGAAGGAGTGGCCCAGCGCTGAGTCCCCATACTCCCAGAGCTCAGAGCTGAGTCTGACCGGGGCCAGCCGCAGCGAGACACCACAGAACAGCCCCCTGCCATCCTCCCCGATCGTGCCCATGTCCAAGCCCACCAAGCCCTCGGTCCCCCCGCTGACCCCCGAGCAGTACGAGGTCTACATGTACCAGGAGGTGGACACCATCGAGCTCACCCGGCAGGTTAAGGAAAAGCTGGCCAAGAACGGCATCTGCCAGAGAATCTTCGGGGAGAAGGTAAGGGATCTGCTCTGGGGGCTTTGGTTCTCCCATCTCTTCTCCTTGCTGAGGACCAAGTATCTATCCCGCAGCCTGTGACCCTCACCCATTTCAATTCACCCAAGAGCAGAGCGTAAGGCATCCTCTGCTCCCAGACTTCCAAGGTGCGGCTGGTGAACATTGCAGCCCCGATCCCATTTGCCGAGCCCCGACTGCAGCCAGGTTCTAGGCTCAGCCTTTCACCTGCATGCTGCCCTTTCGACCCCTCACTTGGCGCTGGGAAGTGGATGGTAAAATCCCCAATTGACAGGGAAGGACACCAAGGCTTGGGGACGTTAACTACTTGCCCCAAGCTGACCGGCAGCCGAGTCCACATCCAGCTTTTGCTGCCAAGGGGAGCTGAGAGGCACCCCTGCAGGCTTCCTTGGCCAAAAAAAATCCCATCTGATCACACAGAGGGACCACCAGTACGCAGAGAGCCAAAAGGGACTTACTAGAAAAAGCTGCAGAGAGCATTATTGTTCCTTTCTGTGTAACTCTTGGATATTGTTCAGTCAGAGAGGTCAAGCAACCTGCCCGGGGACACACAGCTTGGGGATGGCCCAAGCAGGGTGGCCCGTGTTTCCCTATCATCCTTCCCTGGCTCAGGAAAGTGTAATCGTGCATGGACGAGCTTCTAGGCCTTTCTGTTCTTGGCACTTTCCTGGTCACTGAGATTCAGGAGAATGAGGGTTAACCGTGCCTGCCAAATCTAAAATAAACATCATGTCCTAGTATCATTTTATTTATTTATTTTTTGAGATGGCGTCTCACTCTGTCGCCCATGCTAGAGTGCAGTGACGCTATCTCGGCTCACTGCAACCTCTGCCTCCTGGGTTCAAGCGATTCTCCTGCTTCAGCCTCCTGAGTAGCTGGGATTACGAGTGCCCACCACCACACCCAGCTAATTTTTCTATTTTTAGTCGAGTCAGGGTTTCACCATGTTGGCCAGGCTGGTCTCCTGACCTCAAGTGATCTGCCTGCCTTGGCCTCCCAACCCCCTACCATTTTAGATTAAATAACGGAGTGCTGAATAGAAGGAGAAGCACCCCTCTCCCCTAAAAGGCACCTTCCTGAGGGAGCACGTGGCTGGATCAGCAGGGGACAAATCCCACCCCCTCCCCTGCCAAGCCAGGGTCCCTGCATGGCGCCGTCCCCGCACTCCCCACCCCGCCTTCCACTCAGTGTTTGCCGTATGCTGTGCTGTGAATCCCGGTGGTGTCCGATGGCGAACTTTGCCCTGATTTTGCAAAAGGTGAAGGGGGGCGACTAGAAATGAGGATGAGTATTTCAAGTCCCTTGAGATTTCTAGTTCAGTGTTGTAAAAATACCATTTGAGAACATTGAAATAGACATTCGTGCTCATGCCTTAAATTTAGCAGAGACTTAATAACATTGAACTTGTTTGGCCCGTGAGTGCAGTTTTATTCTGGAACTTGAGAACTTTTCAAAAGAGTGATCGGATGCAGCCCCTAAATATCCCAGGGCGGCATCTGTGTCCTGTGGGGGGTGTTTGTGCCTAT